>NC_000002.12:236883557-237186587 GCF_000001405.40 Homo sapiens
TAATCATTTGGGGGGTTCTTTTAGGGTTAGTTTAGCCCAACTCCTATGGCATGACCTTTTTGGAAGCTCTAATGAAGACTCTGTGTATTCAGTAAATTTCCTCCGCTCTGGCTGGTGGCAAGTGAAAGGCTTTTGGACCCTGTCTGGGTAATTCTGGGGATTGTTTGACACAGGGCTTCTTCGTACCTTTTCTGCACCTGGAAGCTTTCATCTAACCTCAGGGAAATTTACTCTATGTATGTGCAGACTCTTACTCATCCAGATCCTCAAAGGCATCCACACACCTGTGAAGATTTAGCTTCCTCTTCTTCGGTGTTCTGCTGTAAAAAGCCTTCAGTTTCCCCAAACTGTGATTTCCATCTCCTCAACTCAACAATATGGACTTGCTGTTTTGCATTATTCTCCCTGTACTAAGGTCTGGAAGTTGCTTCTAGAAATAGCTGAGGAGACCTTGGACTCATCTTGTTTGCTTCCTTTTGCTTAGGGACCAAAGTTTTTGCACTTCCTATTTTCTGGTGTCCAAAATTGGTTGTTTCATACTTCAACTTTTTGCTTGTTTAAAACAGAACAAGTCTCAGCTATTTTAGTCCCTCATAGTCAGAAGCTATATTTAATTTTTATATGTAGATATAATAGTCATTTATACAATTTTGCACCTTTTTAAAAAAACTGATCTAATCTTTTATCTTCGTTATGTACTTTATAGGCTTCCTGACTAGCATCTGGAGTGGCATTTTAATATAACCTCATGTATTTTTCTAGAGAGCGTTAAGATTATTTCCAATGTTTCCAGACTTATGAAAAACATTTTGGGCTTAGGTGTCCTCCTGATGTCTTTGTCCTCATCTTATCTAATAATTTACTCCAGTTTTCCCCAATGTGAACTCCGCAAAAGAGAAGTCTATGTAGATGCTCTGTAAGAAGAGGGCTCGTGGTGGAGTAAGTATGGAACTGTTGCATGCTGGATCTTCTTGGAGAGTCATAATGCACCCTAGAATATTAAAGGCTTGAGAAATGTTTCATAAAGAAACCATATTTATCTTTTTTGTTTTAATTTTTTAAGGTTTCATTTAGTAGTTCTTGTTTTTTTCATTAAACAATACTTAATGCAGGGCTATTTTCAGTTTCAAACAGTGGAACCTGGAAGCCTGTGCTTTTGGCTCAGGGTCTTGGCCTGACCTGATGAAATTGTGGAGAACAGCCCGATAGAGTGCAGACTCTGGTCTCCTAGGTCCCCTCTGTGAGGCCTGTGTCCTAGATGCCTCTGCATCCCTGTCCTGAAGGGTAGAGTGGCTGAAAGGGAGTGTGGTGAGAGGCAGGCCAGGAGCTGCTGTTGGCTTTTGCTGCTGGACCCTCAGGGAGGGGGTCCTACAGAGGAAGCAGAGCCCAGGCCCATCCAGTGTTGGCTGCTGGCACTAAGGCAGGTGGCACATGCCATCACAGGTCACAGTTCTGCTACTAGATGCTCCTGGGGAAGGCTGCTGTGTGAGTTCTAATAATTCACGTGGAGACACATTTCATTTATGACCTGTCTCTACGTAGTCTCTGGCCCCCGTCATAGGGCTGGAGGGCAGTGTCAAGATGGGTTTACCCCAAAGACAGAGTTGTCCCGTGGAGTTTTGTATCCACCCCAAGGGAAGATGTGGGTCTGTCAGTAGAGATGACATCCACCACTACCACGGATAGGACCTGCCTGTCCTTGCTTGTGGGGACAGCTGGTGCAACTGTCCCAAGCCAACTAGGACAGGGGGTCACCCTCCACATTAGGAAGAAGCTACTCTTGTCCTGTGTGGAGCATGTACGGAGGACAGAGATTCGGGTAGAGAGGTGAGCAAGACTGCTAAAATTGTCCTGAAGAGAATTGATGAGGGCCAGAACGAAGCCAGTGCAGATGGAAAGAAGGCAAATTATTTAAGAATTTTTGAGAAAAGCTCAGCAGCACATCCAGCCCATTGACCTATTCTATTCTCCTCCAGGTATCCTATGCCTGGGCCTCAGTAGACTTTGAGGTTCACCAAAAGTACTGTGCTTTCCAGCCTTCCAGCCATGCTTGAAACACCATCCACCCTCTTCACCCATGGTATAAGCTTGCTTTGACCATCTCTTCTGAGATGGCCTTTCTGAAGCTTAACACTCATGGGCACTCCCACTTCCTGGCTAATGAACGTTTTCCAAAACAATCAGTAAGTGTGCATGAGTAGCAGACTCCACCTGGTAGGATGGACTGTCAGCCTCTCCGCAGTGGCTGTGCCTGGACACGGCCACGGGTTCCCACTGACAGGGAGTAGCCTCTTCATGCTCTCCCCTTTATAATCTTGTTTTTGCCTCTTACCATCTCCACTGACTTGTACTGTTTTACACCTTCTTGTGTAAATAAGCCTAACAGAGAAGATGCTTAATAAATATTTGTTCAATAAATATAAAAATAAGCAAACCAATGTCAAGTCTGACGTTTGATTATGACATTTCTTAACTGGATATGGCCAGCCGGTGAAATAGCTTCTCCTCTGTATCAGGTCATTGGGATGGTCTGTGAACAGGAACCCCATCTCCTTATATGCTCCTCCCATGCCTAGGGTGGTGCTGGAGTCATGGAGGAAAGCCCAGGCCTGTTGGTGAAGAGAAGGCAGTACTGCAGGGGCAGGTGGCGACTGCTGGTTCAGGTTGCCCTCACTTGGAGCTCAAGTACATGGAGCTCTCTCATCATTTCCATAAATCTGTAATAAATCTGTAAGGCGCATGGGTTCTATTTTATGCTGCAGAGCTTAATCATTACTGGACACGCCCATTTTCCTGGCCAATGAGTGTTTTCCAAAGCAATAAATAAAACGAATTGAGGAAATGGAGTCTTCACCGACTGAGCTGAACAGTCTACCTGTTTGCACTGACTGTGGCTGGTGGTGTCCACAGGTCATGGTGGGCAGAATGGCAGCCGGGACGCCTCTGCTGTGTCCCCAGGTCCAGCATCTGGCTTGGCCTTTCTACTGGCTTTTGTTTTTCCATGGAATTTTGAAATTGTTTGCTGGAATTGGCTGCATTAATCAAACAGTTGTTTCTTAGAGATATTGTTTATGTTTGCTGGAGCCACAGAGGGTTCTGTCGGCAGGAATTTTGCTGGCTGAAAGCAAACTCGGAGCCAGAAAGTGCGATGCCATTGGTTCCACTTTATCACCAAGCTCTGAAGACAAACTCTCACCTCTTCCAGATTTCCATTTGGTCTCGTGACAACGCAGGAGGAAAGAAGCTTGAGAGAATGTTAGGACATGGCGAGGGAGAGAATTCTGGGTCTCTAAGGTATTAGGTTGGTGCAAAAGTAATTGCGGGTTTTGCCATTTTTTAATGCATTTTAGTGCAATTACTTTTGCACCAACCTAATACAAGGAACAGCCGAGGAAAAGGCTGGTCTTGAGGCCCCATCCAGGGCCTAGGGCACCTTCTTCTACTAAGAAGGGAAGTTCACCCTCTTCCGAATCATCACCCACCAAAGTTCAGGGAGCTTCCCCTCAGCCCAAGGACACAGTGACATTGTGTATAAGACCTGGGCAGTTTCCAACCAGGTTGGTGCACAGGACACTGCTGGTTACTTGCTTATATTGTTCCCAAATATTGAATTCAACAAAGTAGTGTGGATAATCCATCATAGCTTATTACTCAAGACTGTGTTCACTTTATTTTAAGACAGCATTCATTATTTCCCCAGAGAATAAAAGTAATATATGAGTCTTATAAAAAACATTAAAAATAGAAAAGTATAAAAATGAAAATAAAATTACCTATAAACATACAATTCAGATATAGCTTCTGAGAATATTTTAATATTTTTCTTTTGCATTTTCATAGACTTTCCCCATGACCTTTAATATTCCATGAGAATATAATTTTTATAGGTTCATAATACACTGTATTATGGTTGTACCATAAATTATTTGGCCATGCTTCTGCCATTGGTTATTTAAGTTGCTTGTACTTTTCTCACTGTTATAAGTAAGATTGTATTGAACATCCTCGTACATAAGTCTCAGGCCACATGTTTTATTTGCTGGAACAACCTTTCCTTAACATCCAATGGCACGTGGCTGGCCCTCCACCCTCTTTTCCTGGAAGAGGCATTTGAATGAAACACTTGACAAATATTTATATGCTAGTAACCATGCTAGAATAACAGCCACAGTCTGCTATGACCTGAATTGAACCAGAAAATGCAGAGTGAAGGCAGGGGGAACACGGCTCGGGGTCCTCTCTGGTCAGGCCTGGAGCCAGCGCTTGTAAACTGTGGACTATCACCCACTGTTGAGAGGCCTCCTTTCGGCAGACTTCAGCACAGGGATGTGGACTTGTTTCTATGAAAGCCTGGAATTCCTGTAGGGGTAGTGCCGTAAAACCGGATCTTTACCTTCCTTATTTAAAGGACTTTTTTGCGCATAGACTGCCTGTCCTGGCCTCTCTCCCACTCTGGAAAGGAAGGGCTGAGAGAGAAAAACACACTGGAGATGCTGTTTTGGATGGAAACACACTCGCTGCCTGTTTCCCTGTGTGCCCATGGTTCTTCTAGGTGCTGGGAATAGACGAGTGAGATGCAGACAAGGCCCCAGTCCTCACGGCACTTATGTGCTATGAGGAAACAAGGAATGCACATACCCCATCGAGGAGGTGTCAGTCCATCTTCATGAGCCAAAAGGTGACATGTGCCAAGGAAACAGGAATAGAGCCTTGAGTGAAGCATCAGACCAGTACAGCCGACCTGGTGGGCCTTGGTGCAAAGGGAATGGAGCAAAGACTGGGAGGTAATGAGGGGATTCCCCAGGTGCTCCCCTGGGAGAAGAGAATTCTGCCCACAGGCCCTGCCACCAGCGAGGGCCTTGCGTGCCGTGGAGTGGGAGGAACCACAAGGTGAGAAGGGTCTGAGGATGTGGGCATGGAGGCATTGCAAGGACTTTGAATTTACTCTGAGAGATGAGTAGTCACTGGGAGGTTTGCAGCCCAGACAACCCACACGGTCATTTCAGGAAGCTTGAGAGAGACTCAGTATGTGGGGCAGCGGGCCCCCGTTTGTGGGGGCCACAGCGCAAACGCACCTGAGCCTGGAGCTGCTGGAACTCCTCTCTCTGCAGCCAGAGACCCAGGCTCACTCCTGGGCCTCCATTCCGCCTGCTGGATCAGCAAAAATGAAATGACTAAATGGGCTGTTGGATTTCAAAGAATTACAGCCCCACTCCAGTCCTTGAGAGAGAAGCAGAGGCCCTGTTCCCCTGCGTCTGTGTGGCCTGCTGCAAATAACGGGCTGGGTTTATGGCGAGGGGACGGCTGGGCGGTTGCTTGTCTAGAAACGCACCATGTGGTCCCTGCCTCCTCCTGAGCCTCAATGGCCGCCTGGGACATAGATAGCCAGACATCGCCAATTTCCAGGTTCAAAATTATATTCCCCCAACGTGAGTTAATCTTCCCATGAAAGGAAGAAATACTTTTCACTTCATGTTACTCTCTCTACTTTTTTTTTAAAGCATCAGATCTTTTATCTCTAGTATGACTATGGATGAAATATCACCAGCTTCATATTTCAAGATAATTTCCCTTCCAGCAAACATTCCCCTAGGAATAAAGACATGTAGTGCCCACACTGCTGGGCTGCTTTTTCCGCCTCTGTCTAAACAAGGCCCTGTGTGTTCCATCTGCTTGTCGGTTCCCAGTGTGCACTGGTCACTGCTGGGCTGAAAGGTCTCGCTTTTAGCTTCCTAGATAGGCCAGCGAGGTTAATAAGTTAATAAAATCCTATTTATCAGACTCCGGAGTCCATTTCCTCTTCCCCGTGGCTCATGGTTGTAATTATTCTTTATGGACTCTCGGTGTTCCTTTAGATCTGATTTCCTCGCACTCCCCTCCCATTTCCTGAAAGCCACGCCACAGAAGGAGAGAGTGGTCTTTTCTCTGGAAAGATGTCTGTTACTCATTTCCACCTTGGTGTCACGAAAGCTAGTCTGAAGGGATACGTTTAAATATTTAAAATTTTAAGATGCATGTGGAACAGCCTGGGTTGCTTCTCCTCCTGAGCAGATTAGGTTAGAAAGACCTGGGGGCCCCTGGATAACCCGGCGTAGCTGTCCAGGAGTGCAGAGATTGGGAACCAGATCCTGGGCTCTTGGCAGCTTCAGCTTTATCTGGAAAATTGGAGCCATCATTTCGACCATGCTCACATATGAAGATAAATGACAATAGCTTGCGTGAAAGTGTTTTTGAAAACAACAATAACAACAAAACACAGAAAAAGAAGGCATGATCTTGGCTGCTTTTGATGTGACTGTTTCCCTTAGCAGGGTGCCAGGGATATGGGGAATTTAGGCCAAATTAGCCGGAGCTTCTCTTATTAGCGAAGATTCGCTTATCAGGTTCCCTGCTGTCAGCTTGGAAGACCCAGAGTCTGACCCCGAATAATGAAATAGAGGACAAATGAAGATTCTGTCTCTGAGCAGGACTCGGGATGGGGAGCAGTGGGCCCCAGCTGGAGGGGCGCAGGTCAGGCTGTAGGGCCCCTGGAGCTGGCTCCCTGGCTTGAGAGAAAGGGCCACAGTCACCTTCGCCTGCCCAGGCCCAGTCGTCTTTCTCGGGAGTGGCGGAATGTAGCTTTCTACCCTACGGGCTCCTGCGCCTCACAGTGCTGGCTTTGGGTTTCTTCTGGGTCTCTGTGCTAACTTAGGCTCCGACGTTTCTAACTTTGGCCAAGAAGGTTTTGTATACGAATTTATAGTGTACTGTATATGTGTGTGTGTGTGTGTGTGTGTACGCGTGCACACCAGCACATGCACTTTTTAAAACAACTAGGAATCTTCTCAGCAAACACTATTCCTTGTCTACTCCCTTCTCTTGAAGATGGTCACTGAGTGGCTACGGAGACACAAACTTGGAGGAAAGCACCCTGGCCTTGCCAACAGTGGAGAGTGCCCCAGGGCCAACCCCGATGAATCTCTGCCAGATGAGGTGCAGAAGGGGATGGGGCAAAGGAAGCAGATACTCCCCCACGTGACTTCCCCACAGGAGCCACTTAACCAGAGGAAGACAGTGATATGGTTTGGCTGTGTCCCACCCAAATCTCATCTTGAACTGTAGTTCTCGTAATCCCCATGTGCTGTGGGAGCAACACGGTGGGAGGTAATTGAATCACGGGGGTGGTTACCTCCATGCTGTTCTGGTGATAGTGAGTGAGTTCTCACGAGATCTGATGGTTTTATAAGGGACTTTTCCCCTTTTGCTCAGCACTTTTCCTTGCTGCCGCTATGTGAAGAAGGATGTGTTTGCTTCCCCTTCCTCCATGATTATAAGTTTCCTGAGGCCTGCCCAGCCCTGCAGAACTGTGAGTCAGTTAAACTTTCTTTATAAATTACCCAGTCTCAGATATGTCTTTACTGGCAATGTGAGAACGGACTAATACAGATGGGCAGAGAAAGGTCTCCGTGCCAGCATCTAACCTGGTGATCAAGGATGGAAAGAAGAGTGGGGCCACACCATGTAGAGACTCCTCTGAGCCAATTTCACTTGAGGGCCTTGGCCTACAAGCCAAACAAACAAACAAACACATAAACAAACAGGGGGGCTATGGCTGCCAAAATACACAGAGGCACAGCCCCCAGGTGGCCCCCAGCTTCCTTGCCCCCACATCCTGAACACCCCTCTGCACAGTAACAAGCTGGCAGAGAAAAACTACAAGCAATTTAAAATTTCTTCCCTTTCCTCTATCTGACCTTCAGAGAACTAGTCTGAGATCTACGACAACTTCAGAATCCATCTCTGCCCAACCCTGGACAGGCACAGACTTCCCTCTGCAAGAATATAAAAGCAAGCACATAAACCACAACCAACTAGGCATCTGAATCTATTAATTAATTCAACATCCATTGAATAAGTCAAAAGAGGAAGATAATATGATCAATTAATAAATGCCAAAGAGCTCCTTGGCTAAAATCCAACCTATCTTAATTAATTTCACCTACACATGCACTAAACAAACAATCCATGTGATATGAGATTCTGTTGCAGTTCTCTAATGTGGTTCTTAAAAAATCTCAAAACAAAAATCATTGTCATGCTTCACTGTGACACAATAAAGCCATTCAAATTAAAGTCAAGACAATGAAAAGGATGCCTATGTTCACTGTTGTTATTTAATATGGTTTTGGAAATACCAGCCAATGCAATTAGATAAGAGATCATTTGAAGATGGCATTAGTGTGTGTCTAGAAACACAAAGTAAATCAAGCGAAAACATTATTAGAATCAATAGGAGAATTCAGTTAGGTGGTCTTAAAATTACTATGCAAAATCAATAGCTTTCCTTTATCTGAAAAAATAAACATTTAGAAAGTGTAACAGAAGGAGCATACCCATCTGAATGGCAATAACATTTGAATAGCCAGTAATAAACTTTATAAAACAACTGCAGGACCAATGTGAGGGAAATATTGTATTCTGCTGAGAGACATAAACCCTATGAGGAGTATTTTCTGTAAGTAAATGAGATAACTTCTTGTCCTCGGAAGGGGAGGCTCAACTGTGTAAAGAAATAAATTACCCTAAATTAGACTATATATTTAGTCTATGGTCTAAATATAGGCCTGTGCTGCCCGGTTATTAAAATGTTGAGTTATTCCAGAAAGTCAGAGCACTTTGCACCGGAGCATGAATAGATAGGATTGTTGAGCTGAATACACGGGACAGAAATGACTGAAATACCTGTGGGACGCCAGTGCTCTCCGCATAATGAAGCTGACATGTTAAGGCAAAGGGGAAGTCCTGGAAAACTGACAAGTTTCAGTCTTTGGGGGGAAAGCAAGTTACAGAGCAGTATGTAGAGTGTGATACCGTTGTGTACAGAGAACAGCTGCAGATTAACATTTTTCTAGGAGAATAGATGGGAAAATGATGATAATTATTAAATCTTTGCTGGGGAGATTGGGAGCGGGAAGGAGTTTTCACTTTACTAAGTTTGGGGGAAATGACTTCAGTGTTTTGAAAACAAAGTGATATACATCTTCATATAGATGATCCAAACGATTACTTTAAAAAAATAAAATTGGTTGAGCATAATTTTAGAAATGTCATGATAGATAGACCAATATACTTACAGATGGATAGAAGTAATTTTATAAAAACTGGATCATATGATAAGTATTTGTCAAAAATGCATCAAATTTAATTTTAAGGAACTGCTGTATTTCAAACAAATGCTTCTTTGCTCCCTCACTATGAGAAAACCAATTGGATTCTAAAAGACCCCTAGAACATTAGAAAGGCGGGGGGAAGTAGAATAAACAATGAATAGGTTAGAATGACAGCACTGTTTCAGTTGCATGTTGGAACTTGTCACAGTGCCTGTTAATTTGCTGCTACGAAAGATGATGAAATGGGTGCACCCACCCTCCATCCCCCTGGGTCTCACCTACCCACCAGGTTTTAGTAGCTGCATTATTACTGGTTCATTTTAAAGTTGTATAATCTCTACGATGCGTTCTGCAGCAAAAATTCCCAGAACAGCCTCGTCCTGACTCTCCGTTAAATATATGCGGTGTTTGCCAAGAGTTAATATTTCATGACTTTCCCGTTCTTGAGTTGCTTATTTGGATTCATCATTTGGTTAGCAGGGCTTTGCACCAGCAGCTCATGGATGCTGCAGCTTCTAAGTCTACTTGTGTTTGAGAGTGTCTACATGTTGCCTTTGCTTTTGGAGAGCGATGTGATTGCATGAAAAGAATTGGTAATGCTTTCCTTTTCCTTGACAAACTTGTAGGCCTCCAGCCATGGAAGTGTTCTAGTGGGGAAGGAGGAAGCCACCATGAATATCTCCCTTAGAAGAACACTACTGTGGCCAGGGACACTTATGCAATTCCCATAAGGTTCTTTGTTGTTATATGAACTGCATTTTACACACACACACACACACACACACACACACACACACACACAAACAACTGCCTAGCAGCACATTGTAAAGGCTGTATAATGTGACTATTATCATCCTTGTTTTCTTTATTCCTGAAATCTAATTAAATAACTTCAGTGGGTTATGTCTGTTGATCTCTCAGCATTGACTTTTCCTGAAACATGATGTCTATTTCATATACAGATTCAGGGCTATTTTTATGTCAGGTAAGCTTTAAGAAAAAATCTTTGAATGTTTTAACGTGTGTTCTATTCTTTTATTATAATTATCCCTGTTCTTGTCTGTTTTCATTTTGTACAAATCTTCAAGCCTATCTACCATGTCCTTGGCAGTATCCTCTTCAGTGGTTATTCTTTTTTGTTCTAGTATGTTTTACATTTCTTCTAGTATGACTTTTAATTTATTTTAATTACTTTGTTAATTTGAAGGAATTATGCATATAATAAATGCACATAATAAAAACAAATTCAATTAATTCCAAGGTATATACAGAAAAAGTTAAGTTTCTCTCTCATTGTAGACACCCAGATCCTCAGTCTGTCATTTCCAGATTAAGTGTATTCTTCCAGAATGTTCTTCACAAATGGCAGTATCATCTACACAAGAAGAAGCATAACAGTTGGAAACTTTTTTTCATGTCATTACTTATAATTTATTGTTTTTCACGGTTGCATAGTTTTTTGGATACAAATACTTTAGTTATGAACATGTAGTTTTTTTCACTTTTCTACTTCTCATATTTTATTTTTAAAATTATATTTACTATGACCATTTTTTTGCACACAGTGCAAGAATATCTAGAATAAAATTTTAGCAGTAGAATACTATTTCAAATGTCTTGTGCTATATTATTACTAGTAGGGGAGGAAGGTCCTACTGGCATCTAGAAGGTAGAGGCCTGAGATCCCATAGTGAGCAGGACACACTCCATAACAAAGAATTATCTGGCCCAAATGTCAGTGGTTCTGCAGTTGAGAAACCCTGTGCTGTAGGACATAAGCTGTTACTGCATGTGCCTTCAATGCAAGTTGTATCAGGGAAATGCCCAGTCAAATCAGACGGTCCCAAGGAAAACCACTGTCTGGTTACGAATAAAGGGTCTATAAAAAGCATAGAACAACATAGCAATAATGCATAATTTAGGGGAAAAATGAGGACCAAAACATTAATACGGGGAAGCAATAAATGCATTAAAATATTAAGGAATAGACATAGCATAGCAGTAGCTGAATAATAGCGTAAGGGACAGGCATTAAGATATAATAATAATAAAAACAATCCTGTAATAACTAAAATGTATTAGGTTGAGCCGTAGGAAAACATCATTTCGTAGTTTACAAAATAGTTGAATATTGATAATATGACATGAGTTAATCTATTAATGATTGCTTACTCTTTGATATGGAGCGGTCTATTATAACAACGTTATCTGACTCTTTCTTTAACACAGTCTGATGAGGTAATTCTCAGGATACAGATGGACGTCTGTGCTCTGAAGTTTAATCCTCTCACCCAAGATCAAAGAGAAAGTAAGTGCACAGCCAGAACTGAGCCCTGGTTTATCTGTTGTCAAACCCACATTCTTCACTGTGAAGCTAATATTTGCACAAAGTAAAGAAATAAAAAAAGAGATAAATGAAATTAAAAAGATGTGAGAAGAAGAACACAGGCCACCGAGAGCTAACATGTAGACAGTGGGTGCCTGTAACGTCAGGAACAGAACAAGTGGAAGAGAAGGGCAAGCACGTTCAGAAGGACCAGAGAAGAAATCATGCTCAAGCAAAGAATTCAATCTGCTGCTTGAAAGGCCACATCATATTCCTGGAAAATTTTAATAACAAAAATAAATCCTAAGGTATGTCTTGCTAGAAATATTTAACTCTAAGGATTAAGAAAGAATACTACAAGCTTTCAGGCAGAAGAAAAGGCTCATGGCCTAAAGGAGGAAAAATGCAGAGCAACATGGACCTTAGACTTGTCCTCGACACAGCTCTATCGCAGAAGCAAATTTCACGGTAGCTTTAGGAGAACATGAGAGTCCTAATGTTTGTACCCAGTGAAGTTTTTCTTCATGTATAAATTCAACAAAAAATCATAATAAAAAGGTCAATGAATCCCTTCTGAAAAAACTAGTAAGCCATATTTGAAATGACTGCAAATGAAGACTTCAGACAAAGGGAAGGTATCATGACAGGGCTGGCGGTGAGCACTGACATGTGGAACTGAGGGTAAACAACTCGATAATTCTACTTATGCAATGCTGTGAAGTCAATCATTTGAAGGAAAAGATTGGGAAGTAAAATTTTAAAATACTGTCTAATATACAGAAACTAAAATTCCTGGGTTTATAAACAAAAGGAAGAAGTAGTACCAACATCAAATCATCTAGTCTTTCCTCCACTGTTTTGATGTAGCTTTGGTAGAATTATTTCATTTTAAAATTTTGTTCCTGAAGTTTTGAAAAGAAAATGTAATGCTATCTATCCATGTTCTTATAAAATTAGTCACTATGAGAAGTAAGGACAAATTATATAGCTCTGAAACTATCACATTCTGAAAAAACACTGAACAGAAAACAAAAGATACAAAAGAAAGAAAGAGAAAGTATTTCATTTTGACCAAAAAGAATGAGGAGCACTGATAACTTAATATGTGAAAATCTATTAACATAATTCACTCTGTTGACAGATTTATGAAGAAAACATATGGTCATCTCAGTAGATACAGGAAAAAAATTCAATTAAATTTAATACTCATATGTGATCAAATAACTCTTAGTAAACCAATAAGCAAATAATCTTAACTTGATTTTAAAAAGGCTCAACAAAATTAGACATCATCTCGTTTGGGTGGTGAAACATTAGAAGCATTGTTTTGTTTTTTGAACAAAAAAGTTGTCTATTACCATTGTTTTAATTGATAAATATTATATTAAAATTCTAGAAAGTATCAGTCAAAGAAAAGAATCCCTGCCTTAAACAAATTCCAAATGAGATAAAATATACAGAGAGAAGAATCAGAAAGAAACACAGATATTATTTCCAGCAACAATGAATTAGAAAATGTAATTATAAAGGTTTCTGCCAACCATAAAGCAAAACTTACAAGTATCTGGGAATGCATCTAACATGATGCAAGCCTGATTTTTTATTGAGAAAATTATAACACAATTTGAAAATGACTAAATAAGTGGAAATTTGTTCTGGATTTACAAGTGGGAAGCCAACCTTAAAACAATATCAAGTCTCTCTGATTTAACTTATGATAAAGTCCATACAATTCTAGTCAAAACCCTGCAGGGTTGTTAATAAAACTTGACATTAATCTTTATCATAAAATCCTTACGAAAGGGTAAAGGTCTAACGATAGTGAAGCTATGTCCTAAAGAAGGATGTTGGCTGGGGAGACTGCCTGACCATTTATCCCGGCTTTATAAGATTACAGTAATTAGAACAGGATGACATCAACACACGAGATAAACAGAGACCAAGGATACGGCTTTGAGGGCTCAGAAGCTGGTCCATGTATATTTAGGTTAAAAAGTAAAGCTTTAAGATTTGTAGGAGAAAGAACAGGGCAATGGCCAATGTTGGTAAAGATGTGGAGGAAAGATGACTCTTCTGCCCTGTGTTTAGAGGTTTGGGAAGGAGGAGGGGGACGTGTAAATGGGACAATTTATTGGAAGACAGTTTGTCTCTTCTGGTGAAGCTGATGATGGCAATACCCTATAATGCTACATTTTACTAATTCAGGAGATAGTCCACAGAAAATCTCACATATCAGGACTTTTATTAAAGCGTTATTTATAAAAACGAATATTAGAAAAAAACCAAAATGTCCATACCTGGGAAAATGGGTAAATTCTGCCATATTTATAAAATACTACACAGTAATTCTTCTGAAAATTTAAGTCTTAATATGTCTACATGGAGAACAGGATGAGGACAGAAATTTCAACTGTGTGAGTGACAGCAATCCTTTGAGAAGAAATAATATTCAGAGTAGAAACTGAAAACAGAGTTGAATGACATAACCAATACGTTGACAACTGGCACCTGCATTCCTCTTGGGGAGAAATTTGTCTCTGTTTAGGGGGAAAGGGCTTAATCAACTCAGATTTAGAAGGAAGAACTCAGATAATATATTCTGGGGTAAAAGATACCTGAAAGAGGGTGCCGCATGGTATTAAACTCTGATTAATTTAGGACCGACCGTGAGACAATAGAAAATGTTTACTTAAAAGCTGAATATTCCAGTTCAAAGATTTTAATATTTGTAAATTTTACAAGTATCATATATTACCTTTGTAATTAAAAAAATAATTATTAAGAAGTTTCGGGCCGGGCGCGGTGGCTCACGCCTGTAATCCCAGCACTTTGGGAGGCAGAGGCGGGCGGATGATGAGGTCAGGAGATCGAGACCATCCTGGCTAACACAGTGAAACCCCGCCTCTACTAAAAATACAAAAAACTAGCCGGGCGTGGTGGCGGGCGCCTGTAGTCCCAGCTACTCGGGAGGCTGAGGCAGGAGAATGGTGTGAACCCGGGAGGCGGAGCTTGCAGTGAGCCAAGATGGCGCCACTGCACTCCAGCCTGGGCGACAGAGTGAGACTCCGTCTCAAAAAAAATAAATAAAAAAAAAAAAAAAAAAAAAGAAGTTTCACCTATACTAGCAATCAAAGAAATGCAAATTACGACAAAGAAACACCATTTTACACAAACTACATTGTCAAAGATTTAATTAAAATGACAAGGCCTCTTATTGACGAGTGTTCGGGGAAGTCAACACTGCTTTACTGCTGGCAGAATGTAAAGCAGTACAGATTATCTAGAGCACATCTGAATACTGGAAAATAGTCAGACCCTCTAAATTATAATTCCACTTTAAGTAAATTATCCTCAGCTAAGATCAGAGATGTGCACAAATGTTTACATACAAGGATGTATGTTGTTTCTTAAGTTGTAAAAGTAAAATATAGGGAATCTCTGTATGCTCAATGATAGTAACGTATTTAAATAATCCAACTACATCATGATGGAATACTACTCAAATGTTCAAATAAGTTTTTCAAAAAAGATTCAGTTTTATAGGAAAATGGGATATATTGTTAAGATTAAAAAGTGACTTTCAACACAGTATTATAGTTTATCTCCTATTTTTTGTGTATGACTAAATATACAAGCATATAGAGGGAATGGAGGGAGAGAGAGAGAGAGATAGAGACAGAGAGAAAATAAATGTATAGAAGAAAATATACCTAATGTTAAATGCACTAACTTCTGGATGTTTGGCATAGTTTCTGTATTTTCCCGTCTTTGTACATGTACATATATTACTTTGATAGTGATTTTAAAATGCAAGGCTAAATATATGGAGAGAGAGTAGACAGCAACCTCTGCAGACCCCTTGCCCACTCTGGGGAGCCCCATCCAGCTTGCGGAGACTGAGCAGCCCAGGCTTCAGGTCGTGTGACCTGTGGCCAACAGAATCAGACTCCTTCTGGTCCGGTTTCTTTTCAATGACTCTAGTGCCAGATGGCGAAAGTAATTTAGAATTCACCTCTCTGAATCCAGCCTTTGTACTGCACAGCAATTTGGAAGAACTGAAGAAAAGAAAATGTTTTTGTAGGAGATATATATATATATATCTCCTATATATATATATATCTCATATATATATATATATATATATATGCAAACAAATAAAGGCATCAGAAACATTGTTGGGTCACACAATTGTCAGCTTCATCTCCATGAACACATATGGCCCAGATAAGTAGCTGTGCAAATGCATCACGTGACGTTCAGATTCTTCTTGACGAGCAGTAAGGAGTAAATTAGAATCCCACTAGGGCTTGAACTACAAATGAACTACCGGGGAGGAATACCATTTTTGTTGTGAAAATAAAGGTACTAATTTGATAAGGAGATTAAGGGAGTGGATTGAGGGGAAGGGAGGTTTCCTTGTTAAAAATTTACCGTTGTTAATGGAATTCATTAATCGCTCCCATCTGCTCTTTCTGGCTATGAAAACAGTAAACCAAGAAGGAAAATTATGGAGGTCTTAACACCTCCAGGATGTCCTTATACTTTTTAAGGAAGATGGACATTTAGCCTTTGTATTTTAGCAAAGACAAAGGTTTACTAAAATACAAAGTTGAGTATACATTTGTATAAAGAGTTACGCAAACGCTATCCCAGTAACTGAGGACGGCACACTCAGAGTGTTTCTGGAAATAAAGTGAGCACGGTGCAGGGACCTGAAGCCCGGGAAGAGGCTGAGACATTCCTGGTCACCTGTTCAGCGTAACCTTTCTCCAGTTAGCAAGCTGACAGCAGGTTTGCTGCTGATAATATTTTTATTTCCTAACTCTCCTGGCCATCTGTCCAGTTACATGCGATGAGTCTTCTGTAGTTACTCTGGGATTCCTGGAGTCATAGTAATTTCCTAAAAGATGTCTATTTTTTCAGGAAAACCAGGAGAGGAAGGACTAATTTATTTGACTTATAAATACACATTGTAAAAATATCAGATAAGGAAACGTTTCAGTAGGTAAAAAAAGTTTCTTTTTTCAGCACATCTCAGCACCTGCTCTGTGCCTCTGCTGGGTCCTGTGGTTAGAGAGTTGCAGATAGATACTCCACCTCTGCTCTCAGGAATTTAGTGTCAGGGACCTCCAGGAGGGCAATTCAATACGGGAAGTATTTAGAGTAGCCATGGGTACAAAATGCTCTTGGAGCTCATTAATTCTGCCCTCAGGTGTTAGGGACATGATAGTTATTACAGCTATTAACAAACCTTCTCCTTCTCCAGAGCACATGGCAGGGCTCCACTTCCCTGCTCCCATGTAGGCTGGGCATGGCTGTGGACCCTGCCTTGTCATGGTGATCAAGGTAGCTCCTCCTTCAATCAGGGTTCCTGAGAGATTGAGATAGACAGTGTCACTACTGACCATGCTGGACACGTAACAGGAGGGGAAAAACAAGCTGCTGTTGTGTACACCACTGAGATTTGGGGGCTGTTTGTGCTGATTAAATGGGGAGTGACTTGCAGAGTTTAACTCAGTATGGAAGTGCAGGGAAAGTAGGAGCAGGGAGAGCCGACCCAAAGATACAAAGACGTTTTCCTTTGCCTCGACTGCTCCTCCTCCTGCCCTTGCCTGCTCCATGTCTCCTCACCTCTTTCCTGATTACTGGCTCAGCATGGTGTGTTGACCACAGCCCCGGCTCTCCTACCCCACCGATCTACCCAGCTAGACATGAACGCATGTGCCCTAGGCACATACAAGCTTATTCATGGCACTATTCATAGTATTAACAACTAGAGACCTACATGTCCACTGTCTGTAGTATCTACTTCCCAAATATACAACATAGAGTTCCTGGAGAGTATTTTCTCAGGTGAATAAAATGAGATGAGGACTTGTTATTTGGTACCCTGGCAAGCTCTCATGATGTAGGTTAAGGGCCAGATAGAGACCTTACAGACAAAGCCATCCACTTCAGAGATGTAGAGTCCTCTTATCTACTTATGTCCATTCCAAATTATATGTACAGGAAAATGTGGAAGCAATTTTGAAAGTCAAATATAGCTAGTAGCATAGATGAATACATTTCAGCACACACAAACATACACACACCTACACACAATGGGAAACCATATCTCAATGAAAAGAGATAAACCACTGATTATGCAACAACATGAATGAATATCACAAACTTAATACTGACAAAGAGAAATAAGTCACAAAAACGAATATAGGTTCCGTTTGCACAAAGTTTAAAATAGGCCAAAGAAAACCAAAACCAAGCAACAACAAAAAACCCTATGATGTCAGAAGCCAGGACAGCAGCTCCTGTGGGGTGAGGAAGGGAGTGGTGACTGAGAAGGGCATGGGAAGGGCTTTTCTGAGGCCAACAATGTTGTACTCTTTGATCCGGCGTGGTAGGTAAATGTGTGTATTCACTGTATGAAGACTCATCAAGCTGTATACTTCTGATTTGTTTACTAAGTTTTATACCATAATAAGTTTCTTAAAATTAATCCTTCAAAGGAATTTTCAACTTCAAAGGAATTTTCAACTTGAAATAGACGATTTATTCCAATTAGCCTTGCACTAAAACTATTGATAAGCTTTCCTTTAGCTGTGTGTTGTCTTTTGCTTTGCACTACATCTACGAATTTGCACACGAAATGAGCCACCCTCATTGGTAAGTCTCCAGCAGATGCCCGTCTGGGTGTGCAGGCTCTACCTGTGAGGTGGTAGCAGTTCTTTGGAGCGCAAGGGGGGAGATGGTGTGGCTAGTCAGGTAGGCAAGAAGGGGCAGCAAGCTGGTTCTCAGAAGCCAGGGCTCCCTCCCAAGCTCTTCTCATTGGTTCTGAGAACCTCAACAGAGCACCTAATATTCCTGAGTCATCTCAATTTCCTCCTCTACAAATCGGAGTCCCCGTGCATCATAATGAATTTGTGTGAAGGTCACATAACTGAGTGTGCACGTGGGCATTTTGGAAACCACAGACGTCTACACAAATGGGCATGTTCAAAATCAGGCTCCAGGGAGAGATGGCTCCTGAACTCTGTGCTTCTGCTCCTCCCATCACACTTGAACTTCAACATCTGCTCGTCTCTTTAATAAGCACAGTCCACAGAATAGAATTGGGCACCCAGGGGAAGCAGCAGGCATGGGCATCAGAAGGCCATTCCATGCTGGTTGCTATGGTGACATTCACATTCTCCCGTCAGCAGTTTTCAACCAGTTGTACAAATGGAGGGTCCTGTATCTGTTTCCCAAATATGCAGCATAAATTTTTGGGATAGTATTTTCTTAGGTGAAGAAAATGAGGTGAGTACTTGTTATTTGGTACCCCAGGCAAGTTCTCACTACATAAGTTACAGGGCTAGATAGAGACCTTACAGATGTAGCCATCAACCTTCAGACCTGGAGATTCCTCTTATTTATTTATGTCAGTTCGAAATTATGTGTACAGGAAAATGTGGAAACAATTTTGAGAGGCAAACATCCCCTGTGATTCTACACCTCACACAAGTGACCATGTTCAGGTTCTATGTACCCTCCAGGATTTATCCGCTCTCTGCAGATTTTATGCCAGTAACCACTGTGCACATGGGATTTTATGTCTGATGTTTTATAAAACACTATATTATATATAATTATATTATGGTCATATGTGATAGAATTCATAATTATCCTAAACATATTGGGAGAATAACACTGTAAGAAAGAGTCTTAAGAGGAGGTTTGAAGATAACTACAAATAGATCACCCAAGCCCATATTAAAGAATTTCAGTCCCCTCCCTAAAAACTTCCAACAGAAGCAACCAAGACGTCCTTCAGTAGATGAATCAATAAGTAAACTGTGGCACAATCAGGCAACGGAATATTATTCAGCACGAAAAAGAAATGAGCTTTCAAGCCATTTAGAGGTGAGGCATGTTACTCAGTGAAAGAAGCCAGTCTGAAAAGACTACAGACTGTGCGATTCCAATTATGTGACATTCTGGCAAAGGTGAAACCATGGAGACAGGAAAAAGATTAGTGGTTTGCAAAGGTTGGTGGGGAAGGAGGGATGAACAGATGGAGCACAGAGGAGGTTTACGGCAGTGAAAACACTCTGTATGATACTATCATGGCGGACACCTGCTATCCTACATTTGTCTAAACTCATAGAATGTACAACACCAAGAATGAGCACCAGTGTGCACTGTGGACTGGGGTGATAGTAAGGTGTTAATGTAGGTTCATTGATTGTAATAAGTGTCCCACTCTGGCGGGGATTTTGATAGCAGGGGAATGTGTGTGTGTGTGTGTGTGTGTGTGTGTGTGTGTGTGTGTGTGTAGGGAGATGGGGTAACAAGAAATCTCTGTACTTTCTGCCCAATATTGTCTCAGAGCACACTCTCCCTGCTCTGTGAACACCTAAGCCCATTCTTTCTGTCGGGAGAGTTACAGGAGGGCTGAGGTTCATTCCTGGTCCCCGTGGCCCTTCCATCTCAGATGCCATTGGCACAGTGTCTGTGGACCAGCTGATTTCACTTAATTTCATTCAAACAAAGCAAAGGCCATAGTATTTCTTTAGTTGAACATGATAACAAATCATAAATTGTACATGTCACCCCCTCATCAAATGGATCCTTTAATAGTTGCTCGGAGGAGAGCCTGAATTTGAGGGTGGCCTTCTTTGTGGATAAAGTGGTATAGAAAACAAACACTGTTCAAGTATCTATAAGCTTGAAACAGGTGAACATAGAGATCTTGTGTACAGAACCTGGAGTTACCCCATGTGAAAGGTGGGCAAGCCCGGGCTGAAGCCGCGACTCTTTGGAGGACATCTCTTCTCCCCTCCCCTTCGCTCTGCTGCTCCCTCCTGACTTTTTCTCTGCTCCACTTCCCTCCGTCCCTCATCCCCACTCTCTTATGAAGACCAGATACAGAGAGATGCTAGCAAGAGGTGCAACCTGCTGTTTATCTGCCTGTCGTCTTCACTGGTAACTTCGGATGGACCTGGGAATCCAGGGCACTGCTCTAGGGGCCCACGAGAAGCACGTGTGGTCTCCACGATAAACTTGCTAACAGAAAGAAAAAGAGCCTTGGCACACTCAGGGGCATTTGAAACAGAAGCTGACGTCGATCCCAGCATGTCTGGAGGAAAATCCATTTGGCATCAGGCTGAGAGGCTCGCGGGGAGGTGAGGACTTCCCGCTCAGGATTGCAAAACTGCATGTTTCTGCTCTCTCACACTCTGGCTTCAACTTCTTCTCCACGGGCTTCATCATTTTAGCAACAGGATTGTTCTTTGCCTTCTAAAATGCCCTTGTTTCTGTTCCCTCAGGGAAGAGCATAATTAATAAATCAGATCTTTGTCCTGTGCAGAAGACGGGCCGTGGTGTTAGGTCCTCCCCAGACGTGCCGACCTGAAGCCCAGTCACCCCAAGCATCAGTAGAGCCAGATGAAAACGAAAAAAAAAAGCAAAGCACGCAAGTGTGAGCCAGGCTTGAGCACTCAACACCAGATCATGGATTTAATGACTATTTCCCCAGGACACGGCAGACTGTTGGATACATTGACTGGTTGTTTTGGCCTTATGCAGACAGTCTTGAATATCAGATTCAGTTTGTGAAATCAACCGAATGGCTGCGTCACCTCTCCTTCCCTCTCCACAATGCCTTTTCTTCTCCCAGTTCTTCACTCCATTCCAAGTGGGAGGGGGTAATGGCCAGAACACGAGCTTTGGCGTCAGAAGGTCTTGTGTGCACACCAGCTGGGTGATTTACCAACGCTGTGACCCTGGGCGAGGCTCACCTCCCAGGAGCCCCATCTTTCTTTGCAAAGTGGAGACCGTGTCTACCTTGGTTGCCACACAGAGTCATGAGAGGATGGGAGTGTGGGGCCCTGAGGGAGCAGCCTAAGAAGCATAAATTACTGTTCAGTAAGACATGCAAAAGTAATTCTTCAATTTCTATTTTCTCCTCATTCTCTATACCTCAAATTAGAACTCTTTTTAGGTAAGAGGCCAAGTCTTGTTCATTTTTGCCCCTGGCACATAAGTAGATATTCTGTAAATATTTACTGAGTTCACTCATCAGCTCAGTAAATTCATTGAAAACCACCCTTTGCTTGACAAGAAAACAAACATCCCCAGTTCCAACTACCCCAGTACTTTTCACTGTTAGGTGTTTGTATTTTCTCTTTGTTGATCTGCTTACTTGCTTCTCACCCTTCAACCCCAATTAGATTGTAATCGATAGAAAAGCCCCTGGGGACAGGCACAGTGGCTCACGCCTGTAACCCCAGCACTTTGGGAGGCTGAAGTGGGCAGATCACGAGGTCAAGAGATTGAGACCATCCTGGTAAACATGGTGGAACCCCATCTTCACCAAAAATATAAAAATTAGCCGGGCGTGGTGGCATGTGCCTGTAGTCCCACCTACATGGGAGGCTGAGGCAGGAGAATCGCTTGAACCTGGGAGAAGGAGGTTGCAGCGAGCTGAGATCGTGCCACTGTACTCCAGCCTGGGCAATAGTGCGAGATTCTGTCTCAAAAAAAAAAAAAAAGAAAGAAAAAAAAAAGAAAAAGAAAAGAAAAAAGAAAAAGGAAGAAAAAGAGAAAGAAAAAAAGGAAAAGAAAAAAGAAAAAGAAATGAAAGAAAATGAAAAAGAAAAGAAAAAAGAAAAAGAAAAAGAAAAGAGAAAAGAAAAAAAAAGAAAAGAAAAGCACCCGGAACAGAGTGGGCACCCCATTAAGACTGCTGCAGTCAGTGAACTGGCCAAGGTATTCTTTTTCAATTCACAATTTCGGAACAGAAATAAATGGCTTTGCAAATGCCTTGTAGAGAAAACACTCAGCCCTGGTCTATTGGTCTAAGCTCAACACTGATGTCTAAGTTTTGGGGGCAAGGAGAGGGTCCTGCCTGGAATACGGCAAGCAATCTGTCGTGTGTATTCCTAAACTCATGAAGGAACCGCTGCCATTTCCGTCAATTTTTAACCTGACCCCTTCTTTACATGGATTTGCCTTAGAAAAGTCTTCTCCAGACATAAACTGGCATTTAACAAAAAAGAGGGAAAATGAAAACAATAAGGTATCATTTCTTACATCTGCCTGGAAAGACCACGGAGGATGAGCTGAGTGTGAGGCAAACAGAAGGAAATCGGAGGGCTCACAGCTGACAAGGGTGTTAATTGGAATAAAGTCCTGGAGGGCGATTTGACAATCTGTAGCAAAATCCATTTAAAGTGGCATACATCCGGACCCAGAGTTCCTCCTTTTAGACCTTTATTCCAAGGATTCAGCAAATATGAACGAAAATTTTGTGAGAGGATTATGACTCCTGGTTAAAAAAGGAGCGTGCACGCTAAGTAGTATGAACTGGCATGAACTGACATCCTTTGTAAGAACTGCATTTTGCATCTGGGCGAAGTGGCTTATGCCTGTAATTCCAGCACTTTGGGAGGCTAATGCCGGCAGATAACCTGAGGTCAGGAGTTCAAGACCAGCCTGGCTAACATGGCGAAATCCTGTCTCTACTAAAAATACAAAAATTAGCTGGGCATTGCAGCGCACGCTTGTAGTCCCAGCTACTCAGGAGGCTGAGGCAGGAGAATTGCCTGAACCTGGGAGGCAGAGGTTGCAGTGAGCCAAGATTATGCCACTGCACTCCAGCCTGGGTGACAGAGCGAGACTCTGTCTCAAAAAAACAAAACAAAACAAAACAAAAAAAAAGAACTGCATTTTAGACAGTTGCATTCTGTTGAATAGTCTTCCAGAGTTTCCCTAACACTGATTTGCTCTAGACTATTGGGATTGTAGATAATTGTTTCCTTTGCTTATCTACAGTTTTTGTATTTTCTGCAGTAAACAGTTTTGTATTTTCTACAGTAAAGTTTTGTTTACTGTAGAAAATAAAAGTTAAGTGTATGAAAGGGGCTGGATCTTTTAGGACCCAAAGTTACCCTTTGCCACAGGCACTATTGACAAACTATATATTAATCAGAACATACTCTGAATGACTGTAGGATACACAATTGGCAGATCCTAAACAAAGAATATTAAATATTTATATGAAGCCAGTGGGGAGGTGCATGCATGATGGGGAGGCCTGTGGCCAGCAGTGGTGTTTTATGCTCACATAAAATGCGGAGGAGGGAAATTGTTTAGGAAGACGTGGAGAGGTGGGGTTGGGGGACAAGGGGAAGAAATATTTTATTCAGAAGGGGATTTGTATTTGACAGGATGGAGCTTGTTTATTGGAAGGACTTCCTAAGGTTTTACTGAATCCTGCTGTTTCCTTTTTAGAATGGAGATAACTCTGGGCTTGACTTCCCTGATTCCTCCCTTAACATCCTCAAAGCTCTGGCTGGGTGCGGTGGCTCACTCCTGTAATCCCAGCATTTTGGGAAGCCGAGCCGGGTGGATCACCTGAGGTCAGGAGTTTGAGACTGGCCTGACCAACATGTTGAAACCTCGTCTTTACTAAAAATACAAAAATTAGCTGGGCATGGTGGCAGGAGCCTGTAATCCCAGCTGCTCGGGAGGCTGAGGCAGGAGAATTGCTTGAACCTGGGAGGCGGAAGTTGCACTGAGCCGAGATTGCACCACTGCACTCCAGCCTGGGCGACAGAGTGAGACTCCGTCTCAAAACAAACAAACGAAGCAGCCCAGAGGGAGCTGCTTCGTGGCAAGCTGGCAGCTGTGCAGCCCACACTGTGCCATGTTCTGTGCCATGCTGGTCAGTCACAGAACTTTGGCTGGCTTAGATGTATAGTCTGAGGGTACTAAGAAATTAGATACAGAGGACAGCATTTCAAAATACCATCCACTTAAAAAAGCCCCAAAACATCCTTAATACTTCTTTTCAGTTTAAAAGTCATCTTCTTATGAAAAACATCTTGCATGTGATGACTGGAGCATAATAGACTGTAAAATATACGTGTGGAATGAATAAATGAATGAGAGTGTGAATGAATGAATGCAGTTTAAAAGAATTATCAGTGTTTTGCAGACGGTTCTCTTCTGTCCATAAAAGTATACAGTGGATCATTACACTGTGGCCTCTGTAAATCAGACCCACATTTTTTGAGTTCCTACACTGTCTGAGGCCCCGTCTGCAGTTACATTCTCAGTAGAAATGAGAACACACATGCTGGATACCTGGACATGGGGATGGTGCATTTTGGGATTAATGTTAACATGGTGTGAACCACAGTCTCAAAGACTAGAGAAGCCAGTGTGGCTGTAGAGGCTGAGAAGATTTTGTAAGCAAGGTGAACTGGCCTCATAGGATTGGCAGGATTTGGGGGAGCCACTGGGAGACGGAAGAAACCCAGGGATGGGGTGGAGTGACCACAGGTGACCACAAACATCGGGTGAGAGGAGCGGAGCTGGGTCAGAGTGTCCATGCGACACGGGAGTAAGACACGCCACTCCCTTTATTTTTCTAGGTTGGATCAAGCTCTTGGAGCTCTGGGGTTGGTGAGTAACGGAGCCCGGCCATGCATTCTCGTGCTCCCACCCTCCCTAAGGTTGGCTCCAGATGGCCAAGGTCCATCATAGCCATGGCTATGGTGCTTTTGTCCAAGACTGGCCAGTCCAGCCAAGGAGTGTGGCCGCCTTCCCTCCAGCCACACAGCAGCTGCCCTTCAGCCACCTCTCCAGCACGACTCAGCACAGTCCACTGCGGTGGGCTTCGGTGCTCCTCTGTGTCCACCTCCTGACACTCTGCAGCTGTCGGAGCCTCCACTGAAGACACAGAGGGCTGCTTTCTCCCTGCTCCCACGGGCTCACTCAGCCTTTGCCTCTCTATCCTTCCCTTCCCCTTAGTGGTCAGGGATCCTTACCATCCGGGCTTCTGTGCATTTGCTGCTGAATCCTCCTAGAAAAGTTTTGCTGCTTCTCCTTGCCTTGCAGTTGATCACCTCCCCCTTGGAAGCCCTCTCTGGACCCACTGTCCCACACATCCCCTCTTGTCCTCATGAGATTAGATGCCTGCCCACCCACTTCCCGTCTGTTCCTTTGCCACATGGACGCCCCCAGGATCAGGAATTGTGGATGATTCAGCCCCGATTGTATCTGGAGCACCAAGCCAGAGTCAGGAGTGGAGGAGCTACTCTGCACCGTTTCTTAGATAATTCGCGGTACTTATAGCATAGAGCAGTGGAGAGGAGGAAATAAAATACCCTGAGCCAGGGATGTGGGGGACGAGCCAGAACCCAGAGATGCTCCCAGGGAGGAGATGGTGCTGCCGGCAGCTCGTGTTTATTGAGCATTCACTGCAGCCACGTGCTCCTCCAGATACTTGAACCCTCCCTCCGCCAGGCAGGTCCCACCCTTGTCCTCCCTGTGCAGTTTAGGGAGCAGACACCAGCAGAAGCTTAGTCACAGCCCAAAGCTCCCATGCTGTGAGTGGCCCTGTGCCCGTCCATCTCCCAATCCTACCCTAGACAAGGCTGCGGGGACCTGCATGGGGTGCTGGTGGCAACTGGAGAGAGAGCAGGGCATCGGGGGAGGAGGAACCCCTCACACAGGGAGCAGGTAGTGTAGGCCGCGGCAGGCATGTGTGGGGCCCCTCCAGTCTCGGCTTCTGATTCCCCCAGGAGGTGGAGTCCATGCTCAATGCACAGCAGGATGGGGCAGGTATGGGCAGGAGATTTGAGGGAGACGAGGTGGATAATTGCAATAATAGCTAGTGCTTACACAGAGAGTGAACACAGGCCCTGTTTGACCAAAACCATACCGTCCGTGCCTGTCATCTCAGGGTGACTGCAGGAGTCCCCTTCCCCCTCCTCATCCCTGGTGTGCACGCTGGGTGCTGGGCCCTGCTCACAGCACTTCACATGCATGTTCCACGTCACCTTGCTCATCCACTCTGATCCACTGGCGCAAGGGCCTGTGTGGAGCGGGAAGGGTGGATGAGCTGTGTAGAGGACCCTCTCGAGGCTGCAGACCTTGGATGTGTAGTGGCCCGAGAGTGACCACAGCCCATAGTGGAAGGCTCAGCACCACTTGGCCTACAGGTGGAATGGGGGGAGGCTGAAGGGACCCCAAGACAGGCTGCAAGCCCAGCAGGATGAGGACTTAGAAAGCAAAGGAAAAGAGGAATTTAGAGATATCTCAAGCCCTGCCCTCTCCTGGCCTCTGGCTGGGTAGATGCTGGTAAAACCGACTGCAAGATGGATCCACAAACAGAACCACCATTTATAGCATCTTTCCTGTTTTCAGATTATCCGTGGCTCTGATAAAATTAACAAGGTGGGGATTTGTTGGCAGCTCTGACTTCCTGTCTCCCATGTGCTGTGGCAAAGGCCGATCATTGCACATGTTGCAGATAGTTTTGTTTAACCCACAGTGGAGACAGTATATATATACGTATATATATATACACATATATATATATACATATATATATATACACATATATATATACATATATATATACACATATATATATACATATATATACACACATATATATATACATATATATATACACATATATATATACATATATATATACACATATATATATACATATATATATACACATATATATACATATATATACACATATATATATATACACACACACACACACACAAATATATACATATATATACACACACACAAATATATACATATATATACACACACATATATACATATATATATACACACACACACATATATACATATATATATATATATATATATATATATATATATATATATGTATTTTTCCCCCCTAAAGAACAATGACTTTGACAGGAATGAGGTTGAACAAACATTTATTTATCGCCTGTTTTCATAGGGCAGATGGAGAAGCAGTTTTATGCTCAGGGAAAAGAACTGATTTTAAAAGCTTACGTATTGGGATATTGTTACCAAGTCCCACTCAATGCTATGTTATTAACCAGATGGTAAATGTCTCATTTAAATGTCCTTTATTGAACATCTGGGGAAACTGTTTCTGAGCCATGTTTTTGCTCATTGCTCACTGTGACGGGGGTGATTCTGTTGGAGTGGATGTTGTTGCTGTTAACCTGCAAGTGTTCCCGGTTCAGACCCCATCCTGTGGTTTAATCCATGTCTGCAGGATGACAATGAGTTGCCATTTACGAGAAATGTAATCGCAGATTTTGGAGGCCCCAGCATTCCTTTCAATGTTTATAGTTTCTGGAAAAGAGGAAAATTTGTTCTGTAAATGTTGTGTATTCGTGTTACACATTGTAACTGCATTGCACGTGTGTGGCCCCGCTGAGGAGCATGGGCTATTTAGTTATGGCCACCGCTGAAGATTGGTGCCACTGATAGATGGCAAGTGACAGCAGGCAGAGGAGAGCGTGATTTTATGTGATTCTTTGAATTTTCTCATGTCATTTGCAGCAAAATATAAAATCCTGACTACCAAATTTAAAACTACAAAGGAAAACAGGCAGGGCGCGGTGGCTCACGCCTGTAATTCCAGTATTTTGGGAGGCTGAGGTGGGCAGATCACTTGAGATCAGGAGTTTGAAACTAGCCTGGTCAATGCGGTGAAACCCCATCTCTACTAAAAATACAAAAATTAGCCAGATGTGGTGGTGCACACCTGTAATCCCAGCTACTTGGGAGGCTGAGGCAGGAGAATTGCTTGAACCTGGGAAGTGAAGCAGAGGTTGCAGTGAGCTGAGATCGTGCCATTGCACTCCAGCCTGAGTGTCGCAGTGAGATTCCGTCTCAAATAAAAAACAACAACAACAACGACAAAAACAGTCCACGTTAAGACAGAATTCTTGTCAGTTGTGGAAAGAGAAATGCTCTCCTTCACCTATTTCTCTGTTGAGGCAGCCTGAGCATGCGACTGTCCTGTGACACACCTTCATTTCGGATGCTGTGCCCGGCCCCGGGCTCCCCACTTTTCCACGGTGGAATCCACATGTGCATTTTGTAGTCATGGCTTTTACTCACAATTTTCCCTCTAGATGCAAACGCGTCTCCATGAGGAAGAGCAAGGCTCCTGCAGGATGGAGATCAGATGGATCAGGGATCCCACAGACAGAACCTTTTGCCTGATATGAGCACCCTTGGGAGAGACCTCTTCACACAAATGTTCCTTGCAAGGAAAACACTCCTGCCTCACTTTCTTCAACCCAGCCATGACCTTTCTTGGTGAGAAACTGTAGGAAGAGTTGGATCTCTGGTGTGTGTGTGTGTGTGTGTGTGTGTGTGTGTGTGTGTGTGTGCATGGTCTGATATGAACTACGTAGCCTCTTCCTTCCGGGATCAGCTCCTCACTGTGTCCCCAGATGAGGCTTTAACCCCTGAGTGCCCTGGATGATGGTGCTGCTGCCCCCTGGCCCTGCTCACCTGGCCCCTTCCCTGGCTCTCTCTCTGCAGGGACAGGGTCACACCAGGGTTACAGCATCTGCCTCCCAGCCTCCCAGCTGGCCAGCCCTTCTGCAGTGGCTCAGCCGCAGACCCCTCCTGCACACCACAGCCAAAAACGATTCTGCCAGGACTACAGCATCCCGTGAAACTGACGCTTAATGATGCAGAACTCCACGTTTCCTGTCGTCAACTTGTCATCATTTTCCTTCCCAGAACCCCCAGCACCTCTGACACCGACCTGGATCTCTACTCCAGAAACTCAAAACCCATTTTTGCCACACCGTCACGCTAGCTCTCCTTTGCTCCCCTAATCCAGGTCCCCGTTTCTCTGCACCTGTGCCCACCACCGGGAATCTCTCCTGTTAAGTCGCCTCCTCCATCCCGCCTTCTCCTGACCCCGTTGGCCCATGCGTCTTTGAACTTTTGCAGAATTTGCATCTGTAACAAATTACTTGCTATTTAATTATGTTCTGTCATATTATTCCTGTTGAATTTGGCTGAGAACCATGCGCTCCTTGAAAGCAGAAACTGTCTTTGTTGTTCTGTGTCCTGATTCAACCCACTAGCCCCAGAGCACGTCTGCAGGAAAGGCCTTCTAAGCTCAGGTCATCAAGCTCCTCCCAACTGCACTCTTTTACTTCTGTTTTTCCAAGTCGATCTTTTTTTAAAAAAAAACAAAAAACTTAAATGAATTCATTATTAAAAAAACTTTTTATCACCTCCAGAAATGGAAAACTGTATCATTTGCCATCAGTAGAATTTGGCTGTAAAAGCAAATTCCATGTAAACAGAACAATGCTGTTGGGTCCTACTTCCTCAGTCTGAGACCTGCTCTTTCTCCCGTGGTCATGGAGACTCCAAGTTCTAAAGACATACTAGGAACAGAGAGCAGCTTTTATTGTATCCAGAAGAAGAGAGACAGAAAAAAACAGAACCACCTGAAAAGTGAACAACTTCCTCACTCTGTGATTGGCAGTTGTTGAATCCAGTGAACAGGCACCACCAAAGATCACCCTCAGCCCACACCTCAGGACCCTCTGGTACAGACTCCAAAATCTACCACTTACTGTGTGAGTTCCAAGTAACAAACTCTGAGTATTATCTTATTTAACTCACTCTGGGGTGAGTTCTCTAAGGAAGAACCCATTATTATCCCGCTTTCCAGATGAGGAAACTGAACATAGCAGGAGAAAGAAGCTTGACCACAACCACACAGTAGTAAGTGACTAAGTCAGGACCCAGTGAGGATAAACAGTCATCCTAAGTTTTATAAGACAGAAAATTTAATTACAGGGACTTCCTAGATGGTAGAAGAGCCAAAACGTCAGACAAGGGACATTGAGGCAACCCTGGTGTCCACAGCATCAGGAAGTGGCTACCACCTCTCAGATGCACAAGGAAGGAGGCAGTTATCAGAGCCCAGGAATCAGACTCACTGAAGGGAAGCTAGAACCAGGGTGGGTCTCTGTGGCAGGAGCTGGCTTGTAGAAGGAAAGAGCCTCCAGGCAAGACAGCCCAACAAACAGAGTCAAGAAGCCCACCCAGACTCCTGTACACACCCATGTCCCTCCAGGCTTCCCATTGGTCCAACCCAGTCAGAAGCCAGAGACACAGGAACCCGGGGCTCATAGCCTGCAGAGGCCAGACCCCCCATGATACAGGGCAGAGCAGGGGTGGATGGGAGGAGGGGGATGCTTTGAGACCACCAGGCACAGGCTCACCCAGGTGGTCTTATTCTGGGGTCTTTTCACTCACACAAACCATGTTGTAGTTGACTATTGGATTTCATGAGATAAGAGTTCATGTGTGTTCTTCCCCATTCCAAGAAGAGGTGGGCTCTTCCTACTTCCTAGCTACCTGCAGCTACCTGGAGCTTTCTTCTAACATCTAGGGAGTCCCTGTAAGTAAATTTTCTGTTTTAAAACTGTTTAAAGTTGTCTGAAGACAATTTTTCCTCCACTCTTTTAAGCCCATTGAAAAGGTAGTGCAAAGTTTCCCGGAGTAAGAGAGGTGAAGGGGAAGTGGAATTGTGTTTCTTGGATTGAGAACAGATCTGAGGTTCACGGAGCCTGTGGGCAGGGGTTACCTGCGTCTTGCTCCCTGTCTGCATCCCCAGGAGGAGGCCAGGCCTCCTCAGCACCCGTGAGTACATTTAAAAGGCTGAGGTCTCGGCATCAGACACTCTGTCTTGTCCAAGGCTCCCAGCTCCACAGGAGCATAGGGCAGAAAGCTGCCAGACCACACACATAATGGTGGAATGTCTAAGGCCCTTCTCCGGAGGGGGCAAGAGGAAGCCTCGAAAGATGGGGAAGGGCCAGTAGCCATGAGGCTCAGTCCTCTCCTGCCTGGTGGGTGGGACCTGTGGAGTCAGAGTCAGGCTAATTTGAAGAAAATGAAGACGGGCTATTTCTCACCCATCTGATCATGGGGGCTAAAATTCTCAACTGGAGGTAATGTGGAAAATGGGGGGGATGACATGAGGTCAGTTCCCCAATCTCTGCCAACCTGAGGGGCTTGTTTGAGTCTTGATGGCCAGAGATTGATGGGTGTGAGTTCATGGAACACTCATGAGACCCTGAGCAGAAAGCAGACCACCACCTTGGCCAGGTGTGTGCACAAAGCAAAACAAGACAGTTGGCTCATCCTATACAACTCCTCCTACCCAGGGCAGGACTGCAGCCGAGGGAGTGGTAAGTGAGAAGCTGAAGAGGTGGGGCCTTGACCTGACCATGGGAGGCTGTGGGTGAGCAGGACAAAAGCCTCATTACCCTGAGAGCACAGGTAATAAAGTCCTTGTGATCTCCCCTGCCTAGGGAAGAGCTGGACACGTGGGATCAGTTGGATGGTTAAAAATTGAAGAAGCACTTTTCTCTTCTAATTATTTCTTTTGACAACCAACTTTAGGCTGCAGGCAGGTCCCCATGTCTGTTTCTTTTGTTATTCAGTTCAGCGAGCCAAGAAAACATGAGTTTCTTGCCCTGAAAATCCAAGCTGTACCATTTCCAAAGAAGCAGTCATCAGAAAAGAATAGGGTCTCTTAGGAGTTTAATTCCAGTGTCCAGAGCAAAGAAACATGTTGTCAGCTTGCACCTTGTTGAATAAACACCTTCTGGGTCACAGACTACTTTCCCACTGAAGCCAACCTCCTTCTGAATTTCCTGGAAGGGTCTTGGCCATGAACCTCAGTAGCACTTATTTCAGAAGGTGACCCAGGTACCAGGACAAGGCCCTTGAATCCCTGAGGGTGGTGATGAGCACACAGTGCCGCTGGTCCCCTGGCGCTGTCTGTCTGTCTGAGTTCCTCCTCGGTATGTGCCAACCTGACCTGCCCTAACAGGCTTACCCAGCCCTGGGTTACCCTACCTTGGAGAAATAGAAGGAATTTGGGGGATGATTCTTATGACTTGGGCAATGATGAAGAGTGGCGGGAGCCCTTGACATTGTATCTCCTGGAGTGACGTTCTTAGACTTTTCAGAATGGAAGTGAAATGCTCAGCAATGAGCAGAAACCACCCACGTTTTGATTTTAAGATGGTCCATCTCATTTGACAGCACTCCACTGACCCATTGGGCAATTTCTTGGAAATGTCCCAATTCTCGGAAACTCTGGGTAATTGTGCTTACAAAGCCAATGCAAAGAAATTACTGGGAATCCCAGGCCTGTACAGGAAAATAAGATACTGTTGCTGGCCTCTTATAAGGACCAGTCGTTATAGGGACACGGTCGTACGTGGAGGCCCTGGAACTGCCCTTGTAGTTTCTGTGAACCTTCATCTGCCTTAAGACCCTTGAATAAAATTTGTTCTTTGCACTTTTAAAACCAATAAGGGCTTTTGTTGCTGGGAAGAGGAAAGCCAATTTGTTGGGGAAGAATTATTCAGAACTGTCTCCCAGGCCTTGGGGGATAAAGGAAGAGCATTTGCAATTTGAACAGAAGGCACTGAAAGGCCGCCTTTTAGACTCTGAGATGTGAGAGGGTGATGCACTCTCAGTCTGCCCTCCATTTGCATTTTAACTGCCAGGCAAAGCCATTGTGAACAGGAAGGGCCCCGCCCCTGCACACACTGTCCAGGCAGCTGGACACTCTGCCCCATTGTTGGCAGGTGTTTCTGAAGGGCACCGTGGGTTCAATGCTCTTGTTTCAGTTTCTTTTGGTATGTTAACATCTCCTCTTTTTGAAAGAATTTGGTCTATTATTTGACTCATGCAAATAGAGAAATAGAATTCCAAACCATTAGCCTACTTATTAAATATTTATAATAAGTAGCTGGGATGAAAATACCTGTTCTATAGGTATGTCACGTGGGGACAGATAAACCAAGACCTGCAAATACTTTTATATACTCCATATAAAAGGACCCACAAATGCTATTGAATGATGGTAGAAATTGCTATTTATGTTCTGCACATTGAGGACCATTGAAGCCAATCTCCGATGATGCTCAGCTGTCATGAGTCAGCTCACAGAATCCCACTTGAAAGACAGAACTGTAGAAAGAGGTTTCAGTAAAGTACACGGACTTTCCATCCAGAAAATCCCATTTCATCAACGATTGTCTTGCATAGAATCACAGAAAAGAAGTGTTAAGAAAAGGATACCCACAACTTAGAAATAAGGCAAAAAAAGTATTGTGCCCTCTTTCAATGTCACTAAGCAGTGTCTAACAATCTAACAAGCCCATGTAAGGTGCATCTGAAGCTCTAAAATAATTATTTTAAAATTTGATCTAATACTTACAATTGACATGGCAGTCAAACAATGTAGAGGAAGGATAAGTTGCAAATTGTTTCTGTCCAGTAGAAAACTTAATCAAGTCAAATGTTATGAATTAATTGATTATTTTTGACCCATGGGGCATTGCCAGTTTTGTTTCTAACTTTGCAGTCTTGTAACTGCCCAGTGGGTTCACCTTGCCCACTGCCTCGACAGAGCCAATTTATCAAGACAGGGGAATTGCAATGGGCGAAGGGTAGTTCACACAGAACTGGCTGTGCAGGAGACCAGAGTTGTGTTGTTACTCAAATCAGCCTCTCCAAGCATTCGGGGATCAGAGTTTTTAAAGATAATTTGGCAGGCAGGGGCTTGGGAAGTGGGGAGTACTGATTGGTCAGGTTGGAGATGGAATCATAGAGGGTCAAAGTGAGTTTTTCTTGCATCTTCTGTTCCTGGGTGGGATGGCAGAACTGGTTGATCCAGATTACGGGTCTGGGTGGTGTCAGCTGATCCATCCAGTGCAGGGTCTGCAAAATATCTCAAGCACTGATCTTAGGTTTTATAATAGTGATGTTATCCCCAGAAGCAATGTGGGGAGGGTCAGACTCTTGGAGTCAGAGGCTGCAGGACCCCTAAACTGTAATTTCTAATCTCGTAGTTAATTTGTTGGTCCTGCAAAGGCAGACTGGTCCCCAGGCAAGAAGGCGGTCTTTTCGGGAAAGGGCTATTATCAATTTTTTTGTTTCAGAGTCAAACCACGAACAAATTCCTTCCCAAAGTTAGTTCGGCCTACACCCAGGAATGAACAAGGACAGCTTAAAGGTTAGAAGCAAGATGGGGTCGGTTAGGTCTGATCTCCTTCACTGTCATAATCTCCTCGGTTATAATTTTTGCAAAGGCGGTTTCAAGCTTACTCTTCATTTTTCCCCGTTGATCATATATGCTAGTCTCTTCCTTAGAACCCACTTTCATCCTGCCTGTTCCCTCATGCAGGAGTTAAATATACCTTCAGAACATGGTCACTAGGTGTGTGTATGAGTTATGCTTTATAAACTTCAGAAAATTATACTCCGAAGGCTGTCTGGCAAAGTGTTTAGAAAATAGTGATACTCTTGATGCTAGATTTATAGCAACAGGTCCTAACTAGAGAACAAGATTTTATGCATATCCCAACTGCCCCTCGGTGTGGAAAATGAGGGGATGGGGCCGTCAATCCCCCAATCTGTGTCCAAGGGGATTGTGAAAAGCCACCCACGAGGTGTCAACACATCCTTCATGATAGAGCAGCCATTACAGCATGAACATTGTACACACATTCAAAAATATTTTATGGGTAGCAGCTGAAAGAAATATTATTTCTCTTTTTTGAATGAGAGTGAAATCATAGCTGGTCCTCCTGAGTTGTTCACGGAGTAATTCTTTAGTCATGGTCTCTCACTGTCCTTTCCTCTTGAACTTCTGTTATCCTAGAAGACAAACCAAACAGTACATAGAAAGATAGCACAATGAAGAACCCTGCTTCAGACCTCTTCTACAGGGAGCTTGACATTTTTTCCAGGAAACTCAGCTTGTTTGTAGTGGCAGATATCAACGGGAGAGCCCCGGGAGCACAGTGGCTGTAGGAAAGGAAGCCGTGCTGCCCCGCGTCCTTTCAAAGCTCCCACGAAGACCTCGAGAGCTTTTCCCAGGGTTGTTCGGCTTATCTACCAGAGCTGTATTATTTATAGGGTCAGAGAAAGTCAAAGTATTATGAGTGTTCGTAGATCAAACAGAGCCTCCTAAATGCTCACTTCCCAAGATTCACTTGGAAACATCTGGGGTGTTTTCTGTACAAAGTGTTGGCTACTTACAAGTTTAGTAGCCTTGTGATAAGTAAGATATATCTTCTCCTCTGAACTCTTCTAGAAGATGGTGGGAAAAGATAGGGAGCTACCATCTCCCTAGAGACATACAATTATTCCGGCCAGCTTAGGTGACTGAGACAAGCAATGCATTGCAATGAATTGCAGAGACTGAATGGCCAGGCTAACCAAAATGCACATCATACTGAAACAACACACTTCAGGAGATATCTGATGTTCCAGTTATGTCTTTGGATTAAGGAATAATGGCTCCAGAAAAGCCTACTGGAAATAGAATATGTTGTTTGAGAGGGACAGCTTATTAGCTGATCAGTGCTTATGAATTAGAGAAAAGGGCACAGAGGAAAGAAGTCAAAGTGGGAAGAGTGTTCAAGAGACCTCTAAGTGGTGGAGAGCAGCCCAAGCAAGGGCTTTCTTTCTGTTGCTATGATTGTGAAACAGGAAAGGTTTCCCCGTCCAGCTCGCAGGGTGTGTGATGGCGGTGTGACTCGCTGCTTCAGTGCCTCGCTGCTCAGACCTCTAGGGGAGCATAGAGACAGGGCAGGCTGTGGGGCTCCAACCCGACGGCAGTGACTAGGGGTGAATGTTTACAGCTGAAGCCCCAGTGGGCGTGTGTTACAGGGTGCTCTTTTAGTTTAGCCATCCATAGGGATCTCGTGTTAGTCAGCTCAATTAGACCCATGCCTTATCGCAAGGACAGTGGGCTTTCTGTATCCTGGGGTTCTTGCCTTGGTGTACTGGAAGAATTGGATCACACGTGGGCTTGGAGAATGGGTGCAAGGTTTTATGGAGTGGCAGTAGTTCTCAGCAGATGGGGGAGCCAGAAGGGAGATGGTTTTCCCCCGGAATAGGGACACTTGGTGGCCCACCCCTTCTCTGACTGCTCCAGCCAAACTCTGTGTCGTTCTGCCGGTGCCTGTCGGTGTGCTGTTGATGTCCAGCCACTCGTGTGTTCTGCTGATGTGTTCCTCTCGACGTGCAGCTGCTTGCGTGTCTGCCTGCTAGGGTCTCAGGGTTTTTATAGGCACAAGATGGGGGTGTGGCAGCCAGGGGGGTCTTGGGAAATGCAACATTTGGACAGGAAAACAAAATTGCCAGTCCTCATCTAAGCCCGGGGGCACAGGCCTGGGGATGGAGCCCTAGCCAAGGACCACTCCCTCCTCTACCCAGCACTTCCCTTCCCCCTTCCATATCATTTATTTATTTATTCATTTATTTTTATTTTTATTTATTTATTTATTTATTTATTTATTTATTTATTTTTTTGAGACGGAGTCTCACTCTGTTGCCCAGGCTGGAGTGCAGTGGCACAATCTCAGCTCACTGCAACCTCCGCCTCCCAGGTTCAACCCATTCTCCTGCCTCAGCCTCCTGGGTAGCTGGGATCACAGGCACGAGCCACCACATCCAGCTAATTTTTGTATTTTTAGTAGAGACGGGGTTTCACCATGTTGGCCAGGCTGGCCAACTCCTGAACTCAAGTGATACGCCCACCTTGGTCTTCCAAAGTGCTGGGATTACAGGCGTGAGCCACTGCGCCTGCCCAGCCCTTCTGTATCATTTAAAGGGACCACGCACCTCCCTTCCCAGCACTTCCTTTCATATCAACTGGGGATAGAGACAGCGCTAGGCGATGGCTGGCAGGATGGCCATGGGAAGACAGGGAAGAAAATCTTATTTTCCAATTTTATCAAAACGCTTTCAGTTTCACAAAAAAATTTTCTTATTTTTACAATCTCTGATGATTAAATCTCTGTCTCTCTCTCTCTGTCTCTCTCTCTCTCTCTCTTTCAAGGAGCCCTTATAGCTTCAGTCATCATGGGAGGGGCTTTGAAGTTAAAAAGGTTCAAATGCCAGTTTTGCCTCTTCCTAGCTGTGAAACAGCAGCTAATTCACTGAACCTCTCCAGTCTGTTTCTTCATCTGTCAAGTGGAGGCAAGAGAGCTTTGTCCATGGGGTTTGGTGAGAATTGCATGTACCTGGCATGTGAGTGCTCAGTGAGTGCTGGGAAGTGGCGTTTAGTTGCATCGACCTACTAAAAAAAGCATCCAGATGTTTATTGAGAGATGCAACCTGACATTTCAGATAGGCTCAATCTTTGTATTATTAGAGCTTGTAAATAAAGAATCCTTGTCTACTACTAATGCTTCCACTGGAAAGGGTATATGGTTATTATTGGCAGTGACAATGGTAGATTCCACCCAAAAGCAAACTTCAAGCACAGTGCATGGCATAGAGCAGAAGCTCCATAGATGTTCGCTCCACCTTTGACAGCATGTTTCGTATCTTCAGCCAGAACGCCAGCTGTGGATAGTCAACAACCCTCAGAAAATACCAATTACATGAAGTGCCGACAGGAATCTATGAGATGCCCCGTAAAGCTGAGGGCTCTAGGCAGTGGATTAGGGGAAATCAAGGGAGGTAGGCATCTGATTTAATAAACAGAGTACAGCAAAGGGGGAAATCTTTCTCTAATGCTAGTTGAAAATAAATTTTCCTCTGATGACTTAGATTGCCTTTTTCTTCTGGCTTTAATGATCTCTAAGCTATTGCTTAAAACAAAAAAAATGCTCTAGATGACATTAAACTCCTACAAATGTATATAAAAATGAGCATTTATGAAATCACAAATCTTGTGAAATGTACCTATTTAAATCCTCACCTATTTGGCTTTTGTTTAAGATTTTTATAAAGTGGATGAGAGTAGCAACATATGTATATTTCATGTAAATTGCTGGTACAGCCTTCGCTTCTGTAGGCACTACCTGCTTTGAGCACGAAGGGTATAAGTAGAGCCCTGAGTAGATGATTTTTCGGCAGGGCGCGGTGGCTCAGGCCTGTAATCCCAGCACTTTGGGAGGCTGAGGCGGGTGGATCACTTGCATTCAGGAGTTCGAGGCCAGCCTGGCCAACACGGCAGAAACCCATCTCTACTAAAAATACTAAACTTAGCCAGGCATGGCAGCGCACACCTGTAATCCCAGCTACTCCAGCAGCTGAGGCAGGCGAATCACTTGAACCTGGGAGACAGAGGTTGCAGTGAGCTGAGATCATGCGAGTACACTCCAGCCTGGGCAACTGAGCAAGACTCCGTCTCAAAAATAAATAAATAAATAAATAATAATAAAGAAGAATTTTCGCAGGGGCACTGAAAACGGGGTTCTTGCCGGCTCAGGAGGCTGACTCAGGTCTGGAAGGTGCCTCGCTGATAACCTCCCATGTGGCATCACCTGTCTCTCTTGAAGAGCCATCGCAACCAAGGCTTCCTCCTCCTGGCCAGGCCTTGGCAGGTCCTCACTCTTTCCCCTGCAACCACTGAAGTTTCCAAGCTGTTGCCACAAGCACTGCTTTCAACCTGGCCCTGCTGGTGGTCACCAAGGGTGATCCTGGCATGCCATGGCTTTCAAAGCAGCTGTTAATTGCGCTGTTTGCCAGTGGATGGAGAGGAAGGTTGGAGAGATTTCTCCTCTGTTGGCATGACCTATCGGTCAAACCTTTGTGCCTGAGAGAGTCCCTAAATGAAGAAACTTGGTCAGAGAATATGTGAAAGCTGTAGTGCATTGAAACTATTTATTCAGCCTGACCAAAAATCAGTCAAAATTAGCTTTGATCTTGCTAGTTACTCTCCCCCCATTTACAAAATCTACCTAGGCCTGGGGTTACCTGAGGAGGACCCTGGAAAGTTCAATGAATCATCAAATCATTTTCATTTACATCCAAACTTGGAGAAAACGTCACTATTAAAACCTTACTGAGAAGGCAGTAAAATCCATGTTTTTCATGAATAAAGCTTGAACTTCAGACAAAACTGTAGTTGTTTGCCGCATCCCTGTGAGGACAAAATCCCTTCAAAGAAAGATTGCTTACTTTCCACTTCCTTCGGATGTGTGGCGAAAGAGCTTCAGGAAAGCTTACTTCCTTCAAACTTACCAGACGGCCCTGAGGTCACTACAGATTTAAGTACAAATTGAGCATTTGGAATAAAATTAAGGACAGGTGTGTGGATTTCTGGGGAAAAGTCCAAGGGTGGCTTTCTCTTTTCAACAGTGACCACCTCCCTCCCTCCCTTCCTCCTTCCTCTCTTCTATCATTGTCATGATGTTGGGTGGACAACTTGGTATCAGAGTTAAAAGGAAATTAATGTAACTGTATCAATGGCTACAATTTAATACATCTCCACTATTATTAATTTATTTATTGAGTATGCTGTATTTTTGGTCCTATTTTAGTGATCATAATTTTAAAAAAAAAACCCTATCTGTAGGACTTCCATTGGTTCAGCAGTAATAAAGTTCTTCCAACACAATGTTCTACATGGAATCTGTAATTCCACAATCAACAATTCTCTAATGAGAAATGTCTTAAGAAACCTAACCTTCACCTTTTGGAAGGAACTGTTGTACATGCAAGGGGTACCATAAAATACTTTAAGAAAAATGAATGTATGGCATTTCATGATGAACAAGTTAAATATATTATTGATACACTATTTAACCAAATGCATATTTAATTAAGAGAAGTGTTAGACAATTAGGGGAAACATTAAAATGGGAAAGTAATATATTTAACAATCACCTGTTGTTAATTTGGAATACATGACTATATTGCTTGGAGACATTTTCATAGTTAATAAATAAGATTAGTAAGTACACGGGTTGCTGTAGTTTCTAAAAATTTTATAATGCATATTAAGCTCTTAAGCTGAAAGACTAGATCAATTATTCCAATAGTAACCATTTGTCTCGTAAAACATTCACCAGGTTTGCCTCATAAATTTAGATTTGGAATTAAAAGGCCTAATTTGCATCACAATTTTGTTCATATGGTAAGAAAGAGTAGACTATGTATAAAAGTATTTTTTAGTCAGAAGGAGAACACACTCCTTTTGTTATACTTGGTTTTGAAGTATGAAGTGTGTATTTTTATGTGGAGTTAGGATTTGGGTTTTCATTTTAATGATGTTTGTGTGAATTAGATTTGTAAATTAGATATGAAGGCAGGACCAGCCAAAGCCAATTTCTGATTAATCCAAGAGAGAGTAATTCTTGACTCTCACCCACTGCTACTGAGCTGACAGAAAATTCTCACTTAAAACAACAAATTCACATTAATATTTAGACATGTTTTGATAACAATAAGAACTAATACTTATACAGAATGCATAAGCATCGTTCTAAGTATGTACACACATCAACTCATGTAATCTTCACCTCAGCTCTCGAAGTACATATCACCAACACCATCATCGTCTTCTTTCCTTCCTTCCTTCCTTCCTTCTTTCCTTCTTTCTTTCTTTCTTTTTTCTTTCTTTCTTTCTTTCTTTCTTTCTTTCTTTCTTTCTTTCTTTCTTTCTCTCTCTTTCTCTCTCTCTCTTTCTTTCTTTCTATCATTTCATTCTCATTGCCTAGGCTGGAGTGGAGTGGCATGATCTCGGCTCACTGCAACCTCTGCCTCCCGGGTTCAAGCGATTCTCCTGCCTCAGAGCTGGAATTACAGGAGCCTGCCACTATGCCCGGCAAATTTTTCTATTTTCAGCAGAGATGGGGTTTCGCCATGTTGGCCAGGCTGGTCTCAAGCTCCTGACCTCAGGTGATCCAACCACCTTGGCCTCCCGAAGTGCTGGGATTACAGGCATGAGCCACCACGTCCGGGCGTCATTGCCTTCATCATCACTATTTTAAAGGTAGGGAAACCTAGGCACACAGAGTTTAAATAACTTGCCCAAGATTAGCCAGCATGCATGAAGGAGCTAAATGCAAAGCCAGGTACTACAGCTTCCTAACCTAGGCTCTTTCTTTTTGTTTGTTTTAGAGATAGAGTCTTGCTCTGTTGCCCAGGCTGGAGTGCAGTGGTGCAAACATAGTTCACTGCAGTCTTGAACTCCTGGGCTCAACGTATTCTCCCACCTCAGCCTCCCGACTAGCTGGGACTATAGGACACCACCATGCTTGGCTAATTTATATATTTTTTGTAGAAACAGGGTCCTGCGATGTTGCCCAGGCTGATCTCAAACTCCTGGCCTCAAAGGATCCTTCCACCTCGGCCTCCCAAAGTGCTGGGATTACAGGCGTGACCCACCACTGTGCCTGTCCCTAGCCTGGGCTCTTGAGGACTAGCCCCCTTGACTTTTCCCAGGTACAGCCCATGGGTGCGAGTGACGGTTTCGGGTGTCACTCTAGTGCTGGCGCACCTCTCACAGCACTGGGAGAATGATGGTGATGACTGTCTAGCACATGGGCATGTCTACTACGAATCACCTTGAGTATGTTACTTCCTATGAAAGATAACGTGATAGCTCATGTATAGAGACATTTCAGTTTCAAAAAAGGAAAAATGTAATATTGCCCTGAAATGTCGAATGGGTATTTTGGTAATCTGCACTAAACGTTTTCTGCCAAATGAGACACTCACTCATTGGGGGGTGTTTGTTTCCATTTAAGTTTTTAAATTACAGGGTTTCCTTTAGGTTTTAACCATTCTCTACAGTGTGGTTGAGTTTTAAATTAAGCCTGCTGAAAATAGAGACTAAAATTGGTTTGGCCACAAGGTTTTCAAAAGTATTTTTTTCCCCTCTCTTTCTTTTGTGTTTTGTTTATGTTAGGATAAGAGCATTTAAAAATGAGTGAGAGGTCAAGGTATCATTTTCCTCTAAATGACATTTCCTTTCCCTTTCTTTTCTCATATTTTTTGTGTGTGGTGTGAGTGTGTTTAATTACTTTGTTTGCTTTCATTTAGCCAAACATTATATTGTCTATTCATTTGTTAGTATTTTCATTTTCAAGGGACTGTTTTCTCATGCTTACATCATTCTAACATTCAAGTTCTTTCTTTCTTCTTTTGTACTTAGAGGCAGACAATTCTCTGTTCACAATCCTTTTGTCATAGTTTAAAATATGGGTTGTAAGGTTTATCAGTAAAATGAACCTTCCTAAGATCAGCATAAAAGGTAGTAGGGCTACTAAAGAAGTTATCAAAAGAGCATCTAAGGTCCTTAAGCTGTTGACATGTTGTCACAGCATATTTCCAGTTTGCAAATTTTCAATCCACAAAATCTGTAATTCAGATTGCCACTAAAATTTGTATTCCCGAAGTAGTAATAATAACAAAAGGCACTTACTATTTTGTAAAATACGGTTTTAAACATAATCATTAACTCACTCAACCTCGCAATAACCTCATAAAGAGTTGTTATTTTCAGAAGCACAGAGTGATTAAGTGAAATTCCCAGGTTACATTGCTAAAAAAGATAGATCACAGACCCATAAAAATATTTTCATTGTTATCAGTTTTATCATCATATCTTTTATTGAGCACCTTTTATAATTATCCAAGCTGTTCTATTAGGAATGTATTCTACGTATTGCTCTTTTTACAGATAAGGCAGCTAACAAGTCACAGTGGTTAAATAACCTATGGAAGGCCAAAGATCTTAAAGTCAGTGTTGGAAATCAAGTTCGGCTGGCTCCAAACCTGTGCTGTTTCAGCTTCTCCACAATTCTTTACATCCATGGGCTTCAATTTTCTCAGGTGGAAAATTTTAAAAGCCCCTTTGATTATAATAATTTATTACTGAAAATAAGAGACAATCATTATGGCCCTGAGTCTGAATACTGATAGTAATTTTTCAAGCAAAAATAAACACTTTTGGGGGTGAGATAAAACAATTTTGATAGAAAAGGCTTTTCCAAAGAGATTCAGTTTGATGTGCATGGTCTAGATTTTCTGTGATCTTCTGTAATCTAGGGAAAGGCTTAAATAATTGGAAGCTTTGAATGCTTAATATGTTCCTGGGGCCATGCATCCTTCTTTTATATTACTTGTCTTGGCTGGATATCTGACAAGATCTATACAGTAGAACATACACAAACTTGAAGCTTAAGGGCTTGTTATTTAGGCATTATTGGCTCTTTTCCTCATTTTTACTATTTATGGAGCTTAGCTTTTCTTTCTATAGATACTGGTTTCTGTTGGGTATCATATTCCTTCTGCTTGAAGAACTCTAACATTCCATGTGTTATTCCAGGTCTTTGGGTAATACATTCTCTCTATTTGTCTTTTCTGAAGAAGTCTCCATTTCACCTTTATTGTTGACAAAAAAAAATTTCACTGGATATAGAGCTCTGGGTTAACAGTTGTGTTTTTTTCAGTACTTTAAAAATACTGCTCCATTGACTTACAGTTTGCATAGTTTTTGTTGAGAGGTTGGTTGTAATTCTTATCTTTATTTTTCTGTATGTTTTATGTCTTTTTTTTGTCTGACTGCCTCTGACTTTCTATTTCTACTTGTTTTTGAGAAGTGTGATTATAATATATCTAGATGTGTTTTTTTGAAAATTACCCTGCTTGGGATTCTCTGAGTTTCTTTGGTCTGTGCTTAGATGTATTTTATTATTTTTGGAAAATTTGTGGCTATTATCTTTCCAAGTATTTCTTCTCTCCGTCTTTCTTCTCTTTCTGGGAATCCAGTTGTAATCATGTTTAAAAAAATGTGATTGTTCCATCGGTCTCGGTCTCAGATGTTCTTTCTCTCTGTTTCTCTCTCTGGTTTTCTTTCTCTGTCTATGTCTTTCTTTCCCCCTTCTTTTATTTTTCTCTTTGTGTTTCAACTTGGGTAATTTATATGGCCCTATCTTCAGCTTCACTGATTCTTTTCTCAGCTATGTCAAATCTACTAATGAGCCTGTCAAAGACATCATTTATTTCATTTCCACTAACACGGTTTTGGTTTTGTTTTTAATTTATGATATTTCTATTAAACCTTTTCTTGTAGTTTTCATCTTTCCAATAAAATTTTCTATCTGTGCACACACATGATCTGCTTTTTTATTAGATTATCAAACATATTAATCAACTATTTTTAAGTCTCTATATCACAGTCCTAAAAACTGTATTATTTGAGTCCAGACTATTAGTTGCTTTGTGTCCCCTAAATGGGTTGTTTTTTCTTGCAGTCTGTGTGTCTTTGGTGGTGGGGGGCTTCCTAACTTTTTTTTATTAAAGCTGGACATTGTGGCTAGAACTCTAAATACCATTTCTATTCCAATAACCATTTATAAACCATATCAATAAGAGTAAGGCAATGATAATTGATTCTACATGTCCAGAGGGGATTTTAACACACACGTAAGTCTGGGGTTGCCATGAGTCCACAACGGTAATGAGTAGCTCAACCAGTCTGGCTACATATAGAAGTCCCACCACACTCAAATAGCTTGGATAATAAGAATTAAAAGTAGTTTGTCCCACTGTTCCATTTTTTATTCAACTCTGAAAATAAAATAGCCATGCCTGTCTTATCTCTTTGTATTTATTATTTTCTGAATGAATGAACAAGTGAGCTTCTCCTGGGTCAGGCTGCTAGGGAGGGTTTTTAAAGTGGTCTCCCAAACTCTCTAAGCTACAAGAGCAAAAATCAACAAATCAAGCCACAGAATGAATTTCAGGGAAAATACAATCTGGAGTAGACATATAGGAAAGTCCTCTAGCACTAAAAACAAAAACAAAACTATAGTTGAAATTAGACCCCCGTTTAAATAGACACGCGGTCACCCAGTGTAATGCCTGTGTGACAGAGCTAAAGCTCTACCCTGCCCTAACTCTGCTGATCTTTAAGAAGCAGGATGCCTGTGACAAAAAGTTTTCCTTTGTAAACAGACCAGCGGAGACTGGTTAGAACCAAGATAGCTGACCATAGGACTTCAAAAAGACCTCGGGCTTCATTATAATCTCATTTCCATGCTAAATGACACTCTCACCAGTGCCATGACAGTTGCCAGTCACCATGACAATGACTGCAAGAGGCATAAAAGGGAAAAATGAAGGCAGCACTCCAGTTCCAGGAAGTTCATTGCCCGTTTCCAGAAAAGGCATGAATATTCCTCTCCTGGCTTTTAATATCCAACCCATTCGTTAGAGGAACTCTGTATTTTAACCTCCTCACCCTCACTAGTGGAGAAGTTGCTTTGTGAGCCATGCTCCTGCTTCTCCATTCCATGGCCGTGGAATAAAAAGCCTGCCCTGCTTGATACTCACTTTCAGTTTCATGTGTCAGCTTCACTACACTGAACAGGAAAAGACTCTAGTTTTGGGAAACCAGCTTTGTCAGTAACAATGCCAATAGAACTTGAAAAGCAAAACAAATTTCATTGAATATTAATTAATTAATTAAATGGTGGTTGGACCATTGGCTAGTTATCTGGGAGGGAAAAATCTAGATTTAAAAAAATATGCGACCCCTTCAGAATCTTTCTCAACACCACATTCAGGATGGCCACTACCAATCAACTGGAGTTAGCATCTAACTGGAACTTATTTACCATTCTTTATTTGGTATCTTATTTCTAATAGATTAAAAACAAATTAATGATCTTGAAGATTTACATGCACACAAATAGATGATAATTTTGACAGCTAATCTTTGGATAGTCAAAGACGTAAGTGCCTAAGTTCCTGAACAAATCACAAAGGAGCAAATCAATAAATGTGAGCACACAAAAATTTAAAATATCTTTCTAACAAAAAACCTGGCCAGGTGCAGTGGCTCATGCCTGTAATCCCAGCACTTTGGGAGGGCAAGGTAGGTGGATCACCTGAGGTCAGGAAATCAAGACCAACCCAGCCAACATGGTGAAACCCCATCTCTACTAAAAAAAAAAAAAAAAAAAAAAAATTAGCCAGGCATGGTGGCATGCACCTGTGGTCCCAGCTACTTGGGAGGCTGAGGCACGAGAATTGCTTGAACCTTGAAGGTGGAGGTTGCAGTGAGTGGAGATCGTGCCACTGCACTCCAGCCTGGGTGACAGGATAAAACTCTGTCTCAACAGAAAAGCCAAAAAACAAAAACAAAAAACCCCAAAAAACATAATTAACAACATGAAAAAATATATTTACATATAATATTTTTGAACAAATATAATACCAAAAAATTATACATACAGAGCAGTGACCTGGATCCTGACAGTCACACCTCCAGCATGACCAAAAGCCAGGTGCGTAGTCTCTATAAGCTTCAGTTTCCTCATCTCTAAGATGGAGCTATTGATGATTCTCACACCACAGGATTGCTATAAGGTTTAAAGGAGTTAATCTTACTATGCATTGCCTCATAGTAAACATTGTGTAGTAAATATGTGTTTGCTACTACTACTGTTGTTTCCAACTGAAGCTGTACCTTCTTTCAGTCAATATTTAGAACTAGTTAATATTTATTGTTCATTATAAATATATGATCACTGAAGTTTTCAAACTAAAACTTCTAAAAACAATTAAGATTTTCTGCTCATCATCACTGGTCATTAGAGAAATGCAAATCAAAACCACAATGAGATACCATCTCATGCCAGTTAGAATGGCAATCATTAAAAAGTCAGTAAGCAACAGATGCTGGAGACGATGTGGAGAAACAGGAACACTTTTACACTGTTGGTAGGGGTGTATATTAGTTCAACCATTGTGTAAGACAGTGTGGTGATTCCTCAAGGATCTAGAACTAGAAATACCATTTAACCTAGCAATCCCATTACTGGGTATATACCCAAAGGATTATAAGTCATGCTGCTATAAAGACACATGCACACGTATGTTTATTGTGGCACTGTTCACAATAGCAAAGACTTGGAACCAACCCAAATGCCCATCAGTGATAGACTGGATAAAGAAAATGTGGCATATATACACCATGGAATACTGTGCAGCCATAAAAAGGATGAGTTCATGTTGTTTGCAGGGACATGGATGAAGCTGGAAACCACCATTCTCAGCAAACTAACACAAGAACAGAAGACCAAACACTGCATGTTCTCACTCGTAAGTGGGAGTTGAACAATGAGATCACATGGACACAGGGAGGGGAATGTCACACACTGGGGCCTGTCAGGGGGTGGGGGGCTAGGGGAGGGATAGCATTAGGAGAAATACCTAATGTAGATGATGGATTGATGGGTGCAGTAAACCACCATGGCACATGTATACTTATATAACAAACCTGCACGTTATGCACATGTACCCCAGAACTTAAAGTATATAAAAAAATTAAGATTTTCATAATCGTAGATAAGACCTTTTTGGAATCTTTTCTTCTAATTATATGTTTATGTTCTCTTTAGCACAAGTATGGATTTCACTGCATAAATTGTTCTGTCCTGCTTTGTCATTTGCTATTTGCTGTAGCTTGAATTCTCCCCTGTATCATTAAATGCCTTTAAAAATCTGATTTTTACCCTATTGTATTTAACCATTCCATTTTCAGACATTCTGGCAGTTTGCTTAATTTTATTATAATTAATAATGCTGTGATGAACATTACTGTATAAACATGTTTCCAGTTGTTTCCAGGCATAGTAGAGATATTAAAAACTTACTTGTTTGAATGGAGAGGTGGCTAAATGGATAAACAGAAAAATGGGTGAATGTGTGACTGTTAAGCATTGGAATGTAAAGGTTTGAAGAAGATATAAAGGCCCAAGTCTATCCATTGACAGGTGAAGTAAGAATTCAGATTATTTTAAAGATAAAAGAGTCTTGAGAATATTCAAATACTGAATAAAAAGACTCAGTAGTTATGATTGTGGACTGAGGATGGAGTGAGTATGACTGATGAGTGCAGATCCCTAGAGACAGGAAAGGAATGAGATCCAGAACAGGTGCAGAGGGTAATTCCTTCAGGAGTCAACTATTATTTCGTGACTGGAGAGAAGGAAGCAAGGATGCAAGGTTGTGTGTTCATGCAGGTATGTGTAGAAGCAGGAAGAAAGTTGAGAGAGTTCTGAGACTCCAAGGGTCCCTTTTTGTTAATATCAGCATGGCCTTTCCAAACTGAGGGGCAAAAGGAGACGAAATCAGAGTTTGGGGAAAAGGGTAAAAGTTTGAGAGAGCTGTCCTAGATTTCTGCAGAATATGAGAAGAGGCTGCCACCAAGGACCACACAGAGGGATGGCCAGGCAGCTCTGAAGTATGGGTTGAATCTGGAAGCTCCACAGTGCTATGTAGAGCAGGGAGAATCATCATTGGGCTTTCCTGGAAGGGAGAAATAGAGGGACAAAGACAAAGAAGAGAATGACTTGAGGATCTGTGCAAGAATATGAATGTTGTGGCAGCCCAAATCTGGGCTGAATATTATCAGAATAGTGAAAGTGAGAGAGAGGGGAGCAGGTCTATTGTGAGATGACCAAAGGAACAACTTCTTGGAGATTTTTCTGAGTCTCGAACAGAAGGAAAGGGACCAGAGAAAGAAAGAGCTGGGATGATGGGAGATTGTAGTCAGAGAACTCCTAGGGCAGAGGAATTTAAGATTTTAGAAGTAGATAAATTACAGGGACATGTCCAAAATAGGGCCTTGATACCAAATGTCCAAAGTGAAGTGAAAGAACGTGCCAATGGGTTCAGAAGCTTAAAGAACAATGGCCATCTGGTCAAGGACAAGGGACATCCAAATCATCCAGAATAAGGGTGAGTCTTGGAGCGAAGTGGGAGACAAACACCCAGTGTGAATGTTTTCTGTGAATATGGGGCATTGACTCAACTGAATAAATGACCAAGGAAAAAGGGTGGAAAGTGGCAAACAAGATGGCAGCATCTTCCTATATAAGAGCTCATGAAGTAGCCTGAGAGTAGCCTCGGGGAGGGAGTCTCAAAGAAGAGAGAGTAGCCTCGGGTGGGAGGAGTCTTAAAGAAGAGAGTAGCCTGGGGGCAGGAGGAGTCTCAAAGAAGAGATAGTAGCCTGAGGGAGGGGGGGAGTCTCAAAGAAGAGAGAGTAGCCTGGGGGTGGGGGGAGTCTCAAAGAAGACAGAGTAGCCTCGGGGTAGAGGGGGGAGTCTCAAAGAAGAGAGAGTAGCCTCGGGTAGGGGGAGCCTCAAGGAAGAGAGAGTAGCCTCGGGGAGTGAGTCTCAAAGAAGAGAGAGTAGCCTCTGGGAGGGAGTCTCAAGGAAGAAATAGGATTGCAATAAACACAGGAGGGGGAAGGGCCTTTTAAGCTGAAGCTGTACGTTGAGCAGAGTCAGAGTTCCTGACCATCGGGAAACCAGGAGGAAGGGACAGCGGCGAATCTATGTGACCAAGGCGATGTTGATCCCACAGCACATAATGGCAGGACTCTTGCACCAGGGAGACTTAGAGTCATAAGTAATGGAAAGTGTGTTCCAGTTGTCAAAATAAATGAGTAAAATGTATTTTATGGGGTGTTATTTTTAGTTTTATAAGGCCAGATGTTCCAGCTGTACATTGCCTTACGCGCCTGTATTTCCTGGAAGCGACAGTGTCTCCATTTTCCTGACAGTCTAGAAATACCTTGCCTGGCCTCCATTATCCAGAGTCTGCGCTCCTATGGCCTCACTTATCTGGATCCTAGGAATGAAAGTAGAGGGAACACATCAGGACCCCAGACAGCCAGAATCAATGTCACAAAGCCCACAGGCTTTACTTGCTGGATATCAGCCACAGCCTATTTTATTTTAAGGCAAATTGTAACAAAGTTCAGTTGTTTGGTTTCCTAACCCAGAGCAAAATTGCAGGTTCTGCTGTTAAACACTAAAAGGAAGAAAGGGAATAATAAATCAAAAGGATCAAGTCACAAAGGGGCCAGGGAAGAGAAACACGAGAGGCTGCCACTTTATAGGATCATCAGAAACAGCTGAGGGCAGACACAGAAAAGTTAGGAAATGAAACGACATATGGTTTGCGGCCATTACTCTGCTCTAACCTTGTAGAACTCTGTGGAATTCTGTCATAATAAAACAGTTCATTTCATCTGAATTGGGGACCCCCGAGGTCTGATCCCGGGAGTCCCCGAGCCCACTTTTCCCTCCTTGGCCATCCAACTTCCTGGGGTGCCCTTGTGTGCTCATGCAGGTATGTGTAGAGGCAGGAAGAAAGTTGAGAGAGTTCTGAGGCTCCAAGGGTCCCTTCTGGTTAATACCAGCATGGCCTTTCCAAGGTGGAGGGGCGAAAGGAGATGAAATCAGAGTTTTGGGAAAAGGTTTCTCTCCCACAGAAGCCAGGAATAGGCCATCCAAACACAGCTGCCACCTTGCCATCTTTTTAGCCCTCAGACTAGCTGCAAACTCAAGGACCTTTTCTCTTCAAGGGTTTTATGAGGATTTGGGGCCAGAAAAAAAAAAAAAGAAAGAAAAAGAAAACAGAGAGGGTGACAAAATAGATATATGAGGAAATTTCAAAGACCTAGACGTTCTCCAAGTAGTCATTTTCTAGTCAATAAATATTTCTTGGGTAAATTAATGATCTGTTTAGAAATTAGCTCGGGCATCAGCCCAGCTTTCCTGGCCCCTTTCTGAACCAGCTGTCTCAGCTATCCCCTGGAAATCACGATGTTTTATGTCTATCAGATGCTTTAGACACTCGGGATGGGGGAACAGATTCTTAGTCCAAGCATAAGTAGACTCCTGGGATAAGGCTGGGGGCTCCCGGGGAACCCACACACACATATATTCCCCTAGATGTCCCTTCCCTCTTCTCACCCACCGGCCCCTCCTTTAGGACCCTTTCTTCAGCCCACAGTTCCAAAGATACCTCTAAGCTGGCCAGTCAGTAGATCTAAGAATAGGCTTCTACTCAGAGTCATGTGTGCACATAGAGAAGTCCCGGACAGTCTCCTGATGTGGCCCATTTTGGTTATTTTTTGGTATAAATAAATAAAACTTGTCAAATATATTTTAGAGAAATGCATAAAATGACTCACATGATACATGTTTTGGTGGCTCATGGTTTGGTCTTCAATTGTGGAAGGTTCACTGTGTGGCCTCCTGCACTCCAGATCTGTGCAGAATCCATGAACGGTTACACAGTACACATGCAGCTCTCTCCTCCCCAGCTGTAGACTACTCAGTGTGGTGAGTGGTCCGCCATCCCTTCTTCTCAACACATAAGGGGCTGTGTGTGTGAAAGTGGTGACAAGAGATTCCATGGAGCAGGGGTTCTTGTCTTGAAATGACTTAAAATATGCCTAGAGAGACTCTTCTGAGAATCAGATGAATGGTGCAGAGACGTGCCCTCCAGGAGTGCAGAGTGTGACTTCACACATGAAGTCTTCATTCAACTCCCCAGTCACTCAGTGCAAAACCTTGGTTCATCCCCTATCAAGTGCCAGATGTGTGTGAAATAATAGAAATACAGAGATATACAGCTCAGTCTCTGCACTTGAGAATCCCAGAGCCCGAGAGGGCAGACAGACGTGTGAACAGAGAGCTCCAGTGCAATGAGGTAGGGATCTGGAATCACTCCCGGATTTCTGGTTTGGGTAACTCAGGGATGGCGGTGCATTTGTCTTAGCTGGAGACCAGAAGAAAAGGAGGCTGCAGGGGAAGATGGTGGGTCCAGCCCAGGACATGTCCAGTTAGTTGTGCCTTAAGAGGAGATTGACGAAGACCCTTCTCTGAGCCAGCACTGTGCTAGGCTTGAGAGCAGCAGAGACTGTCCCTGCCCTCAACTAATGTAGTATGGAGCAGAGTGAGTCTCACACCACACAGTATGGATGCAGAATGTCATGGAGGAGGTTTGGGGGGCTGGCTAAGGATGAAGAGGAAAGCGTCTCTTGCATGCATGCTGGTGGGGGGAAGGGGTACAGAAATGTACCCTGCTCTGGGAGTCCCATGGAGAGAGGCTGTGGGAAGGAGGAGGGTCCCTGTCAGACAGGCAGTACAGCCCATAGATAAGAGTGGCTGAGTGGAGAGGGCATCCTCCCCATTTCCTCTGAGAACACAGTGCAGCTTTGGGGACTTGAGGACAGCAGGGCTCTTTGAGGAGCTCCTGCAGCCAGCAGCACTGGAGGTGGCAGCGTCTTCCCCACAGCAGCCACAAGGTTCTGGGCTTTAGGTCTTCCTGGCAGTGGATCTCAGCGCTGCACACCAGAGCAGAAGTACCTGCAGGAACTCTTAGCAACCAGGCTTGGACAACACTGGGCTCCCAGGCATCCTTGGGTGAGTGTTTGAGAGGGCCAGAGTTTCTGCACTTGGCAGGTGGCTGCAGGGCTCACAAGTGGGTCTTCAGTGCCCAGGAGTCCCCATTGGCACAGACACCTGCAAAGGCCTGAGGAGGATGCCCTACTGGACAAGACGTCGTCCGCTGAGTGCAGTGGTGCTGGGGAAGGGAGAACCGAACGCTGGCAGCAGTAAGGACATCCTCACAGCAAACATGGTTCAACCTGCTGCTGACTGACATATATCCACTCACATTCCAGGTGCAGTTTCTGTTGAAGCATTTTTTGAAAGCAGTGTAATCTGACTTTCCAATACACCTGACAGGCAGCAAAGCACCACTGACACAGTGACGCTGGGACCTCCCCAAGGTAGCTAACTTGTGAGCACTCCCATTTCATTCCACAGGAAGTAGGGAGTGTCTGTCCCTGACAGCAGGGAGCACAGGGTCTGGTGAGGAATAAGGGGCCCCTGCAGGACCTGGGGTGCCTGGCCCACTTCGGCACCACCTCCGGGTGCCTCTGTTACCTGGTGGGCAGAATCAAACACCCAGGATGGGAGACTGATCCATTCCAGAAGACTTTGCCCATCTTCCTCATCTGGGAATGACAAGAGGCAGGGCTAGGGTATGGAGAGCCCATGCAGGCCCCTAGCCTGGTTCCCCTCCCCCAGGAGTTTTGTGGAAATGATTCTGGAAAGGTTGGAGCCAAGATGTGCCCCTGCCTGATCCACTTGGCCTCCTCCCGAGGGTGCACGGGGAAGAAACAGACACTTCCCTCTGAGCCACTGAAGCATCTACTCCTCCAAAGGACCAACCAGAGAGGGGCAGAGCTGCTGGCCACCCCCAGGGTTTCCTCCCAAAACTCGGAGCTTGTCCTTCTCCCAGGACGGGAGCCAGGCAGCTTTATTGTCCGGTGGGAGACGACACTTTTCCAGGAGGGCTCCTTCCTGCACTCTCCTGAAGGCGAACCTAACCAGAATCCAAGCCAATCCTAAAGCCAGGACATATGAAAAGTCCCTATGTTTCAACATTTGCATAGAATATAAACTTAAAGGTGAAATTTTGCCCATGTAAAGTCCTGGGCTGTCTACCCAGGTGGAGGGCTTGGTGTCCTTGTTGATGTCATTATTTTTCAAGCAACATCATAGACTCTGCAATGCAGCAATAGAGAATCCACTTTGAATCCCAATGCTACATGAGCTTCGTTCTTTTTTTCAATGGATTTTCATGTGGAAGCAGAGCAGACTCAAATTGACATATTTTACTGCCATTTACTAATCTATTGCTTAATAAAAGCCCGTTTTTATATTATTTGATCATATGATGCCCTTCAAACTATTGTTTTCATTTGTTGCCTTTAATTTACACCCTTCATATCCCACATCTCTTTCATTTTGACCATGACACAATAGTGACATGGCGGTTGGGCTATATCACGTTGCCATACGCTTAGTGTACTGGAGGTTTTTATTTGATTTTAAGCTTCTGGGAAAAAATATGGGACTTATTTCAGTGAAGTGTGAAAAGTTCTGTTTCTCTGTGTGCTGTCAGTGTGCATTTTGATCACATGACAATTTCAGGTTTGCTAATCCCTGATAGCAGAGATCATGTCCTGCCTGGAGTCAGACAGGTGCCAAACATGCTGCCCCAAAGCTTCATGATGCCAGCGGGGTGTGGGTATTGTCCTCACTTGCCTTTCTCTATAACCGCATCCACTCTCTCACCCTTGATCACTTTGGTCCCACCACAGTGGCCACCTTTCCATTGCACCTGCCTTTATCACCTGCCTATGAAGAGAGCCTGTGATACACAGTTTCATGTGGAACTGACTGTCATAGCATAAAGTTAATTAATTTTTTTTTTTTGAGACAGAGTCTCACTCTGTCACCCAGGATGGAGTACAGTGGTGGGATCTTGGCTCACTGCAACATTTGCCTCCTGGGTTCAAGCAATTCTCCTGCCTCAGCCTCCTGAGTAGCTGGGATTATAGGCCATGCGCCATCATGCCCGGCTAATTTTTGTATTTTTAGTAGAGATGGGGTTTCACCATGTTGGTCAGGCTGGTCCCAAACTCCTGGCCTTAAGTGATCTGCCCACTTTGGCCTCCCAAAGTGCTAGGATTACAGACATGAGCGATCGTGCCTGGCTTAAAGTTAATTAACTAGTACCCTCATCTATTTATTCCAGCAAATATATACTAAGCACCTACTGTGTGCCAGGCACTGAACTAGATGTTGGGCAGTCAGTGATGGTTGGAACACATCTTCTTCACGGATCAGAAACTCTTCCTGGGGAGACACATGAGCTGGATTATGAAACACAATGGAAACGCAGTGAAAAATATAAACAAGGTTGTGTGAAAGAGGACCAGGAGAGAGTGTGCATGTGTGGGTGTGTGTGCATGTGTGTGGTGTGGGTGTGGTGGCGGCATTGGACAGTGGGAGGAAACCACTTTGGCAAGGCTGGCTGGGAACCCATCCCCAGAGAGAGAGAGAAATTTCAGCTAAGCCCTGATGTGGGAGGAGCCAGGCACAGAAGGAAGCACATTTTGGCCAGAGGGAGCAGCACACAGAAAGTCCTGGAAGCACAGGAGACATGGGATGATAAAGGCAGGTGCAAAGGAAAGGTGACCACTGTGGTGGGAGCAAAGTGATCAAGGGTGAGAGAGTGGATGCGGTTTTAGAGAAGGGCAAGGAGTGTCATTTGAGACTTCTTAAAAATCAAGCGTTTTATTTTAGAATAGTTTTAGATTTACAGAAACATTGCAAAGATAGTACCAAGGGTTCCCATCTACCCTGAACCCATTTTCCTCTACTGTTAATATCTTACATTGGAATCATGCATTTGTCACAACCAACTAACCAACAAGGACACACTATTATTCAGTATTCACAAGTTGTCTTTTTTGAGCCTTTCCTTACTTTCTGACTACAGGATACTCCAGGCTCAACAGGTTTATTTCTTGCCCCAGCCCTAGAATCGGTCAATTCTCCCAGGGAGCCCTGATTCCTTTTACTGGAAAGTGATATTAGAAACCAAGATGTGGGTGCTAGGCATGCTTGATACCACTGGGATGTCATTGCTTCTAGGCCCTTGCAGCCAAAAGCGCTTAGAAATGTATGTGTACATATATGCATACCTATACTTATTTCTCCATTGATCCATCTGTATCTATATGAGGCTAAACATGAGTTTGATGTTTCCAGCTCTAATTCCGTATCACACAAATCATTCCAGCTTCCTCCCCTTGCTTATCTCTAATCTCCCACTGCAACGGGAAGAAACCTGGCTCCTGACATTCTGCACCCATTTACTTAAGTGTCCCATTCTATATCCATGTATGGTGGTGCAGAGTTGCTAACCCCTAACCCCATAAGAAACATCGCTACCATCTAAAGCAGAGTGCTTGTGAGCAGCTCTCTTTGACTGTGGTCTTACAGACTCCACTCCTTTGCAAAGTCACTAGGGTCAGCACCCTGCACCCTTCAGCAAGGCCGTGCCATACATTTGCAAGTTAGATTCTTGGGTCACAGTCTGCATTGCATCCTGGCATCCCCTGGCCTCACTGAAGGCTTGTTGCATTGGGTGCCTTGCTCATGCACTCTCTGGCTACTGTGATGTGGAGAGACTTCAGTGAGTCAAGACAGAAGACAGGCACCAACACTGCACCTGGCGAGAGGTTTAGACCTGGGAGGTGGCCATGGAGAGGAGAATATGTAGATGAGATAAATTTTAGACACAGAGCTATGGATTTGAATTACATTTTTGAAGTAAGTACAAAGATGTCCCAGAGGGAGCATCTCTCTCCATTAAATGTCCTGAAACCAGAAGTCTTCACCCTCCTCTTCCCAGCCCCCATGACACTGGGTAGGAGGAATCCTTAATTGTGACATCACCATACCCCAAAGAACCACGCCTACTAGCAAGCACATCATTACTTATGTGGATCTCATCTTTCAGTGCGGGTGGATTGGGTTGTCTAATCATCACGGGCGCCGGTCATAAATACTGCTGTCTGGGCTGTTTTCAACAGTCACGTGATGTGGGAAACACTGTCACTCACCTAAGCCATCTGCTCAGAACCAGGAGCAGCTGAGCTAGGCCTGGCAAACGGGACAATATATACACATTCTGCTCCTTTGATAGATTTGTTTGGGGAAAATGTTCTAGTGATTAATGGGCCATTTCCTTGCTGATACGCTGCACGTGTAGCCATTAACAAATGATTCCAGTGCAGCCTTGGCAAAGTCCCTCCTGTGTCATCTCAGGATGCGGCTGGCAGGGCAGGCGGGAGGGGCTGGTGTCTGGGATGAGGTCAAGGCCCAGGGAAAACAGCCTTCCTTTGTGTTCTGGCTGAGGAGGTGGGTCTGGTGGGGGCTGCAGGGAGCCCACAGAAGGACCAGGGTGGGGGTCCAGGCTGCCGGACCCAGCCCTTCACTCCCATTACTCCCAATAATATTCCTGCTGATGGCCCTGCAGGCACGTGCTCCTTCTTTAAGGATGGGCGGGCTTTTCTTCAACTCATGATCATATGTTTTGCTTCTCGGGGAACTTCTCGTTGGTTTTACTGGCACTGTCACGGGCCCTGGGTAGCACCTGGGGACTCTGTCTTACGATTAGGGACAAAGAGACAGAGAACTGACAGCCCTAAAGAGGTTTGTCCCTGGGCTCAGTGTCACCCAGCAACCAGAAGGGACCCCTCATGTGGTGGCTTGTCCCTGGACTCAGTGTCACCCAGCAAGCAGAAGGGACTCCCTCATGTGGTTATTGGTGAAGGTGAGCATTCTCAGAGTCCCTGCTGGGACAGTCCCCAAAGAGGCCTCTGCTCATGGGGGGCTCATGGCTCACTGGGGCTTACTCCACTGAGAAGGGAGGTAAGAGAGTCAGGGTGGAGCTCCCACCAGCTCAGTCTCTTAACTTGGACTCTGCAGAGCCTCAAGGAGCACCTCACAAGCCTGCTTCGAATGCAGGCTCCCAGGCCTGGGAGAGGTGCACCCCATCCCTATTGTACCCCCTTCCTGATGAAAGGAGAGAAATGATTCCAGGGTTCCAGAGACTCAAGCAGCTTAGAAATCTCTGCACTGAGAGCCTACTTTATCCAGCCCCACCTTCTGCTCCCATTTCCATTCCAACTCCCCCTGGCTCTTCCCTCCTGGCTGCCTGGGACTCCTCTACCCATTAAGGCTCAGCTCAGATTTCGCCTTCTCAGGGATAACATCATTAGCCCCTAAGGCAGAAGAGATAGCCTTCTCTGTGCCCCTCTAATGTGTCACGTTTATGCTAAAAATGGCGTTACCATGCTGCAATGGGAGTAGCTGTTAGTGATTCCCCCAGTCCTTAGAGTATGGGATTCATGAAGTCAGGACTTAAGTCTTCACATTCCTGGAGCCTCCCACAAAATACACACTCAGCAAAGTGCCTGGGAGGAAGCTGTCAATGAAAATGATGGAGGAGCCCTACCCTCTTGTGGGGCTTGCGATAGCGGTGGGGCCTTTTCCTTCTCCTTTATGGGGTGCGTTAAGGCACAAGGGAAGTGGAATTTAAGAAGTATCCTTCAATGCTTGTCAAACTGTGGGTTGTGAAACAACTTAGAAGGTGGTGGCCAGCATTAGTTTAGTGGAATAAAACGTTGGATAGAATACAGTGCAATGGACAGATAAACAGTGTGCATGTATGTGTGTGTATGCATGTGTACGTACATATGTGTTTATGTATGTGTTGTGTATATACATATACTTTATACATAAAGAATAAGAATTGTTCCACAGAGCTTTTGTTTCTGCTACATGATTACACACACATGCATACAGGATGCACTGGAATTCATCTCAGGGACAGACTCCGCACTCAGCTTTGGCTTCAGCCTTGCTCTTCAGAAGGGCAGTCAGCTGGAAGCCCATTTCAACATCCTTTTTGGCTTTCCTGGCAGCCTGCAGATCAAGGATCGGGTGACCCTGCAGGTTACTTTCCTATCTGATCAGTGTAACAACAGTAATAAAATTGACAAGGCGTATCATAGGACTTTTGCTAATATATGTTCATTCCCTTCTAAACACAGATAACCATTCTACATGTAACCTGGAATAAAAGTCACCTTGAGTACTTTATATTTCAAAATTCTTTCAGGCCACGGAAATATAAATGCATATTTATTCATATTGCATGAGTAAAATTCTAGAATAAATGACCATTTGAAATCTATTAATTTTATACATAAAACTTATTACTAAAATGTTTCCTATAGTTAAATAAGGAAATAGACTGGCAAGTAATGCATAAAAAGATCATATGTGTTAGAAAATGTTAATAATAACTTTGTTTTAAAGCCTTTTGATTGGAAGGCCAAGGCGGGTGGATCATTTGAGATCAGGAGTTCGAGACCAGCCTGGCCAACATGGTGAAACCCTCGTCTCTACTTAAAGTACAAAAATTAGCTGGATGGTAGTGGTGTGTGCCTGTAATCCCAGCTACTCGGGAGGCAGAGGCAGAAGAATCGCTTGAGCCTGGTAAGTGGAGGTTGTGGTGAACCGAGATCGTGCCACTGCACTCCAGTCTGGGTGACAGAGTGAGACCTGGCAAAAGTATTCATAAAAATCTTAGATAGGAATACAGGCAGGATACCAGAGATTATTATATCATAGTTCTAATCTTTGTAGAACTATTTGGGTATTGGTATTCATCAAAGTAAACATAATCTAAATACCTGTATTTAACTTTTTCTTGTTTAACTCCATTTAGGCTATACGTCTTTCAAGGGAAAATCCTGTTGATAATTTGTCACATCTTAAAAGCAAAATATCAACAGTTTGCCATCTCAAATAATGAAAAGAAGGGAAAACCCCCAAATCATGATCTTAACATATGCGTCAACAGCATCGAGAAGATGAAGAAAACAGGTCTTACTCACCCACCCACTTTCAGCTGAGGTTGGTTAAGGAAACAAAGTATTTTAGGGGGCCTCATATTTCTCTATTTTGTATTGCAAATGCATAGCAGGAGAGCCGATAGTACTGAGAAATCACTGTTCCTGCACTTTACTGTCAAACTTTAAAGTTTTGATCTCCAAAATTTAAGAACATAATAATGATAAGTAAACATAAACAGAAGCTTAAAAATATTTCCATTTTACTCTTTTTATTATTAAACCCTGGATGCTTCAACCTCAGTTTTAGTCAACTATTGATTTTACCATTTATTCAGTAGCCAATAAGTGTATTCAATGTACCTTTAGTGTGTCTGTGTGCGTACATGCACATATGTGTGTCTCTGTGCATGTATGTATGTACATGTGTGCATCTGTGTCTGTGCATGTTCTGTTCAAGTCTCTATGTGCATCTGTGTGCATGACACGTGTGTGCATGCATGTGCACATATGTGCGTATGCATGATTGTGTGTGCCTGTGTGTGTACATGTGTGTGTGCACAAGTAGGACACGTGTGCATACACTGATTCACTATGTAATAGTGTTCTGGGCACCTCATTGTCACATTTGAACCTCAAAGTAAGGCAGGTTCTTCATTCATTGAGCACGTGAAGAGATGGAGGCTCAGATAAGTTAAACAACGAGCCCCAAGTCACACTTGAGTTAGAGTAGTCTCAACCCAGATGGAGGCATGACTTACAAGCTTGTGTGCCTTCCTACACACCTTCCTGCTCCAGAGACTCCTATGACTTCCATTAATTAATTAGCTAGTTGTCCAACATTTGTTGAGCACTTTAGGCATGGACAATGTGCCTCTTGACACTAAAATGAAAAGATTCAATCTCAAAGATGAGATGATATTGTAGTTTAAAGCAGATGGTTCCCAGTGCCAAGCATCAGGATGAAAGGGCTCCCCTGGGGATGACACTCAGACAGCCAAGAGTCAGAAGCACCTGCTCTTATGTGGGTGAGTCAGAGAAGGGGCCCAATCAGTGGCCACCCTCCAGGGTAGACTGAGGATGGATGGAGGATTACCGAACGGTGGGGAGGAACAGAGGATAAGAGGATGGGATTCCAGAATAATATGCTCAGGACACACAGCTGGTTTGAGGTGGCTGCAGCAAAGACTCCGGGAGTCACAGGAGGGCAGGACAGATGTGCTGACAGTGGGACAAGGTCAATTTCATGGATGCCTTGTAAGCTGGCTCAAGGCATTCAGACATTAACTGGGTAGTGGTGGGAGAGAGGGGTCTGGCCAGGGGAAGGTTTTGAGCCAGAGTGGCAGGTCTTGATTTGCACTGTACAATATCATGAGGCAGTGGTGTGCAGGATAAGTTGGAAAGGGGAGTGAGGCAGAGAGGAAAGAGCCAGAAGTCACTCCCAGGTTCCTCTAACTGGCTCTGCCCCCTGCCTGCTTGGTGTGGGCTGGGGGAGGGGATGGTATGGAAGCTGAACAGGTATGAACAGAAGTCCTGCAGGTAAGAATTCCACGTGCTGATTGTTGTGCTGGGTTATGAAGAGAAAGGGACAGAGGTGTGAGCGTAGGATGTGCTGGGTTTGTGAGGGCTGGGAGTGAGCAGGTAGGGGCTGGTTGGCTCAGTGGGGACTACAGGGCCCTGGCTCCAGTGGGAAATATGGTGTTCTGCAACAGAGAGATGAGTGGAAGATGGGTCACTGGCTTGTGTCCCTGGAAGAGCCCAGACTTGACCCCAAGCCATCTCCTGGTTGTAGGAGTGACTGGCAGCCACATTAGGAGCCAGCAGAGACGTGATGCTGGCAGGTGGGCTCCTAACAAACCCGCCCCATGCTCCAGTGCCCACCCTCTTGGGAGACCAGGCATTCCTGGAGCCCCTGCCCAAGGATGCTTCTTCTCTGTCATTGATTCTGGGGCATGATGGTGCTAGGCTGGAGTCCCAGGGCTCCTCCAGCTCAGGATCATTTTCCTTTACATGAGAGGATGGGGACTTGTCAGAGTTGTGAGGAGCTTCTTGCTCAAATTCAGGTCTGCCCCAGTCCCAGCCCACACCCGGGCTACGGCGGCCACCACAGGCCTGTAGAGGGCTCTTCTCAGGGCCAGGGGCTGGATATGAGGTCCCACTTAGAGGTGATAAGTGACATAGGAGAGTGGCCCCCTCGCCATCTGCTATGATTCCCACGTGACATTCACAGCTCTTTGGGATCTTCAATCTCTTTCATTGAAACATTACAGACTCAGGGATCTGGGGGCAGCCTCCGGAGCCCAGCACATGGGTGCACACTCTGGAGTCCAGCACACAGGTGCACACTCTGGGGCCCAGCACGTGGGTGCACACTCTGGAGTCCAGCAGGTGGGTGCACACTCTGGCCACCTCCTGCAGGAGAGTTGGGACACATTTGAAACCCTGGGGACAGGGTGGGGGACTTCATGGGTCTGAAGGTGGCTCTGAACCTTGGATACAGTCAACGTGTGCAATTAGGAGATTCCAGGAACCCCCTGAAATTGTGGGGAACAATTTGTGTGATTTTTTAAGTGTTCACAGCTTCCATAGTATTTTCAAAGGGGTCAATGACCCAGAAATGGTTAGAAACCTATTTCTCCTGTAAGTTTAACCACACTTCTGGTTCACTGGCATTTCTCCTGGACTGCTTTTAAAATAATTGTTGGAAAACCCCATTTCACATACTGTAGGTGGCAGCAGTCCAGAGTAAAGAGGTACTATTGCCCATTGAGGAACAGAGCCTGAGGTTGAAGGTCTGGGCTAGGGTCATTCCTTGGCAGGGGATTAATCAAAGCAAGGGGAGCTCCAGCCTGCCCAGGGTGCCTGGGGAGCCAGGATAGTTTCCAACCCAGCTGTGGGAAAAGGGCCCACGGCAGGAAGCAGGAAAGAAAGGATGGATGTCAGCGTTTAGAACCCTGGACACTTCACCAGAGAGCAGGGCTAGGAAAGGCCTTGTCACTTGGGATATGAACTTCATTCATTATAAAGCCAAATTGCGTTGTAGCCAGCTATAGCTCAGCCCTGGGGATATAGGGGAGGAAATGAGTCTGTGAGGACTTTGCATGTGCCTGCCTGGCCTACCTCATCCTGGGAGGAGGAGAGAGGTCACAAGGAACTCTGTTCCGAAAAGTACCCTCATAGTCAGAGCACACATCTGCCCTCAGTACTTGCGGCCATGTAAATTCCCAGTTGGACATGTACCCTGGGCAGTCTTATCCATGTGGACCGAAGTGCAGGAGAGTAAACCCCTTGGAGAAAGTGAGTTCAAAGATGTCCTAATCTAGTCCACATGTGGTAACTGTATGAGGACTGCCAAGGGTCCACTTTGGGCAAATTCCCACAGTTCCACTTTCTGGGTCATCGTTTTCTTCTCCCAGCATCTTCCTTAGGGATTTTGAGCTGCAGGATGGCAGAGCCCTTAATTCCTGGGCCTCATATTTCCACGACCCCTCATCTCCAGGAACCTTTCCACCGATAACTCAATCTCTCCATCCCTTGACAGAGCTCCATTTACAAGCCATACAACCATTCCCTCCTGTCTACCTCTTCTTTATTTCTTTGAGATCTATTCTGTCTAGGGCTCCTCACTGGCATTGGACCGAGGTTTCATCACCATTGCCGACTCCTCTCCCTTTAACTTCTCCCTTCACTCCTTCCTGGTTGACGCTCATCTGGAGCCCTTCATCTGCCTACTCAGTTTCAACCCTGGTCAGTCAGGGTTCTGCAGTTGCAAACAACAGACGTAGACTCTGGCTAATTGAAGCAAAATAGTATTATATAGAAAAAAATATAGAATCTGTCACAAAATAGAAAGACAGCTAAGAACCAAGCAGCTGGAGGGGGCTCTGGGTGCAAGAACTACTGTGTAGCCAGGTGGTCTCTTCAGGGCTCAGTTCTCACAGCAAACAAGCCCCAGCCAATTTCTGACCTTGAACCCCTCAGTTTGATGTTCAAATGTTCAAGAGAATCTAATTGGTCTGGTCTGGGCCCTGTTCCCAGTTTTGGATGTTGGATGCATTCAGAGTGGTGGTGGAAATGGGAGACGGTGGGTCCCTAAAGGAACATCAAGGTCCTATTACTAGGAGAAGTGGGAAGGGATGCCAGGCAGGTAGAAGCACATATGTCCATCGGAAGGCCTCAGACAGGACACAGGCACAGTGAGAAACCAGAGAACATTCCCACGGAGCAAGAACACTTCTGAATGTAACTACAGTCCTGTCTGTTGAATGTTACAAGCCCAGATTGATAAGCAAATTTCCCTGGGGTCAGCTGGTGCTAACCCCACATGGCAGGATGGAGCAAGGCTGATGGATGTTGTTTATGGAAACTGACCACGTGGTAATCTTGCAGCCACACTCCAGCTATTGTCCCGCAGGATATGAGATAGAATTCACATGCTTCAGGAAGGGTGAGTGTTAAACAGTGTGTCATTTCAGCAGGGAATGAGATAGAGGAAGAATGGGATTTCTAACTGAAATTCCACAGCTCAGCCTCTCTTTTCAAAACCCAGCAAGCCCAAGACCACCTTTAAGCTGGAGCCCAGAAGTGGGCCACCTAGTTCAGGTGAGACTAGACCTGGAGTGATGCCTGCATTCTGGCCCTGGGTCTGCCACGACTCAGCTTATGTTTTTAGATCATCAATTCATCTCCTTGGGCCTCATGTGCTCATCTTGAAAACGAGGCTAGTTGTTAAGGTAACGTTCCTTGTCATACCCTTTTCTGAAACTACAGCCAAAAGGCCCAAGCTGTACCATGTGCAAAGCTATTTGTGACTCCATCTGGGGTTTTATCACAATGTACACTGATCATTTCACTGTGTGTGTTTCCCCAGTGGTGCACAGTGATCTCCTCCAGGGCAGGGATTCTCATTTATATTTGTGTCTGATATACCCAGAATAATGAAGGACTCATGTATAATAAGCTCTGTATCTCAGAGGCTAACTTCCACAATCTTAGAGGATTCTATGTTCACAAAACACAAGGTGGGCCCCTTTCCACTGAAAGCACCCGAGAGAAAGGAAGCCACCTGGCTCGGGTAGGCGGTCTCTCCTACCATCACTGTACTGTGTTTTAGGAAAGTTATCTCTCTTTGGAGCCCACTGAAAAAAGAAAATCTAGATACAAAGAGAGGGACTGGGTCAGCTGGGCCCTCACATTTCTGGAAATAACTGAGTGAAAGGATTAGGTTAGGGCTCACCCAGGCCAGGGTGCGGCTTTCAGGCAGGAGGGCAGGGCAGGTCAGGCTCCTCTCGCCTCCTCCTATGCTGGTGGGATGAGGGGCTGTATCAAGTCACGGCATTCCTTTGTGTCATCGTGCTCTTCCATAATGACCCCCACGCTGGGACTAGGTCCATCTTTTCGAAGGAGACCCAAGGGCTTGAGAGTCACGGGACAGACCCCACAGTATGGAGTGCCATGTGGTTTTCTCCCCATGAGCCCCCCAGTGTGGGCTGCTGTTTTGATTTTAAGGATACAAAGAGCGGTCTGATAGCAGCGTTATTTATAATAGAGAAAAGCTGGAAGCAACCCACGTGTCCCTGGATGGATGAATGGATGGACGACATGGGGTCTCTCCACACAGTGGAACATTATTAAGTATTAAAATGGAAAGGAATGAAGCCGGGTGCATTGGTTCATGCCTGTAATCCCAGTACTCTGGGAGGCCAAGTCGGGAAGATCACCTGAGGTCAGGAGTTCGAGACCAGCCTGGCCAATATGGTGAAATCCCATCTTTACTAAAAGTACAAAAATTAGCTGGGCATGGTGATGCACGCCTGTAGTCCCAGCTACTTGGGAGGCTGAGGCAGGAGAATTGCTTGAACCTGGGAGGCAGAGGTTGCAGTGAGCCGAGATTGTGCCACTGCACTCCAGCCTGGGAGATGGAGCAAGACTCCGTCTCAGTAAGTAAGTAAGTAAATAAATAAATAAATAAATAAATACATAAGTGAAATTCTGACACATGCTGCAACATGGATAAACCTTGAGGACATTACGCCAAATGAAATAATCCAGTCACAAATATATGAATATTGTATGATTCCACTTATATGAGGTCCCTAGAGTAGTCAAATTCATAGAGCTATTAAGTAGAATGGTGGTTTCAAGGGGTTGGGGAGAGGGGTAAATCGGGAGTTAGTGTTTAATGGGTGCAGAGTCTCAGTTTGAGAAGATGAAAAATTTCTGGATATCCGGTGGTGTGGTTGCACAAAAATGTAAATGTTCTTAATGACACTAAAATGTGCACCTAAAAACGATGAAGACAGTAAAAGGAGAGAGAGAGACAGAGAACTGACTGCATTTTTAATACAAGAAGCCTCAATATTTAGACTTCCAATAGAACTCAAAATATCAGCCCTGGTGATAAAAGAAGAAACCAAAATGAATGGCAAAGCAACAAGGCCAGCAAAATGAATCCGGATGTGGGCCAGGCTTAGCTCCACCTCATGCTGAAGTCCCTGGCCTGCGACAGCCTGAGCCCTGCCCAAGGCCCCTACAAGCCCAAGGGACAACTCCGCAGCCCCCGCAGCCCGGCTTCTGCTCTGTGTGCACACAGCACACATGTGAATGCTGCACCTCTCGGAGCCTCACAAAACACATGCAAACTCAGGCAAAGTCCTTTTGAGCACAGTCTGGAGTCTGGGGAAACAGAAGTGTGACAGAAGGGGTTTTCATAGCCAAAATGTAAGGAATTGCAGTAAGAACTGAGTAACACCTGCGAACATTGACCCGCGCTGTCCACGTAACTGCCCCAAGACCAGCAAGCTTCACTGACGCTTCTGCTTGTCCAGCGTCTTTTCATGTCTCTGACTCTTCCATTCTTCCTCTTTACCACCGCCTCCCCGCCCCACCCCCACCACCACCACCACGTCTTCCTCATTCTCCCTAACTTTCCCCAAAAGCGGTAGATTCCTTCATTGGAATGGCGGAGCAGCTCTTGCCTCCTCTGGGGCCTCTGTTGCAGGGTTGAGCTGCGTTCCAGTGGCTCATCTTTTACACGACAATTCTCAGGGGACTCTCCCAATGTTGGTTCTGCACCTAAGAGGAATTCTTAGCAGCAGCAGCAGCTAAGAAGACACAGCGTTATTCACAGCATTCCTGGGCTACTGGGAGATACTAATAGCTGCTGGGAAAACTAGCTAGGTATCTGGGGATGGGGAGAAGATGTAATTTAGATTCATCCATATCTTACATCAAAGTAGCAGAATAAGTTCAGATAGAAAAAGGAATGAAATGCAAAAATGTTCCATAGAAGTCAATACTTGATCCAAGCTATTTAAGATTAAAAGTAATGGAAGAAATAATAAAATGAAGGTTGAGAGGCTCAGCTACATAAAAATATGAAACTCCTATATAAGTGGGCAACTTTTAAAGACAATCAGTGTATTTGGGAATAATCTATATTAAACATGACTGGTTTCTACCTTTTATATAAAGCTCAGACAAAGCAATAAAAAGAACGGTAATGTGTTTAATGTAAAAGGTGATGATTAAACAGACTGTTCTCTGCAGATGAAATAAAAATGGTTAACATAAAGCATTTCAATTTAATTTTGAAAGAAAACCAAATTCCACATCAACATGTAATTTACTTTCTGTATAATTGTCTAAAGATTTTAATGATAATCATTAATGTTAGCAAATCTGTGGTGACATGGGGAAAGAAAAGTAGTCTCAGTTTTTATAGAATTCTAAGTTTTAAGAAACCTCCCAGAAAGCAATTTGGCAATTATGATCAGAGGCCTTATGATGTTCGTTTGGATCAATTCTTCTAGGAATCTATCCTGAGTACACTCATTGAAATATTTATACCTAGCTTTTTACAATGGTGTTTTTTTTTTCTTTTTTCTCTTTCTTTCTTTTTTTTTTTTTTTTTGTAATGGAGTTTCACTCTTATTGCCCAGGCTGGAGTGCGATGGTGTGATCTCAGCTCACTGCAACCTCCACCTCCTGGGTTCACACAATTCTCCTACCTCAGCCTTCTGAGTAGTTGGGATGGTTTCTTACGTGTGAAAATCTGGCAACAATTTTAATGTCTAATAGCATTTGGATGGCTAAATTCCATAAAATGGGATATAATACAGATACTAAAAATAATGTTTTGGTAGATTTCACTGACAATTAGTCAATATTAATTTTAAATGAAATATTAAAATATTCTATATGAATTTAATATTTCTTAATAAGTAAACATGCATATATATTCATAACATATTATAACATTGTATAAATATTTTTAGCAAAAGACTGGAAAGATGCTGAGACAACTGGATATCTTGGGAAGAAAAATGCACTGTATAAAAATCACACCCAGATTTATTATAAATTTAAATGTTAAAGGAAAAATAATGAAGACTGTAGAAAAAAATCACATTTTAATGAACATGAAATAGACAAAGAGTTCTTAAGCAGGACACAAAGAGTGCTGAATCATAAAGAAAGAAATAAGATAGCATTAAAACAGTCTGAAATGAATAGAAATGAAAGCCACTTCCACAGTAGAAGAAGAGATTTGCAATACATATGTCTAATATATTAAAAATGTTTTAGATCAATAAAGAGATGAAAAGCCTAGTAGAAAAAATGAGACATTTCACAAATGAGGCTATCCAAATGTCTAATACACATGAAAAGAATGGCTAAAATGAAAAAGATGGGGAAAAACAAAGGGTCGATGATATGGTTTGGCTGTGTCCCCACCCAAATCTCATCTTGAATTCCCATGTGTTGTGGGAGGTACCTGGTGCGAGGTAATTGAATTGTGGGGGCAGGTCTTTCCCATGCTGTTCCATGAGAGTGAATAAGTCTCACAAGATCTGATGGTTTTGAAAAATGGTAGTCTCCCTGCACAAGCTCTCTCTTTGCCTGCTGCCATCCACATAAGACGTGACTTGCTCCTCCTTGCCTTCCACCATGATTGTGAGGCTTCCCCAGTCACACACTGTGAGTCCAATTAAACCTCTTTCTTTTGTAAATTGCCCAGTCTCAGGTATGTCTTTATCAGCAACGTGAAAATGGACTAATGCAGTTAATAAGAATGTAGATTGAGCTGCCAGCAGGATCATGTACTGTTGGTGGGAGTGTAAATTGGTGCAACCACTTGGGAAAACTATTTGGCCATAGCTACAAAAGTTGATTACAGGTGTAATTAGCTATGTAATTTGTAACTACATAGCTATGTAATTTGTAATTCCCACACTGTTCTTATGATAGTGAATAAGTCTCACAAGATCTGATGGTTTTGAAAAATGAGTCTCCCTGCACAAGCTCTCTCTTTGCCTGCTGCCCTCCATGTAAGATGTGACTTGCTCCTCCTTGCCTTCCGCCATGATTGTGAAGCTTCCCTAGTCATGTGGACTTATAAGTCCAATTAAACCTCTTTGTAGGCTATGTAATAGTGATGTAATCTGTAATTACACCTGTAATCAGCTTTTGTAGCTATGGCCAAATAGTTGTGTGGTACCAGTCCATGGCCTGTAAGGAACAGGGCTGCACAGCAGGAGGTGAGCAGTGGGCAAGTGAGCATTACCATCTGAGCTCTGCCTCCTGTCAGTTCTGTGGCAGCATTAGATTCTCATAGGAGCGTGAACCCTACTGTGAACTAAGCATGCGAAGAATCCAGGTTGCAAGCTTCTTATGAGAATCTAATACCTGATAATCTGTCACTGTCTTTCATCCCCCCACCCCTAGATGAAACCATCTAGATGGGGGAAAACAAGCTCAGGGTTCCCACTGATTCTACATTATGGTGAGTTATATAATTATTTCATTATATATTACAATGCAACAGTAATAGAAATAAAGTGCACAATAAATGGAATGTGCTTGAATCATTCCAAAACCATCCCCACCTGGTCTGCGGAAAAATCGTCCTCCATGAGACTGGTCCCCGGTGCCAAAAAGCTTGGGGACTGCTGCTTGTAGAACATTGAGAATAAACAAACTGCAATGGCTTGCCAGGGTGTGGGTGAGTCTCAGAAACATAACGTGGCATGATTGCATTTATATATAGTTCAGACCAAAGCTACAGTGATCGCAGCTACCCCTGGGGAGGGAGGGATGACAATAAGGAGGCTTGGAAAAGCTTCCAGGCGCTGCTGAGGCTGTGTGTTCAGCCTGGCACTGATTGCACAGGTGCATTCAACTTGAGAAAATTGATCAAGCCAAGCTGTGCTCTTAGGACCTGTATCTTTTTTATAGGTAAATTCCACTTTAACATTTGTTTTTTAAAAAAGAGAAATAAAGCCTGGAAGGTATGTAAGTAGTTATAATCTGTGGGTTATGGAAGATTCTTCTTTTTTTCTTTATGTCTATGTTTTCTAAAATGAGCCTCTATTACTTCCATTGTCAAACAGTTTTCTTTGGTTTTGCTTGTTTTGAAATCATTCCTGCTGCCTTCATCAGAGCAGGCTCTGTGATATGTCAGAGCCACTGGCCCACAGCGGGAAGAGCTTCCTGTTCTAGGAGGAGGCCTACTCAGTAATTTTGCTCCTCATAATCTGAAACCAGAACTTAAACTCAGGGCACATTTCCAGAAACTGACAGGGCTGACAGTCCTCCAGTGTTCACTACTTTCTTCCTGGGGCAGCAGCCAGGTGTGTTGTCCCAAATGCCATCTTTTCCAGTGCAGGCTCTGACCGTGAGAGAAGCATTCAAAAGCACAGCAAGTCTGCGAAGTCCAGGATGGGATCCTCATTGCTCAGTTCTCCTCTTAACAGCCTTCCAGCCTAGGCGATAGGGCAATACCCCCTTCTACACAAAATACAAAAATCAGCCAGGTGTGGTGGCATGCACCTGTGGTACCAGCTACTTGGGAGGCTGAGGTGGGAGGATCACTTGAGCCCAGGAGACGGAGGTTGCAGTGAGGGGTGATCTCACCACCGTACTCTAGCCTGGGTGACAGAGTGAGACCCTGTCTCAAAAAAACCAAAAAGGAGTGAAGTGTCCTTTGTGAACTGGAAAGTGCCAAGGAGAACTGGAAGGAGGCTGATTGTACACCTACTCCAAATACGGCTTGTTTAACTGTCAGTCACCTCGATGTCCCAAAGGGAAAGAGACTCTTCTGAAGATGCTGATGTTGGCACATGCATTTAAGGTGAGCACCTTACTTACACTTCAGTCAACAACATGCTTACCTAACACATTCTGTGATCAATATGTTCGTGGTCTCGATATTAGACCAAGTGACTCAAACTGGCTTATTTATCATGGCACCTAAAAAAAAGAAAACAGAGATGGGTGTGACATTTAGGCAATATTTGATCTTAACTCTGTCTCTATTTCTTTGCCATTTTCTCAGCCCTGCCCATCTCTCTGTACTTGCCACCTCCGACATCCACGATTGGAAGATGGCAGCAGTCACCAAGTCTACACGTGTCCTCATTCACCTCCATAAGATTTGAGTCAATTGGAACACTCCTGAACCAACCCCATATCCCAGAGAAAGGCAGGCTCTGATTAGCCAAGGCCTAATTGACCTGCCCTATCCACTGTACTGGGAATAGGCTTGTCCAGTCAAGGAATTGGGGATGGAGTTGCTCTTCCCAAAACTCCACAGCTGCTGAATTGACACAAGGAGGTTGGGATGGCAGGTCCTGGGAGGCCACCCTGCAGTTCATTTCACCTCTTAAGTATGCAAAGGAAAAAGGAGACATGGTTGTTTGATTTCAGGCTTTTTACAGCATGAATTTGGAGTTTGTCACCTTAAGAAAAGGAAGATCACAAAAGGACCTTTTTTTTCTCCGAGAACCTTCTAAGGGTCCTTTTAAGATATACACACTGGACATCTACTTTGTGCTGGGCACTGTATGAAATCCTGGAGGAGAAACATGAAAAGGGTAGACTTGACCTTGAGGGGCTCTGGAGCTTTCTCCTCTCCTTGGTCCTACCCCAACCCCTCAGGGTCCATGTGAGATGAGAACATCTTAGAGGTGGAAGCAGCAGGTACAGGAGCTTAGCTGCAGGGCTGGGGTGCAGAAGGACTGTCTTGGAGTGCCCCCAGCTTGGGTGGTGGGGGACATCTTTCCCTCCTTCTTCTGAGGCTGTGCCTAGAACCTGGATGGAGTAAGCAAGCTCCTGCCACCATGTTCGGAATTGGCAGTCTTACCTGGTCCCAGAGGACAGGGAGACCTGGGGAGTTTCCCTGTTCCAGTGGGGAGTTAGGCATGAGCAGGGCGGGAGACGGCTGCCCTCCACACACACACCAGGAATGTCAGGCAACCTTCAGGTGATGGACAGGCAGTTGTTATGCTGTCTCTCTAAAATAATAATTTATCACAGCCAATGCCAGAGAAAGACAGTCTCCTAACAGATGAAAACACCGGAAACTGGTGATCAGCAGCTTCTTGATAATATCTCAAGAGTTGGGCGAGTGGGCTCAACCATGCGCCTTAAGAGGCAAAATGGTGGAGTTAACTGGTCTATGACCTTCCGGGGACATTTGACTGGTAAGGGAAGAGCGTCTCAAGTGAGCATGCGCACAACTCCAGTGAACACACTGTGCATGCTCCCTCCCAAGTGCTGGCAGGCCACTGTGCATGCAGACAGCCCACCCCAAGGGAAGAATCAGGGGAGAAGGGATGCAAGACCCCAGAAGCATGCCAACGTATAAAACCCCGTCAAAGATCAACAGTGCACTTGATCTCTCAAGTCACCTGCTTGGCCCTCTTCCAAGAGTACTTTCCTCCCTTTCCTTCCTGCTCTAAAGCTTTCTAATAAACTTTCACTCCTGCTCTAAAACTTGCCTCAGTCTCTCCTTCTGCCTTATGCCCCTTTAGTCAAATTCTTTATTCTGAGGAGGCAAGAATTGATGTTGCTCCAGACCATGTGGATTCACCACCAGTAACACCCTGGGTCATCCTTTCTCACTGTAGTCCTCTCAGAACGACCATCTGGCTCCCCGTTCCCTCTGCTCTGCAAAAGGCAGATTTGAGCTTCAAGGACTGGGAAAAGGAGGAAGCCGTTTGCTTTGGGAAGGACTGTCCCCTGCAGCCTGCCTCTGATTGTCTTCCCTCCAAGTGACCTCTCCTTTGAAAAGCACAGGCCTTTTCCAAGGTCTGGGAAAAATAGTCAAGAAAAGCTCAGGAATGCCTTCTCTTAGGAGTCGACCTTTCCGCCTTTCATGTGGTTAAAGAATTCCCCTTTGAGGGTCCCCTTGTGTAAACCCTTTAATTGCGTAGCTAATACAAACCAGAGCAGAAATGATTCATCCAAGAATTCTTGTTTGGATTCATTACCATTTTCAAAGTGTCCCTCTTTTATCTTGTCTCGGATCAGCTGAATGATGCCCGTGTTTAAAAAGGGCTTAGCAGAAGAGATAACACATTATCACTTCTTCTCAGCCTAGTGTGGTGGAAGGAGGTTTACTCTAAAGATAATTAAATCTTAACTCCCAATGGGTGAGGAAACCCAGACTTCCGTGAAACAGCTTCTACCCTGCTTGAGGGCCCCACACAGCTGGGATGCCCCAGAGGTCAGAAAGAGGGGTCTTCCCACAGCATCACCCCACTAAGTGGTGAGTCAAAAAGGGGCAAGTGATAGGGTTTCTTGTTTCAAAATGGAACCGGATCCCAGTATAGATAACGTGCTAAGAGGTTAGGAATCTTCCTACTAGAACTGTGGATTAGCTTGGCTTGACGACAGTAGAAGCAAGATATTATCTGTGTCTGACAAGACTACAGAGAGGTAATCAATAGTCCACACTGGGTGTGGCAGGCACAGAGATGTGTGGGGAGCTCAGATTCCCCTTCACGCTGTGAGGAGTGTGGTTAGCCAACAGCCTCCAAATGAAGATGACAGCTCATAAATCACCCTCAGCTTTGAAGCTAAGATCATATTATTCTTGGGGTGGCTTCAGTTGGTGACTGAGCAAGACTTCCTGGCCACCTCCACCTGACACGGGAGTCTTTGAACAAGGAAGCTTCACTCCAAGCTTACTGTTGGGGAGGTGGAGGCTCTGTCAGGTCCACCACTGTGTGATGGCCCCTCCCATTCCATCCTTCCTCCTCCCTTTTCCTTTCACAGCCATTATCTCCAGCAAACCAATCTCTCCTAACTCAATTTCAGCATTTCACATGCCCAGATCCCCATTCACAGAGCTCCCATGCATCCATCCACCAGTCCCTGAGGGGCTGCATCTTGGCCCTGCTGGAGCTACTATGTAAAAAACAGAGATCCACTTGGGGTGGGGGCTGGATCTTGGAGGGCAGTTTAAGGAATGGCAAGAATGATGCAGAGTGCTGGGAGAAGAAGAATCTTCCTGGAATCGGTCCCTACCAAGATGTCCCTTCCACTATATCAATTCCTAGAGACCGTTAGCCAAGGAATAGGGTCACTATTTTATGGAACAGAATGCCGTCCCAGGGACACTCCCTTAAGGGAGGCTGCATCTGAAAATGTCTTGTCAGTTTCAGAGTGTACGGTGTCTATGACAAGCCACGCTGAGCATGCTTCTCAGGACGGAGACATATCCAGAACTTTCACAGCCCAGAAATCCCAGACTAAGCCAAAGATTCCACACTGGATCTTCATCAGACAAAGCCTTGAAGAACAAGGAAGATGCTTCTCATCACCCAGTTTTGTCTGCTTCAGCTCCAGACATAACCAGGATGCACTTCCCCAAGGCTCAGGAATGGGACAGTATCCAGCTACCCCCAGCCCTGCATGTGCAGGGTCAGCAGTCCCTCTGTCTAGAGGAGCCAGGAGTCACGTTAGTCCTGGCTAACGGCAAACTCAACAGTATTTCCATCTTTTGTCTTTGTGTAAGAGCTAGAGATACCTGCTTGCTCCTGTAGCTTATCCTATGAAAATTCTAAGCCTGTCATTTTCTCTAAAAAGTATCCTAGTAGCTTCTTTATCTGTTAATGCAAAACATAAGACACCTCTAAATGATGTTTTGAGGACTTAGTAATGTAAAACATTTGTTACAGGGATTTTATTTAATTTTTTTGGTAGCTTAGTTCATTTATTTTCCATTTGTTAGTAATTTCTAATACATGAATTTAAGGCCATGTTTTTCTCTGAATCTCCATCTAACGGACTTGGATGTATACGTCTCTCATCATCCTTCATTTCTAAGGCATTTGTAATGTCAATTTAACTTCATCTTTAATTCAAGTTATTTAAAAGTGTGTTTGTGGTTTTGTTTTCAAGAGAGTTTTAAAACTGACATGCAATACAAGAATACTTTGAAACCAGGTTTTTCTAGGCTTAACCCTACCTCTGAATCTAACCCTAACACAAAGCTTGACCCTAACTCACATTTCTTGAGCTTGATTCCAGAGAAAAGAAGACCTAACTGCTCTTCTATCCACTGACATTTTTGCAAAGCGTTATGGATTGTTTGTAATCTGGCATGTCACCCTACGAAAATATGCTTCAAAACCAAAAACATAATGGTTTTGTTTTATTTTTATAGTGGGTGGGTTGCAAAAGGCCAGAAGGAAATTCTGTTTTCTAGACTGCTTATTTTACTTGGAAAGGGAAAATGCCTCTCTAATGGCTGTCCTTGAAGGCAGTCAAAGCCAAGAAAAAGCATTGCCAAGTTTAAGAGTAAATATTCCAAAAAGTAATATTAGCAAATTATTTTCAGGAACAAAGCCCACTACCACCATAATTATTTATTAAGGTTTGGGGGCCTTGGTCATTGTAACATTGTAACTATAGAGGAAACCAAATAAAATGAATGCATACGGTAAAAGGAGAAAAATACTCTTCACAGATAACAATAATTGAAAATATACAATTATTTCAAAGCAGCTTAAGTGACTTTAAAAGACAAATATGGAAAAACCAATAGCACCTGAGTATTGATCTTATTCACAATAGTATCAAAAATATTATAAACATAGAAGTGATTTTGAGAAAATGTGCAGAATGTAAATAAAACCTCCAAGGTCTATAGGAAGTCATAAAAGACATCCATTTGAGAAAGGAAAACTATTTCTAGATGTACAGATGAATAGTCCAAATAGACTTTTTATGAATTTGGCAAAAATAATTTTGAAATTCACCTGAAAGAACAATTGACATAGACTTCCAAAAAGATTGCTTGAAAAGTAAGAGTTAAGAGGGAAGAAGTTTGCAGTCCCAGCAAATATTAAAATATATTTTAAGAAGAACATTCATTAAAACCTTAGAATATTGGCTTAAAATATGACAGAGAGAGACTAAAGGAATGCAATGAAGAAACCTTGAGCTAAAGACAATCATATACAGAAATACAGACAGTCACATGTGGAACTTGACATTTTCTAGTAGCTGCATTTAACAACAGTAAAAATAAATAATTTTAATAATATATTTGATTTAACCTAATATATCAAAATGACATCATTTTAACATGTGATCAATTGAAAAAATTATTTATTTTATTTTTTGAGACAAGGTCTTACTCTGTCACCCATGCTGGAGTGCAGTGGCGCGATCACGGCTCACTGCAGCCTTGACTTCTTGAGCTCAAGTGATCCTCCCACTTCAGCCTCCCGAGTATAGGTCCACAGGCACACACCATCACACCCAGGTAATTTTTGTATTTTTGGCAGAGACAAGGTTTTGCCAGGCCCAGGCTGGTCTCAAACTCCTGAGCTCAAGCAATCTTTCCACCTTGGCCTCCCAAAGTGCTGGGATTTATAGTTGTAAAGCCATGGCGCCAGGCCTTGAAAAAAATTATTTAATATTCACACAATACTTTACATTCTTTTTTTGTACCAAGTTTTGAAATTTGTACTATCCACATATTTAATAGCCACATGTGGCTAGAGGCTATGACCTCCTTACAGCATAGATTACAGGTAGGGAATGCTATATGTTATTGAACAGGTATCAGGAAAGCCATGGAGAAGGAAATAGATATTTAATAAATGACATATGTCCTTATAATGACTTGTAAAATGCAGAAATGTATCTCGATGAGTTAAACCCACACCATAGGTCATCTGACAAAGTAAGATCTAGATGGAGTAAATCAAACTATTTTAAAAACTAAAAAGCAGAAAAGCTTACAGTAAGCCAAGCAGTGTCACAACTTGAGTGGACCTGGATGGGAGTCCTGCTGGTTCCAGGAAAAACAGGCCTGCGGAGAAGGAGGAGAAGGTGGGGGCATCAGACACTGTGGAGGTGAGTGGCCTGTGTGTGGGCAGAGCCTGGGAAAGACGGCCAGGGGTCCAAGACCCGGGAACCAAAGGCCCAGAGGCCAATTCTAGAGTGATTCAGACAGCGGGTGGGATCAGGCAGGCCTGGTAGGCTGAGGCAGTGGAGCAGAAGTTTCCAGGCACTAGTCCAATTTGGAAGTGCAACAGGGTGTTGGCCACTGTTGGGTAATCTATCCACAGTAGACAGGTCCCCACCCATGGAAGCTCCACCAAGGACAGCTGGAGTCGAGCCTGGGGGAGAAGGTCTTGGTGAAGTCGGGATGTCCAAAGAACCATCAGGGTCGTGTGTGCAGCTCCAATCGCAGCGGGAAAGTGAGATCTCAGAGGCCGCAGACACACAGTGCTGTCAAGTGGGAGAACAAGGGGACCAATAACTGCAGGAGTGGAAGACGCTGCCATGGGCTGAAGAGTGTCCCCCTCAAAATTCACGTGTTGAAGGCCTAAGCTCAATACCTCCCACGCGACTGTATTTGTAGACAAGGCGTTCAAAGAGGGAACTGAAGTTAAATCAGGCCATTGGGCTGGACCCACTAAGAGGAAATTTGGACACAGGTGGAGAGGGATGATCATGTGAAGACACAGGGAGGTCGGCCATCTACAAACCCAGGAGAGAGGCCTCGAGAGAAACCCACCCTGTCACATTCTTGATCTCAGACTTGCAGCCTGCAGAATCCTGGAGAGAATAAATGTCTGTTGTTGGAGCCACACAGTCTACAGTGCTTCATTACGGCAGCCTGAGCTGACTCTACAGATGCTGAAACTGCAGATTGCACCAGTGAGGCCCTCGTCCCCACAGCGCCACGGTAGACTCAGGCCTGGTGTGCGGACCCGCCCATGCGGCTGGGGCGGGCGAACCACTCAGGAGCCTCACCCACTGTGTCCTGTGCAAACCGCTTGCCCACTGGGGGATTGGGAAGTCATGTTGAATCCGTGCCTGGAAAGACTCCACTCGACTCGGTGGAAGATGGGACCCAATGATAGAGTTGCCAGATAAAATACAGGACACCCAGTTACATTTGAATGCCAATAAGCAACGTTATTATTATTATTTTTTTAGTGTATGTCTCAAATATTGCAGGGGGCATGCTTGTTCTAAAAGTTATTTGCTATTTATCTGACATCCAAATATAACTGACTATCTTACCATTTTATTCGCTAAATTGGACAACCTTGGCCAAAGGATAAGGAAAGGGGCCCAGCCCAGCAGGTGTAGCAAGGAAGTGAAGAGGAAGATAGTGGGGGAGCCCTGACCCGGGCGGTGGCGGGGGTGTTCACCAGAACCACCCAAGGGAGAGGACTTTCTGAAGACAGAAGTAAAAGACAAAAGTCAATGAAATGTTCAACAGATTTAACAACATCAACATTTTATAACTAACATTAAAAGAAAAAAGAAAAAATAACAGACTGGGAGAACCATTTCACCAATCTGAAAAAGCCGGTATGAATATAGAATACTCATTTCAACTGGTAAGAAAAATATCAAAATCTCAGTAGGCAAATAGGGAAAGGATGTGATAAATAATTTGTACAGAAGGACCTACAATTACCAAACAAATTTGGAAGAGTATTTTTGTCCTTTTAAGAATTTTTACATGAAAATTCTTAAAAAATTAAGAATAAACTTTCACTTCTAAAAAATAGGACTTAAAAATTTAATTACTTAGTGAGAATGAGAATGTGGTTCCACTGATAAGATGACCCTTCTGGTGGTGGAAACTTAGCAATGTGCTAAGTGGAATTTCTTAGTGGAAATTTAGCAATATGCTTATACTTGTTGACCCAATAAAATAATTCCTGGGTTTTGTCCGAAGAGTAATGATTTAAAATAAAGACAGGAAAAAGGATAAGAAATAGTGTATTATTCCATTACGCTGACTATACAATTATGAATACACTTGAACAATAACTGGAAAGAAATACACACACAAAAAAGCATTCGATGTGAATATATTCTTCTCTTTAAGGTTCCCTTGGGTCATTAGCATATTTTTCTTTTAGAATTACCAAACATTAAAGTAAAAAAGCAGTTTCTTTTTTTCTCACAAAGACTAAGGTGTGCCGTCAGAATTCCACCTGGCTCGTGACCTGGGGATGGTGGGAGGGTTGGCCATCAGAAACTCTTAGACCAGCTCAGGGAATAATTCCCTGAGCCTTCTTTTCTACTTGACATCAGAGTCTGTAGGTCCAAAGCTTTGCTGGCTATCCAGGCCTTTTAAACAGGTACTCAAAAGCCCTAAAGACTTTCTCTGGCCAAAGGTTCAATGCACTACAGGATATTTCCATTCGATGAGACAGTAATTTTTTTTTTTTTTTTTTTGAGATGGAGCCTCGCTCTCTTGCCCAGGCTGGAGTGCAGTGATGCGATCTCAGCTCACTGCAACATCAGCCTCCCAGGTTCAAGTGAGAACCTGCCTCAGCCCCTGAGTAGCTGGGATTACAGGCATGTGCCACCATGCCCAGCTAATTTTTGTAGTTTTAGTAGAGACGAGGTTTCACCATGTTGGTCAGGCTGGTCTCAAACTCCTGACCTCGTGATCCGCCTGCCTCAGCCTCCCAAAGTGCTGGGATTACAGGTGTGAGCCACCATGCCCAGCCAATATAGTGATTTTTATTTTATAGTTTTTTTAACCGGGTATATTAATGTCTTGCACTCACTCTTCACATTGTCGTCTACTAACCGAAAGCCAAAACCTGAATAAACTATTGTGGTAACAGCCTTTGCATGATCGGGGGTAATAACTCTTTGCTGTCACTATACCATTTTCCAGCACCTAGGAGGAGCAGGAGATGGTCTGCTCAGTTGCCCCTGAAGTGTCTGGGTTCTGGTTCTAGAACAGACAGCACAGATCACAGGAGAAGGACACTTCATCACGGGTCAGTCCAGTGGATGCTATGACTGCTGGGAGAGAGGGGTTTTAAATATGAAGAATTGAGGTCAATATCAAAAACCGTTGGGTTGGATTTTCTGAGGCTCACAAAGCTTCTCCCAGCCCAAACTTGGGAACAAGAGACCACTCCTGTATCAGTTTGCTAGGCTGTCATCACCAGATTCCGCAGACTGGGTGGCTTACACAACAGACACTGATTTTGTCACAATTCTGGAGGCTGGAAGTCTGAGAGCAAGGCATTAGCAGGGCTGGTTTCTCCTGAGGCCTCTCTTCTTGGCTTGTAGATGCCACCTTCTTCCTGTGGCTTCATATGGCCTTTCCTTTGTGTGTTCGTGTCCTCATCTCCTCTTATAAGCACACCAGTCACATTGGATTAGGGCCCATCCTAACAGCCTCGTTTTAGCTTAGTTATTCCTGTAAAGACCCTATCCCCAAACACAGCCACATTCCAAAGTATTGAGGGGTTAGGACTTCAACATGTGAATTTTGGAGGGGACACAGTTCAGCCCATAACAATTCCTGAGGTCAGAAGAGAACTTCCCCGTTATTGGCTGCAAAGCTGCATAGGCATATATATATATATATTTATTTATTTACAGGATCCTAACTTGTCCTGTAAGCAAGAGAGTCATCAAACCTTACACGAACCCTCAAGACAAATGTGCTAGAAGATCCTGACTAAACTGTCTGGGTAGTCTGAGAGCAGCACCATTTTATCGTAGGATTCCTGAGATTTTCGGTTCAAACCTGAGAGTGCCCCTTGGGAAGGGAAACCCCAGCACACACAGGCCTCTGATGTTAGCCCGGCTCAGTGCCCACAAGCACATCTCCATCTCAAGGGCCTTTGCCCCACGAGGGCCAGGGTGAAGTCTCCTTGTTTCAGCACCCCCAGGGACGCTGGGTGATGACTTTTCTCTCTGCCTTCCTTGGGGCCAGGTCTGGAGGCCCAATGCCACCTGTATTCGACCTGCATAGGGGGCTGTGAGTGTCATCTTCCCTGGGTCCAGGGCCACATTTATGTTTTCTTTGTATTGCCACAATGCATCTTAATTCCCATCTGCATTCTCAGCTAAGGCGAGGCCCACCCCAGCACATCACCTCACCCTGATGGGCTCCCTGGCCTCTGATCCCTGCACAGTTGGTGTCCTCCTGTGCCTCTGGGACATGTGGGATGGACCCAGGCTGCTCCCCTCTGCGCTCGCCTTCCTGAGCTCTCCCACTTCCAGGGGCCCTGAGCGTGCTCTTAGGCTAGTGTGACATCATTCATGACAGCAGAGTGAGAGTTCAGATTCATTGTCTTTTCTTTCATGCACTTTATCTTTCAGCCATGTCAAGAGCTGGTTTGAAATGCAAGGTATGGTAGGAAAAATCTGTTCAGCTATCTCTGGAACAAATAGAAGGAATTGTGCACTTTGACAGCCACGTGTAGGTTCTTTTGATGTCCAGCACCTTCCTCCCCTTCAGGGTGTGAGGCTGGCACACCTCTATTTGGGACACATCAGTGTACATTGATCTATTAAAACCCATTGGGCTTAATGTGGCTCAGGCAACAAATGCCTCAAGCACACTGCAGAGTTTGTGCACAGCCTATTGTCGAAGTGGGATTACACCGTGGGGTGGATACCTCTTTCAGAGGAGACGTAGCCAACTCTAGTGGGTGTTTATTCTCAGAAGAGGTCAATAGATGTTATGAAACACTTGCAGCTGGGGGAAGAGATTCCAAAACATGTGGCAAGCAGCACGGCTCTCTCTGCCTGTTGGTATCACGGGGCAGGACAAGGCATCCATCCTTCTGGACAGCATATGTATGATAGAAAATAAAGTCACCCTGTTTGTTCTTAGCACAGTCTGAGCAAGACTGAAGAAGATCCTCTGAGAATCAAACTGAGCAGATGGCTCAGGGTAATGTTATTTGACTTCCTCTAGGGCCACCCCAAGAAGTTCAATACAACACCATCAGTACAGCTCTTCTTGACTGTCACTTTATCACGGATTTGAAAAGCAACTTAAAATGTTTTGCCCTATCTTTATTGGACTATAAGCTCTGAAATTATCCATAAAATTGTTCCTATCAAATGCAAGATAGTATGACCTGCAAAAGACCAGTAAAATTTCAGAACTATGTCTTTTATTAAAAGTATAAGGCAACCGAGGGTTGTCTGGCTCATTGGCTTAACTTTTTTTGTGGTCACTAAGCATTATAATTTCCAAAATGAATCCATAGTGGAAAAGTAGGGAAATAGAAAAGAATTAAAGATCTGAGCTTGGCAGGAAAACCCAGGAACAGGAAGGGGTTAGGCCCATAGGAACCAGAAGTATGGCAGGACAAAGGCCTTCAGGAAAGCTCATCACGTCTGCTAGACAAAACTGCATGGGGGAATTACCTGGCTGTGACACTGTAGGATAGGTATGCAAGATGATACCACGCGGGGAAACTGGGCGAAGAGTACCTCGGCTCTCTCTACAGTACTTCTTACAATTGCATGGGAATCTTCCATTATCTCAAAGTAAAAGGTTTAATTTAAGAAAAACTGCACAGGCAGTGGGTGTACGGTTCATCCCAGTCCCTTCCCTGCCACCTGTGCATCTCTTGCTCCATCTTCAAGTTCTTAGGAAAAAGAGAGCGTTGTTAGGAGTGTAGGAGAGGCTGGACCCCTTCAACCCCTGTGTCTCTGGCTCATCGGTTAGCCATGCTGGTTGGAGAGAACTGTCTTGCAGGGATGGCTGCACCTGAGGCCGTGTTTTTGACCTGGCATCCTCCCCTTCCCAAGGTAACCTGCTGATGAGGACTCATTGCCAGCGGGCACGAATGCTGTACAAACAACACCTGTTCTCACATCTTAAAAAAGGATCACAGAAGTTTGAGACGCAGCCACCTAGATGGGAGACACACTGACAGCATGATCCCAGCACTCCCAGAGAAAAGAAAAGACCCCAAATGTGGAATATTCGTATTTCCTGTGGGGATTGTGAAGGGAGATCTTGGAATGTGAAAGCAGCCCATTGTTCAAGCTCAGCACAGATCCCAGTGAGGATCTGCATACAGTAGCAACTCAATAAACATTGCATTTGAATGAATGAATGAATGAATGAATGAATGAATGCTGGATCCCACAAAGCTGTCTTTAAATGCATCTCTAAAAAGAGGCTAGAAAGAAAAGTCTTTCACAGTTCAGAGGCCATTGTATCTTACTGTTTCCCCATAACTTGGGCCTTTGTGATCCGACAGAACTTTTAGGTCAATGCTTGCAGTCAAGAGGAAGGTGAGTACCACCTCCTCACTGAGGATACCTTTTTACAATTGGAGGGGTGGCTTCAATAGGCATCCAGTCTGGTACCCATTGTCACTAAGGATGCCTCAATCTTAATTGCATAAAAAAGAAAACAGCTGTGTTTGCAGTCATCTCCCAAAATGCAAATGCTCAATTCTAAATAAATGCTTTCACAGGTTAAGTTGTGCAGTCTTGGGGCTACATCTCACAACTAACCCCTCCCAGCAGATCCTGAGGGACCTTGGGGGTCAGGAACAGATAGGCATCCGTCTCTTTCTCTGGGGTTCCTCCAGAGCTGAGGCTGGTCACATGTGGTACCTGCTCCCCATTTTTTTAGGATAAAATGCTCTGTCTGAGACTGTTAAAAAAACAGTTAACAAACTGTTAAAAAAAACAAAAAACAAAAAACTAGACAGCAGATGATGATTGACCATCCTTCAAATTCCCATCAACATTTGCTATCACAGGACATCAGGAATATTGGTTAATGGTTGGTCAGGCCCCTAGAGAGATGGCCACCAATTAAAGCAAAAGCAGTGACATAAAGAAATTCAACTCATATTATGACCTGTAAGTAGGGTGAATTATTACTAACCTACCCTTCAAGTCACCATTCACTGGTTTTGGGGAAAAATAATTCAATGTTCATTCTATTTTAATAATCAATTCCATCTGATAATTTCAAAAAAATGTTTTGCCTCTTTACTGGAGAAAATCAAAACACTATTTCTGAGATGCACGCCCTCTCTGCCTGGAGTTTGTTCCAAGATGCTCCTCCCACGTGTAAGAGGAGTGATGTTGCTTGTGTGGACCTGTGCTTGGAGGGGTGGGGCTGATGGTCCCTGAGCTTGGAATTTTTGGTGGCTGTGTTGCAGGAAAGGCGGTCTCGATCCAGACCCCAAGAGAGGGTTCTTGGATCTCCAGCAAGAAAGAATTCAGGGCAAGTCCATACAGTAAAGTGAAAGCAAGTTTATTAAGAAAGTTAAGGAATAAAAGAATGGCTACTTCATAGACAGAGCAGCCCCGAAGGCTGCTGGTTGCCCATTTTTATGGTTATTTCTTGATGATATGCCAAACAAGGGGTGGATTATTCATGCCTCCCCTTTTTAGACCATATAGGGTAACTTCCTGTCATTGCCACGACATTTGTAAACTGTCATGTGCTGCTGAGAGTGTAGCAGTGAGCCAACTAGAGGTCACTCTTATCACTATCTTAGTTTTGATGGGTTTGGGCCAGCTTCTTTACTGCAACCTGTTTTATCATCAAGGTCTTTATGACCTGTATTTTGTGCTGACCTCCTGTCTCATCCTGTGACTTAGAATGCCGTAACCATCTGGGAATGCAGCCCAGTAGGTTTCAGCCTCATTGTACCAGCTCCTATTCAAGATGGAGTTCCTCTGGTTCACACACTTCTGACGGCTGGACGATGGCCTCTCTCCTCCTGGCTGATGCTCATCTCAATGGCATTTCCAACTGGCATAGGAGGTGTGAATGGCACAGCCTGGTTGACCAGTGTTGGACAGTGCTCTCATGAGGCATCTTGGAGCATTTGGACAGAGCTGGAGCCTGTCTGAGATGCCGATTCCCATTTTAGGACGTGGGCTCAGGAATGACACTGGCCTGCAGAACCAGCCCCAGCCTCCCAGTCTGCCTGCGCTGCATAAGAGAAAGGTTGTCTTGGGAAAGAGTGATGTAAACATGATCCAGTAAGAAAATGGCAGCATGGGGCACGGAGTGCTGGAGCGCTGGCTGTAGAGTTGTGGTTCTCACTGTGGTCGCTGGAGCATCACTCCACCTCATCTGGGAATTTGTTAGTAATGCAGATTCTCAGGCCCACCCCAGACCCTCTGAATCAGAAACTCTAAGGCGGCGGGGGGGGCCTTGAGTTAACAAGTCCCACAGACGATTCTAACGCAGGCTAAAGTGTGGGAACCACAAAGGCAATCAGCCTTCTTCAGCAGTAACGACCTGGGAACATAGGAACTTGTGGTGAGGGACTTTGCCTCTGATTTTTTTTTTTTTTTTTAGGTTCAGAACCTGTGTTCCATCAGTTTCAGTAACAATGCAGCAATAGGACAAGTTTTGATCAAACACTTTTCTGCTCCCTGTGCTCTGCTGAACGTCACCAAGGTCAGGAAGTGCGTTGTTAAATGCTCACCCTGTGTCTGTTAAAATGTAACCCCCAGGGCCTCAGGCCCCTCCCAGGAAGGAAGATGGGTGACCCCACTGGAGCCTGGCTTTCAGAGAGGTGGGGCCAAACGGAAACCTATAAATCCATTTCCAGAAAGTCCAAAGTCCCCATCTGTTTTAAATGAACATACGTTTTTAGTGACAGAAGACCTCTCCTTGAGCCCAGGGTTGAGAGGGTCAGAAGGAGGAAGGTTTGCTCTGGAAATCTGTGTCCTTCCAAAGCCTGGCTGTCAGCATTTGGGCAGCTCCTGAAGGGCATCTGTCCACCCGAAGCAAGGCTGGCCTGGGGGTCAGGGATCCAGACCTGGTTCCGGAGGGCTCCAGTGCCTTCATTCCTGGGCTGGGCACCCTTCCTGGAACTGGGACCCCTCCGGGTGAGTCAGCCTCACCCATGTCAACTGCATGTCCTGAACCACCTCCCCACTCCTATGGGCCTTCCCATCCCACGGTGCCCATTTGTCCTGGTAAAGACAGACTAGGGCTGCCACTGTGTCTGACTCTGCGTGGTGGAAGGGGCCCACTGCCCTGCAGCATCAGAAAGTTCCTCTTATCTCTCCCAGGTATTGGTGCTTACCTACAATTCTGCTTGCAAAGAAGAACGTTTTGAAAATCAGTTTCTATGCCCCACCTTTTAGACATTTATGGGGCTTTAGAAATAAGGTGCATCTGGCGCTGCAGTGTTACTGCAGAAACTGATTGGGGGAAGGGTTTAGGAAGGAGGAGATGCTGACACCAGAGTACAAACACGAGGTGGCTCTGCCAGTGGAAACCCCTGGATGAATGCCGTTTTCTTACAGATTGTGCCTGATCCTTCTGACCAAATGTGCACATTTGCAAAATACTGGGCTTGAGTCCGATGTGTCTTCTGGGGCCTTCTAATGAGTTAACCTAGTACATTCCCCAAGAGCCCACCCTCCCCGATTTGGCTCCAGGCTCGGGCAGAGGAGACATGCCCTGAGGACTGAATTCAAAGAGTTCATCTTACTGCTCAATTCTCAAGTAACAGAGCCCCCTTCCAGCACCGCAGCCCCTCCAGAGGCCCTGAGCATGCTCTTAGGCTAGCGTGGGTTTGAGTGTGTGTCTGAGCACCAGCTGTGGCTCCCGTAGCTGTGCCTGCCTTACCTGCTTTCCACCTGCCTTGGGCCTCCCGCCCACCCTTCCTGGGTGGGACTATGAGTTGGGACTTGTTGGGACACTAACTAAAAAGAGCTGCTTGCCACAGCCTCATGTCAAAGGACACCCCAAGCACCCTCCCTTCACCCCAACCCCTGTGTGCTCACCACACAGATGGTTGATTTATTAATAGTTCTTCCTCTAAAATGTCCCCTCCATGGAAATTCCACCTCCCTAGAAGACAATGCCTTTCTAAAGCCTGCCCCTCTGCTTTTCAGAGGACGAGATGCACACTGCCTGGGATGAAACCCTAGGATCACAGAATTATTTATTTCACTAAGCATTGAGCCATTGATTATATTAAAACAAAAATACAGACACACACATTTTTAAAGACAAAATTGAGACAACTTCAGCTTCTCGCTGGCTGCCCCCCAGCCACTCCTCCAGCTCCTGGGATCACACACACACATGCACCACCGTTGGGGATAATTTGGTGAAAAATGTCTAAAAGATTCAGGCCGACAGAAACCACAAATGTCAACAGGAACCATCCTCCGTTCTTTACAACTACACTTAGAATGCTAACCACAGACGAGGTCCTCAGGCGCTCTCCCCCCGACCCCTCACCTTTCTCCCCGTCACTCTCTCCAATTTAGTTCTTTCCTGCCTTGGCTCCTATAGGAACCAATAATTACTAGGTCTCCACAGCCTTGACTCTCCTGGAGTGAAAAGTGAGTTCTGGGCGCCATCTCGATTTTATCAGACTGGAAATCGTTTTCAGTATCAGCAGCCTTTCTCTTCAGGAAGGTGAACCAGCTTAACCACAGCTGAGCGTGGGGAGGTGGGAGGCAGACTCCCTGCGAGGCTCAACCTCGAAGGGCCAATGGCTGAGCAAAGCTCTGCGTCTGCAAACAGTGGCCTTCAAGGGTTTTCTGGGTGATTCTCAGCCTCTTTCCTGGGCTGTCTCTCTCCAGACACCTCCAACTTCCTCTCCGGGCCTTTGCACAGCCTTCTCTGTCTGCCTGGTTTCTCCTATGTGTCCTTAAGAGCCAGCTCTGATACTAGTTCAGGCCACCTCCCTTTTTAGTCCAGCTAAGCTAATCACTACTGTAACCAGGTGGTGAGCTGGCACATCTGAATCACCAAAGGGCTGATTAAAGCACAGATTGGTGGGCCACACTCCCAGAGATTCTGATTTTGTAGGTCTTGGGAGATACCTGAGAATTCGTATTTCTAATATGGAGCTCTTGGCTGCAGCTGCTTCTTGGGGACCACCCTTCAGAACCATTGCTCTAACCTTGGCTACTCAAATCGTGGTCCACGGACCAGCATCATCAGCATCACCTGGGAGCTTGTTCACAATTCACAATCTCAGACCTAATAGGCCTAATGAATCAGATTCTGCATTTGAACAAGATCCCCAGGGGATTCCAGTGCACATAAAAGATTGCAAAACACTCCTCCAAACTGAGCTTCTGGAAGACAGAAACTTTTTCTTACTTTTCTGTGTATTCCCAGTACCTGGCACAGGACTGAGTAGGATGCAAAGGCTGGGGCTGGAGCAGTCATTCTAGCCTGAGAGCAAACCCACCCTGGACAGGTCTGCCCACGTTGGTGCACATCAGACTGACCAGCACACACTCCCAGCAGGTCATTTGGCACTTAGAAGAAAGAGCAATCAGCATCTCCAATGACCCACTACCCACTAGGTTCTGAAATCTCACAAAAGCATACCATCACCTTTACACCTGGTGACTTAAAAGTCAAACCCGAGTTAGCAAAAGGAGAGTTTCCACATGTATGTTCTTACACTCTCTTTCTGGAAGGGGAGACTGACTTCCAAACCCCGGGGCAGCTGCTCATAGGACCTAATCCGGCAGGCTGCAGCTCCTGGCTGCCTGGGCTCCGACTGGGAACTCCATTTTCTATTTACAGCTTTTTCCTCATTTTGTTGTTGTTGCTGCTGAAAGTTCCTACACTTACAAACCTTTTATCTGCCAAGCCCCCGGGCTGACTATCACAGGACTGGAAGTGTGGCGGTGTGTTTGATGATGGATAAGCTCACCTCCATGCCTGCTCCCGATCATTTAGGACACAAAACTCTGTGCTCTGGAGCGAGCGTGGGCTGCCATCAGCTAAGCAGATGGATAATGTGGGAGACAGATCAGCACATCTGGCAGAAGAGGCCCAGAATTGGGTGACAATGAATGTTTTCATCTGGGCAGATGTAACAAAATCTCCTCGCTCCCTGCATGGACTACTCCTTGAGGAAGTAGCCCACGTCTGAGCAGCGTCTTGCATCAGTCACCACGCAGTTACTTCACTTCGGTGCCCTCGAGTGAGAAGTGGAGGAGGTCAACTTGATATAAAAGCTGTACAGCTAAGTTTTGCTCAGAAAGTACCTTGTAAAATAAACATATGGGTAAGGCCATTTAAAAGAGCCCATTATTATGTGTTAGATTATGGACGGAGCCCTGAGCAACCAGGAGCCAGGGCAGGGGGCTGAGTCCAGGGACAGAGGCGTTCCCAGGAGGAAGGGGCACAAACTCTGCACCTGTGATTCCAACTCATGCTCGCGTTTCAGCCGATCCGCCCCCCTCCTCTCCCCGATACTGCCCGAAAGCATTCTTTCCTATAACGTGCGTTTCCCGGGGCAGAATGTGTGTGGTGGCAGGAAATGAGGGCTGAGCGTTACCAGCTAGGAAGGGGTTTTTTGTGTTCCAACATTGAGGTCCTGGAGTTAGCTCTTGCCTCAAAACCCGGTTTCTTTTTTGCCAGCCCACCAGCCCAGGATGGGCTCACGCCGAGGCTGACGAAACCCAGTCCTGAGTCAAAAACATCTGCCTCCTGCCCGTTTTCTTTCCCAACTCCACATGGTGGGGCCTCCAGGGGCCTCGGGACCACCTCGACCGCATGTCTATGGGGTCAGATGCATCAGATACCATCGCCACCTCTGCCTTCTTATCACCAAGGCTGGCTCAGGGTGAGCCGAGCAGGAGGCTGTGGGCCTGACCTGTTGCTGCTTCCCTTATTTCATCCTTTTGTCCCCCAAAGGATGGGCCATTTGCCAAACAACAATGGAGGCTTCCCCGGGACCCTGTTTTCTTGACATTTCCCTTCTTTGGGACACTTCCCTCAGCACTCAGCCAGCAGCCCTGGAGGGTGCAAGGCATTTCACAGCAGGACAAGGGTCTTTGAGGGCAACATCTCTGTGCATTGAGGGTGCTGTATGTTTGGAGACCGACCTGGCTTTTCTCACTCTCCTAGCACTTCTAGTTTGGCTTCACCACCAACCTCCCCTGGAGACCGCTGCCTTTCTTCCAAGTTCTGGGGTCACTGAGGAAGCCGCTGCCTGTGCACTGCCCCAGCTCAGCCCCTCCTGGTACGAAGGTCATGGCATATCCATCACGACTGTAACCAGCAGATCCCTGGACTCTGCCCACAGAATTCCCCGAGCCGGGCCCTCCCTCCTCCTGACCGGGGGCAGCTCCTCCTCCCAGCCTCATCTGCTCTCAGGTTTCTCTGCTGTCTGCCTCACAGCCCCACCCCACATTCATCATGCTCTTTGAATTCAGAATTTCACTGAAATCCCCAAGGTCTTTCCTTACCATACAGCCTTAGTCACTAACTTCACAGATGTCATGAACTTCCCATTCCTCTTCTTCATGATCTCAGACAAATGTTAGCATCCAACTTTGCATTCTTACAACACAGCTATTATTTCATTATCATGATTATTCTTCATGCCACACTCTGAGGTTTGTTTCCGAATCAATAGAAGATCATAGGTTTGGCCCCTGGTGCTCACCTTGCCACGTCCACCTGGCTTTATTTTCATAGCATTATTCTTTTCTATTTGGGTAACGGGCTGGAAAACCTCCAAGTTGAGAGGCTGTGGCTTTTTCCCAAATCAGAAAGCAAGCTGAGGGTGGTAAAGGAAAAGAACCCTTTTTCTTTTAAACTTGCTTCATGGTTGAGAGGTTGTGTTGTCACATGTGTGTGAGCTTGTGCACGTATGCATTTGAATCTCTGTCTGTTTCCTTCTGATCTTGGCCATATGGCCACAGTGCCTTGGGATCAATCTGGGAAGGGATAGTGGACTCTGGTTTGGCAAACCTAACGTCCATTCCCAAATCACTTCTCTTTTTCCTGACTCCAAGAGGAGACTGAAAGAGCTAAATGCTCACTCTCCCAGTCTTTTCAGCAAGGGGCAGCCAGGGGATAAATATTTCATAAATATTCATGACTCCTCTTATACTTATTGAATATGTATATTTGGCCACCTGCTTCAGCATAAATTCCTGTCTTATTTTCTCCACCCTCAAAGTGCCTGTTTCCAGCTTCTGGCCGGAGGCTCTGCTTCCCAGCCTATCAGAATGGCCACCCTGCAGGATACAACCCTTTAGGAGAAATAAAGCTCTCCTTTCCAAATGCATGAACCTTGTCATTCTTCAGCTGACGGTAGGATTTCGGAAACTTCACAACAGAATTACATAAGTGTCTGCGGGGAGGGAGGGGAGCGACAGAGAGAATGCTGGGAGTGGGGAAGGTGAAACCACCTTTGCAAAATTATGCCAGTGAGAGAAATATGACATGCCTGACTCCATCTTGCCTCTAGCCTCACTGGCTGGATGTCTTTGCTCATTCTTGGGCGTGGGCCAAACTAATTTGGGAGAAATTTGGTTTCCAGTTTAAATAATGATAGCCCTTCCCCTAAACTCAACTTAGGGTTAGGGTTCTTGGTTTCATTAGTTCTAGGTCTCATCAGTTCTTGTAAAACTAATGAAAGACCACCAAGTTAGGAGGATGAGAAGGGCTTGAATTCTAAATAATTACCAGCCATTATTCCAAAGGTCATAAGACTTGCAACTTCCCCAATTACTCTTGCAGATAACATCACTATTGCAGAACCTATGATTGGCCTTTTGAGATGTCTTTTTAGGTTTTTGCATTTCTGACACACTGATGACCCCCACCTGGACCTGCCAACCAATCCTATGGCCCTCACCCAGGAACTGACTCAGCACAAAAGGACAGCTTCTATTCCCTATGACTGCATCTCCAACCCAACTAATCAGCCTGCCCCCTACTCCAGCCCCCTGCCCACCAAACTATCTTTGAAAAATCCCTAGCCTCCAAGCCTTCATGGAGACTGATTTGAGTAATAACTCCATCTCCCATGTGGGGTGGCCGGGCTGGCCTCACATCAATTAAACTCTTTCTTTACTGCAATGCTGTGATCTTATTATAGGAGTTATTAAGAAATTATTTTAGGCAGATAGAGAGGAAAAGGGGTCCTTGGAAAGTTTTTGTTTCTTTTAAAGCAGTTCCAGAAAAGTTTTCTTGTCTGGCAGGAAAGCCCCTGGTCTTAGAGCTGGGCTGGCAACCTTTGATATGCAAATGCAGGCCATTAGAAACTGGGTACCCCCAAACATGGAGATTCCCCCTCTCTTCTTCTTGCCCTTGCCCCCACATGTGCCTGACAGCATGGCCGCCCCCTTTTATGCCCACACGTGTAGAACATCATGGCACCCTGCATTTGCATATTAAAAGGCTAGAGCAGGAGGACCAGTTTTTTCACGGGCTACGTGAGTGACCTACCTGGTCAAACCAATCCCCTGAGCCCTACGCAAATCAGGCACCACCTTCTCCAGCTTCCTCACGTAAGCAGACACATTTCCGCTGCACACAGGGTTTCCTCTCTCGGCTTTGGAGCACCCCTCCCTCTGTCTCTGTATGGGGGAGCTTCTTCCTTCATTCTTGCCTATTAAACTCTCTGCTCCTTAAAACCACTCCATGTGTGTCCATGTCATTTTATCTAATTCAACGTGAGATGAAGAACCCTGGTGTTCCTCCACTCATGGGATCTGTACCAATCTCAGTGAGTAGATTTTCTTTGTACAGCAGGCAGGAAGAACCTGCTGGGTGGTTACAAAGGCACTCCAGGCACAAGGCTGTTTAGAACAGAATTAATATAGAATTCCTGCCTCTTGGTGCAAGGAGTGTCTATCCAGCCAAGACTTGTCCAGGCTAAGGTCTCTGTAAGCACAGCCCTGGACCTCAGGACCACCAAAAGATGGGTAGAAAGTTCTAGAACTATCATTACTAAATGAACCATATCAATCTACAAAACAATACATCATTTGGGGTTCCTCGGCTCTTAGGCTGGAGATGACATTGACTTGACCTTCCCTCCCCTACGAGTGAGCTCCTCAAACGATGGGTCATTCCTAGGAGCTCCCAAGCCAAGCCCTGAGTCCATTGAATCAATCCAGTTGAAGAAGCATCTTACTGTCCAGCAGACCCTCTCTCCCTCTCACCAAGTTTAGCCAGAGTGAGACTCTACCTCTTTCCCTTCTGTCCACCCCACCTAACCTACCCTTTAAAAAAATCCTCAAGGCTGGTAGGGGCAGCACAGATCCTACTGAATATTTAGGAGCCAGAAAGGGGTCTGGGCCAGCATTCCTGGCATCTTAATGTCAGATCTTCCTTTAGTTAAAAAGCCCTTCAGTTAACCCCAAAGCTTGAGTGTGCGTCTCAGGATCTCCTTCCTGTTCTTTCCTCCTCCGCTTTCCCTCTCCTCACTCTCTCTCGACACTGAGTTTCCTATGTATTTCTAATGCAGAGGAAGTAGCTCTCTTTGGGGTTTTGTTGTTGTTCTCCTTTTCATTTTTAGTTTTTAATTTTTGTGGGTACATAGTGCGTATATATATTTATGGATTATGTGAATGTTTTGATACAGCTATGCAGTGTGAAACAAGCACACCGTGGAGAATGAGGTATCCATCCCCTCTAGCCTTTATCCTTTGAGTTACAAACCAATCGTGGCTCTCTTTTGTTTCTTTTCTTTTCTGCTAAAGCACAGTCCCAAAGACAAGGCCAAGGGGAATTCTGCCCTTAGCTGTCTATTTCTGCAATATTCACACGTACAAATTCACTCATAAATGCCCCAACCTGCATTTAAGAGGGAGGTGATTTCAGATGAACAATGATCTTTTGCAATAATTGTGACTAACGACTGGCCTCTATTCTCTTCTCTTTGTCTTCCAGGCACTATTTTCCACTGTCTTCCTCTTCCCTGGGTTGCTCAAGTTCACACAGATGTGTCCTCACCAGGACCTCACAGTCAAAGAGACTTTTCTGTCTTTCTGTGTCAGTTTGATGGGAGACCAGATTCCAACCACTAGACACGGCTGCGTCCCTGAAGGCCCGGCTGCTGCAGGCCTCCCTCGATCTGGCCAGGAATGACTCCTTTCCTCCTCTATTGCTATCAGGAGAGGTAGGAGGTGTTAGAGAGACCTCCCCTGCCCACCACACACACCTTCCAGCTTGAGGCTGCCTAAAGATCCCTCAGAAACCCCTGACCTTGTCCCTTCCCTTCCCCCTCCTCCTTGTTCTCCACGCTCTGACCAAGTGGAATTTTCCCCTTCACCACTTCAGGGTCACTTGGTAAAGATTAGTTGGGCAGAAAAGTCAGGGTTGGAGGAAGGGTGTATTTGGAAAGAGGGCTGGGCTGGAGATGAGGAAACTTGGGGTCCAGAAGCTGCTCTGCCACACTCCAGCTCACTGACCCTGGTCAAGTTGCCTCACCCACTTGGGCCTCTCTTTCCTCATTTGCCTAATAAACGTTTGAAATCCCTACACTACTCTTAAAGTGTCTACAACATTTAAAAGCAAATTGCCCCTATTAGAAATCTGGGGCCGCTCCTGCCTTTTCCACGACCTCCCTGCTAGAAGGTCCCAGAACTTTCCCTTTTGACTCCAGAGACACCAACTCTGCTGATGTCACAACTCTCCTCTGACTGCAGGTTAATTTCTGGTGGATGCAATTTCCCTGCCTCTGCTGTTTTTACTGCAGTAGAGTTGCCCTGTGGTACACAGGCAGGTTATTGTTTTATTCTTTACTTTTGAAGCACAGTCAAGAGTTTCAAAAGGGATAAATCAGGAAGGTCCCGCAGGGCTGATGTTCCGTACAAACACCCTGTAAGCCTCTGGGTGTGCCTGTCATCAGTTCTTATACAGACATCATGGGGCTACCGCCTTAGTTTGTAGTTTCTGAATAGCTGGAGGAGGGCGTATTACAGTTGAATAGGAGGGAGTTGCCAGGGAGCTGCCCATCCAATATCTTCTGTTTGTACAAGTTTTAGTTGGATACCCAGAGTCATAGAAATGATTTCTTTTCAATAATAACAGAATCTCTAAAGAGATAAGCCTCCATCCCCTGGGAGGCCAAATGAACAACAGTGTGATATGAGCTGTTTTAGGAATGCAAGTCGGTATCCCGTGATCCCCAGGGACAAAGAGAACAAGTTTAGGGTTGTTCTTGCGTGTGGAAGGAAGCTAGAGAGGTTCCACCTGTCGGAATTGTCATGCATCCTCCTTTATGGACGGACCAGCTATGAGCTACTGCCTTTCCATCAGCAGATGGTTCAAATGAACCCAGAGATTAGGTCTACAGAAAATATAGGTCGCAGCAAAGGAGAAATTCTACGTGAAAGTAGTTAGCACAGCACTCAGCATATGGTAGGGATCCTATAAATATTAATTTTTCCTCACATATAAAAATTCCAATTTGCAGGGTAATCTCAGCTTGTAAAGAAGTGAAAGTTAGAGTGGTAGATTTGTCTCCAGAGATGGTGACAGCACTCTCTGCCATCACACATGTTCTTTTGTATTGTGGCTTTGCTGTCTCTCCTTAAGAAGAGTCTATTTCCCCTTCCCTTGAATTCAGGCAGGTCCTGCAACCTTTTTGACCAATAGAAGTTGGCAGAAGCAGGAGCACACACGGGCGGGCTTGTGAGTGAAGCCTTCTTGGCCTCCCAGCCAAGCCCAGGCACCAGCTGAATGCAGCCGAGTGAATTATCCCAGCCAACCTGCGTGAAGCAGAAGAAACATCATCCCAAATTCTAGCCCCAGAAAATCAAGAACAAATAAAACCATGGTTGTTTGAATCTGCTACATTTTGAGATTGATTTTTTGTTTTGTTTTGTTTTTCAGATGGAGTTTCGCTCTTGTTACCTGGGCTGGAGTGCAATGGCGTGATCTTGGCTCACCACAACCTCTGCCCCCCCGGGTTCAAGTGATTCTCCTGCCTCAGCCTGAGTAGCTGGGATTACAGGCAGGCGCCACTGCACCTGGCTAATTTTGTATTTTTTAGTAGCAATGGGGTTTCTGCATGTTGGTCAGGCTGGTCTCGAACTCCCCACCCCAAGTGATCTGCCCGCCTCGGCCTCCCAAAGTGCTGGGATTACAGGCGTGAGCCACCACGCCCAGCCTGGAGGTTGTTTTTTATGTGGCAACAGATAAAGCAAGTTTTCAGAATAAATCTGTTAAATTGACTTTAGCCTAAAACTGCCTCCTTACCTATTGGTGCAAAAGTTGGTGCAAAAGTAATTGCAGTTTTTGCCATTAAAAGTAATGTCACCAGCCAATATTTTAAGTTTGGCCTAAGGTTTCTCTGTACATCGTGAGCTATAACCTAAATGGAAGTGCAAACAGACTGTAACCTACTCTTGTGCCAATCACTGAGTTTTGCCCAATCTATGGTGGTCAACTCTTTGGACTGTGTTCAAATAAGGCAAATGCTGAGCTGTAACCAATCTGGCCAGTTCTGTACCTCACTTCCATCTTCTGTACATCACTTTCCTTTGTTCTGTCTATAAATCATCTTCCACCACCTAGCTGTGCTGGACTCTCTGAGCCTACTCTGGCTCTGGAGGCTACCTGATTTATGAATCATTCTTTGCTCAATTAAACTCTGTTAAATTTAGGCCGGGCGCTGTAGCTCGTGCCTGTAACCGCCGCACTTTGGGAGGCTGAGGTGGGAGGATCACTTGAGGCCAGGAGATCGAGACCAGCCTCGCCCACGTGGTGAAACCCAGTCTGTACTAAAAAGACAAAGTATTAGCCAGAGGTGGTGGTGCATGCTTGTAATCCCAGCTAATTGGGAGGCTGGGCCAGGAGAATCCTCGAACTTGGGAGGCAGAGGTTGCGGTGAGCCGAGATCACACCACTGCACTCCAGCCTGGGTGACAAGAGCAAAACTCCATCTCAAAAATAAAATAAAATAAAATAAACTCTGTTAAATTTAATTTGGCTAAGGATTTTATTTTAACAATTCAAGAAAGAGTTTCAAAATTTAACCTTTCCATAAGATTTTTCTTTTTCTTTCTATCCTCCCCAAATTTTTCATATAATCCGTGTACTTTCAAAAATAAGTTCTCCAGAAACATTGCCAAGGGTTCTGTGGATTCATTCACTTAGCAAGGTTTTGAGAAACATTTTTAACACAAACATTTAAATGTGCATGTAATTTCCATCCTCAGAGAGCTTAATACTAACCATGTAGACTAGACACATATACATCGAATGCTAATAATCTACAAGGCAGTATATGACTATAGCTAAGTGATCTCTAAACCCTGTTTTGACCCTGAAATTCCATTAGGCCATGGAACTAAGTATACAAACATTGAGTTCAGGGAAGACTCTTTGGGGTTCATCAGTATCAGAAAAACAGAAAATTAAACACACACGAGCTTACCTAAACAGGGCTTTGTTTTTCCAGCATGAGTTCTTGCGTGGGCAGTCAAGGGCAGTCAGAGGTATGGGCTCCTTCTAGCTTTCTCCTATTCTTGGTATAAGGCCTTCCTCACAGCCTCACTGGATAGGTGCTCCACCTCTAGGCAACATGTTACATTTCCAGGTAGTAAGAACGAATAGGAAAGGACAAAAATCAAAAGGAAATGCAAGCTAACGGTCCCTTTTAATTAGGAAAGCAATAGCTTTTCTATAAGCTTCACCTTTTAAACTTCTACTTAAATCTTCTTGGCCAGAACTATTTTGTAAGTCTATCCTGAGCTGCAAGAGGTCCTGGACACATTCTGAGATACACTGGCCTTCTGTCACCAGGAAAAAGGGAGAGTGTATATTGGGTGTTTGAAGTAAGGAAGTAGAGAATGCCTTCGGGATAGGCAGTGAGCAGTGGCCCCCACAGTCAGAAGGTTGGCAGGATACAAAGATCTTTAGATAAGATGAAATACGGGGGCATGCGCCAGAAGGAGGGAAGGTGGACCCCTTTCTCCTGGATGCATATGCATGGAAGGAGGGTAGAGAGAGTGCACACACACGATCACCCCCACCCCACCCAAACTCACACCACACCAGACACATACATACACACACACAATCACCATTTAATGTTGGACTGATATTTGAGGCTACCTCTGACTTACCTTGCCCAAGATTTCTTTTCTCCGACTCTATTGAATGTGCCTTTTTGCTCTACAGAGGCTAGAGAGCTAAAAACACTACTTCCCAGATATCCTTATAGCCAAGATTCTGGTTGCAATTGATCTCATGCCAATTAGAAACACTGTTTAAGACTTGCATTCAGAACTGAGTTCAGTGGGTGGAGGGCAGCATTCTGGAGGCAGCAATGACATCTTGGGGGCCCCACTCGACAGGCAGTTTCCTTAACAGCCTACTTCTGTGGCGTCATAGTTGGTCCTGGAGGCTCACCTAGGATCATTCTTCAGCTCCTCAATGATTCTGTTATCAATTTTGTAACAGAGGTAAATCCCTATCTAAACTGGCAAGCATGACTCTGTTCTCTGTAACTGAAGCATATTTGGTCGCAGCATCACACAGACCTTTCTCCATTGCAGCCTCTCCCATTTTCTCTCTGCTGGACATTAGTTAGACAAGTGACTTCACATCTCCAACTCTCACCTTCTTTCCTCTGACCTGGAGCTCTTGTATGGATCGGGCATGAAACTGCCTGTACAGTGTCTGACTCAGATGAGTGTTCAACAAATACTAGCTTCAACAAACTTACTCAGAATAGTCACAGAAAATGCCAGTGAAGGAGTTGCTGCATGGGGCAATGGTGGTAGAGAGGCACCCCAGCATGAGAGATGGCCTCGTGCTCTGCAGGGGCACACAGGAGCCCAGACTTGAAGCTCTTGTTAATAAAGTCTGTCTCCTCCACCAACCTATAAGCCACCAACCTGTCATTTCAAACCTGTTTGAATTTCCTTTTGCTTCTAGCATAAAATCTGACACAGGGGAGCCTGAATGTCCTGGACAGAGACCTCCAAATGCAGAGAATCATCTTGGAACCAGTAGCTGGATAGCTGCCCCCTAGGAAACACCAGCCACGGGCCCCATCCTCTGCTCAATGCAGCCTGTCATGGTGAACAGGATAGACACCACCATTGCCTTTGTAGACGGTCCTGTTTAACACGGGAAGCAAATGCCTGGAATGTTCCCCCATGTGAGCACCCATAGTTTGAAGGAAGACAGTGCAGTGCCCATGTGGCCCCAGGCCACCAGCCCAGAGAGGGTTTTCCTGACTACATCAAGCTTAGGCTAAAGCCTGATCAAAGAAACAAATCTGTATCAGCTGCCTCTGTTCCCTGTGAGGTCATGTTGCCAAGACACTTTGGGGCCAAATGTAGCTTTGCAGTGAGAAAAAAGTAGGGAAATGCTGCTGAAGGCTGCAGGAGCTGTGACAGCCTGTGGAGGAGGCTGTGGGAAGAGTAGACTGTGCTGGAGGCCAGGCTGGCAGCCATGTGCCAGTGCAGGGGAAGTGCAGGGCTGGAGGAGGCAGCCAGGCTGGGGAGGGCACCGCACTCTGGCTGGGGGTTACAGGCCTTGGGCCTGGACCACCTCAATGGGAATGGAAAAGTAGGTGAGATAAACATGTTTTGGAGAGCATCTATGGATCTTGCTAGGTGTATCCTTGCTTCCTTCTCCTGGGGGATCTTGGAAGGCAAAATGAAGATGAACATCATCACATAGTTCACCCAGCTTCTCATCTGTGGATTTGCACAGCATCCTGTGTGTGCCGTCAACAGCTCTGATCCCACTATCCTCTGGTTGTTTCCCTGTCTTAGTCCTGGTCACAATGAGACGCCCCAGTGGAGAAAGGATGTTTCCATCTCTGTACCACAGAGCCCACAGAACCAGTGGCCAGTAGGCAGCAGTCAGCAGAAGCAGCAACAGCAGGTGGCATTCAGGCTGTGCTTAAAGATTGACACCTGCGCAGATGATGAAGCACCTTCTTCAGTGAATGTGGAGACAACCCATCCCTCTGATTCACAGCAGAGTGTCCTATCTATCCATTATCAATGCTGCATTATTAGTATCATAATCGAGAAGCTTTATTGAGCAAAGTCCTGTTCAGCTTTGGTGAGAGCACTGGAGTGTCTTGGTGGGTCCAGGAAGAGCAGATGCCTGAGAGGAGATTCCAAGGAGATGAAGCACCAGATCCTTCCTTGGGGTACAAGACAGCTGGAGAAGGGGAAGGCCCAGCTCCAGATCCCACCACTCCTCTCATAGGGCCAGCCAGGGAACGGCAGCCCTCCATGCATCAGTTCTGTCATCTTTGAAATGGACATGATAGTGTCTACTCTGCCCAATTCATATAGCACTGTGGTGAAGCCCAGATGAGATAAGGGTACAACTGCTTCTCAGTGCCATATAATGCAATGACTCACTAGTTAAAGTATTGCCCAGCCCCAGAGCACAGACCAAATACTCCTGTGTTGAATTGTGCAGCCTGTGCAGACTGATAGAGCAGGATTAAGAAGTACCAAATAGCTTCCTAGAAAAGGCAAACTTTGAGCAGTGTGGAAGAAGGAAATGTATGAGTTTGTAGAAATGAAATGAAATCTTTTTGGTCAAGGTCAGCAGCTAGGGCCTGCCTTTCACTGTGTGTCCACCTATGTATATTAACTCACTTAATCACCTCTACAGTTCACAAGGTTGGCATGCTTATCCGCACATAAGAAGTGGGAACTTTACATAGGCATTTCCAGATGGCTGCTTGGGCTTCCTCACAGCATGGTGGCCAGGTTCCAAGAAGGGGCATTCCAAGAAAACAAACTCAGTGTGCAAAAGCTTATTAAACCTCCACTTACACCACACTTGCTGGCGTCCAATTTGTTGAAGCTGGTCACATGGCCAAGTCTGGAGACAGTGTAGGAGGGGGCTACATATGATCAAGAATGCCAGGAGCTATTGTACTTTTGGGCTACTTGAGTAAGTGTATCACAAAGAGTGGCCAAATGCAACACACTAATCAATATCAGTTGCATTAGCATTTTATTGATTAAAAAAATTGTTAAATCCCATCTTGAATTTCCGTGTGTTGTAGGAGGGACCCAGTGGGAGATAATTGAATCACGGGGGCAGGTCTTTCCCATGCTTTTCTCTTGATAGTGAATAAATCTCATGAGATCTGATGGTTTTCAAAAGGGGAGTTTCCCTGCACAAGCTCTCTTCTCTTGTCTGCCACCATGTGAGATGTGTTGTTAACATTCCACCATGATTGTGAGACCTCCCCAGCCACGTGGAACTGTGAGTCCATTAAGTCTCTTTCTTTTGTAAATTGCCCAGTCTCAGGTATGTCTTTATCAGCAGTATGAAAATGGACTAATACAACCAGGTACTCAGCATTTAGATCAAGAAACAAAGCATTACCAACACCCCAGAAGCCCCACCTAGACCCTTTTTCAGGCACTCCCTACTTCTCCCCAACCCAGAAGACCCACTGCCCTGACTGCTAATAACATTCATTAATTTTTAAAGATATTTTAAAACTTTGTAGTGCTGGAATGAATGGCTTCTATTGATGGTTTCTTTTGGCCAACATTATGTTTGTGAGTTTCTCCATACTACTGTGTATAATGTTCATTTTCATTGCTGTGTGATAATCAATTGCATGATGCTAACATATTTCATTTATCTACTCTTCTATTCATGGGCTTTTGTCAAGCTTCCAATTTAGGACTATTACAAATAGTGTCACAATGAACATTCCTCTTGGTGAACATATCCATGTATTACTGTTGGTATACACCCAGGAGCAGAATTGCTGAATCATAAGGCACACATGTGTTTTTGGTGGATACAGCCAAACAATTTTCCAAAGTGATTGTGTGAGTTTATCCTTCTGTTAGTAGTGTATGAACGTTTTTGTAGCTCCAAACCCCTTCCACTCTTTTCATTGTAGCCATTTTGATGGGTATGTAGGAGCACTGCATTTTGGTTTTAACGAGAATTTCCAAAATAACTAATGAAATTGAGCATCTTTATATAAGTTTATTGGACATTTGGATTTCCTCTTTTGCTTAATGACTTTTCAAATATTTTGCCCATTTTGAAATCTGATTATTTTGTCTTTATTTTGTATGGATTCTGTATATATTCTGGATGAAATTTTTGTTGTGCCTGTGTGATTCATTGTACTCCATGGAAAGTTGGTTAGGGCAGTGGCTGATACAGACCAAGTAGCTGAAAGCGGGAAATAGAAGAGGAACAACTGAAAGTATCTGATACACCTGGCTACTGCCATCTCTCACCTGGGTGATTTCAAGGGCTTCCCAATGCCCAATCCAGCACCTAATCTTAATAGACACCCAAAGTATTTGCTGAGTGATCTTACTGTTTCTTCCTTTAAAAATCTTGCTAATGATTTTATTTTCTACAAAGGTAACCTTTCTTCTCTAATGTCATCTATCACTTGAGACAGTAGAAAGATAATTAGACCATGGTTTGATATGGGGATGGAGTAAAAAGATGGGATTTGAATCCTGTTCTGCTTCTCACTTGTTTGGTGACCTTGGATATCTCTGAAACATGATAATCTCATCCATAAAATAGGGATCATAATAGTCCTATCAAATAAGGTATTGTGAGTATTAAATGAGTAACTCTACGCTGGGCCACTTAATAGAATATCAGGTACAAGGAAGCCCTCAGTGAAGGTTAGCTGTCATCATCATCATCATCCTTGTCATCGTTGCCATTGTTGTTATCTTATGATTATTAGGTCCCTGCTTTGCTAATCTTCAATTATGTAGCATGGCTTCTTCATCTAGATAACAGAAGTAAGAATGATCTCTTCCTAGGATGCTTGGAAGAGTGGGATGAAACAAATTTGTGAAAAAGCTTGATCAACATTGGTCCCATCTACAAAGACTGGGTCACTATTACTCTGATGGTCCTCATAAGTCTCAGGCTCTCTGACATTTAAAACAGATTTTGTAAATGGAGAGAAGTCAAGAGTGATTTAGATAGAGGAGGGGATGGCGAGTCCTCTAAATAGAGATAGAGACTTACAAATATGTATCCCCAGAGCATTGCTTCACTAGATCCCCAGGACAACTCTCCATGGGAGATTTATTAACCCCTTGCGCAAATGAGGAGAAGAAAGCTCAAAGAGATCAAGGAACACACCCAAGATCACAGGACTAGTAAATCACAGATTCCAGGTCTGTGTGTGTCCCAGCCCCCACTCCTTCCCCAGCCTAGCTCTCCACTTTCAACCTGAGGAATGCTCTAAATCTCTAGATTCATACAGTAACTTTTGCACAGTTTAAAAACCAGAAATTAATTCCGCGCCCATGGGAATGCTCTCAGAGCGGAGATAATTCTGCAACATATCCTTGTGTATATTTTCAGTGCATTCCGATTTCCACCTGGTTTGGAGCTATAAGTCAATCTTTTAGCCACTAAGCTAAATTCCCAGGGTGCTCTTAAGATACAGAAATTCCAGCAGTAAATAGCAAAGCTGTTAGACAAGATTAAACTTGCCAAAGTGATTTGAGCCGCACTGAGAAAAATGGACCCCCTTGAAATGATATGCTATCAGCCAACAGTAACATAACCCTGGAAACAAACCTTTTAGTTTATAGTTCAACAAGCAGCACACATGGTTAGGAAGGGGACTTGGCTGAAGTCTAGCATCCACAGAGGGTGCAGAGGGTGTGGAAAATGTGAGCTGTACGTCATTTACGTTTCTCTCTTTTCCTGATTAAATGATCATGTGGGGAATTCCTTGATTTTGACATTTGAAATCTACAGAGCCTGTCTGGGAGGTGAGTAATGATAGTATAACTAAAGATTGTGATCAGAGAGGGGGTCAGAGTGTGATAAAGGGGGAATGATATGGAGACAGATGAAGGATGCAGGTGGGGGAAGATCGCAGGCACTGGGAGGCAGTTCCATCTCCATTTCACTCCATTGCTCTTACAACAACTTAAAAATGGAAAACAAATGCTATGGAGACTTCATTTTTCTAAGAAATTGATTCAGTTAAAAAAAAAAAAAAAAAAACCCAAGGTGTGCTTACCCAGGTCAGTATTTTCCCTGTTGAGACCGAAGCAACTGAGGGTTGTACAACACACTCAACTGCTTCTTGAGGCCACTGTAGTTTCCATGGGCAAAAGCAAACAGTCCTGAGCAAATCCCACATGACCTGTTCCATTCTTGACTCTTCTATTTACCTTTGTTTTTGAAGAAGCCCAGACACTAAGGCGACATTCTCATAAGTATGTCACTTTAGCTGAGGAGGAATAAACTACAGTGCTACAGCCAGGTGCCTGATTCAATCACAAAATTATTCAGACACCTGGGGCAATGCCCAGCTGGCAGGGCTACCTGTTTGTTTTTCTTTTCAGCTTGTATTTTGTATTGTTGCCAGCCTTGTGTTTTAGAAGCATTGAGGGCACTTAGCATTTATTTAGTCTTGGTTCCCACAGTCTTCCACCAGAAGCCCACCCCACGTGTAGGCGCGGGCGTTCAGGCGGGCTGCTGCTTGCTGGGAACCACGTTTCTCAGCCTGACTTGTTCTCTCTCTTCCTCTCCTAGAGGTTCAAAAGTCCATTTCCAGTATTTCCCATAGAAAAGTGCTCCTAATATCTGAAAGTATGCTATTTTAGGATGCAAGTAGATCTTTGTCCTTCCTGCTTGGTGGAGATGAATTGGGGCACTGTTCCTGAGCCAGTGGCCTCTGTGAACACTGGAACACTGCCTGGGTGTCCACCCTCATGTGGAGAAGCCATGGGGACAGCTGCAGAAGAGAGTACCCACCTGGGCAGGTGAGGTGACCAACGCTGGACAACATGCTTCCCCGTCCACTTGACTTCTTTGCATCTTGCACTGAGACACAGCCCTCCAAGGGAAGCAGCAGCAGTGAACTGCTTTGTGGCACGATGGCCTTCCATGGAGTCTGAGGAATTCTTCTGGAAGATAAGGGGCTGGAATTCCAATTCCCATTGGCACTACCCCATGCAGGTCTAATACCACTCATTGGGCGATAGTTCTTTGTATTTCAGTCTGACAATACCGTATACAATAGGCTGCTCGGGCTGCCATTCATCCGCCCTTGAAGGGGGAAATTCCTTGAGGTGCTTCAAAGGGAGTTTACACTGATAAATGAGCATTTCAGGAGGTGTGGGAAGAACGCCTGGTCCACGGGCGCCATTGTCAGCATTAGGTGAGTAAGGAGAGCGAAGGTGACATCTGCGGCAAAGTGTCCCAGCAACACACGGCAGGCAGGGACTGTTTTCCTCACCTGCCTTGGCATTGGCTGCAAAACTGAGGGACCCTAAACAGGTACAATTCCTGAGACTGTAAAGAGGGTCAGTGACCCGGTGACTGCCCTTACCCCTCCCACCCCGAGTCCAGGAAGACTGTGTCTCTCCAAATGCCCAGGTCAGCGTCTCCTCCTATTAAAGGGTCTGGAGGATCCTGGGAGGGCAGGATGGGGGGTGTGGTCTTATCAGCCCAGGAGCCTGGGCGCAGCTTTGAGGTCAACTTGTTGTGAGTCCTTGAGCCAGTCACATAACACCCTGGGCTGTAGGTTTGTCATCAGAAGAAGTGTGATGTCTTAGGGCCTTGCTGGTGTGACATTCTAGGATCCTAGGCGTTTGCTGTGTGTCAAATGCATGCATCACAACAGGACAAATGTAGGACCAACCCTTCTGCAAGGAGGCACTTAACACTCCATTTCAGGTGAGCTCTAATGGGAATTTCATTCCTAAAACCTTAGAAGCAAACATGTCTGTATTTCTGTTTGTTAAGTGCATTCTAAACCAATGGGCTGGCCAATGGGCATAAGAAGGCCATGATATCTCCCAACATTCTAGACACAAGAGAAGGTTTTGGAACCAAGTGGGCAGCTGGACCTTAGAGCCAGTGGCCCTTTGGAAGGATGCCAGCCTTCCTAGTTCCAAGGAAACCCATGTAACAGACTGCTGTTTGCAGGTACACATGTTAGAGATGAACACAGTGATCAGCCTAGGACTTTGGGTGTCTGGATCTCAAACCAGATTCTTGCTTGCCGAGTGTTTATCAGAGCGTGTCAATAACAATTTGAAATGAATGATTTTCTCCCACTGTCACATTCAATATTTACCTTTGGAGAAAAGCAGGGTCAGTTCTCTCCAAAAGGAAGCTTAGTTAGTACAATTGGGTATTTTACGGAAAGACGTCCTTAAACTGCACCCCTTAGAAAATGGTAAGGGACTTTAATAGGGAAATGCCCCCTTACCCAGTGTGGCAAGAAAGCACTTGCCACAATCATTTCAGTCATCAGTTCTAAGTGACTTCAGCATTTCCTCATGGCAAGAACAGCGGGCTTGTTGCACAACTGCACTTTTCCTCACCTCTCTTTGGGTTCCTGTTGATCTTTTTTTTTTTATTTTGTATTTTGGAGACGAGACAGTCTGTTCCAAGTTCTGAGTTGGGGACGGTAGCAATTCTCCATGACCAAAACACTCTGCAGCTGCGTCCTTTGGAGCAGGGAACACGAGCTGCTTTGTTGACCCCTCTTCACCCCAGAGGCGTGTCTTCTAGGTTCAGTCCAGGATGCAGCCTGCCAGTCATTGGTCAGGTCACAAATATGTGCAGCACACAGCAAGGTCCTCCCTGTGACCGGCCGGTGTGGCTGTGTGCTGTCTGTCACCCCAGCGCCCTGGACCTCAGTCTGCAGAGAAGCAGCTGTGACAAGCACAGAAAGGCAGGCACTGGTGCCTCCTGTCGAAGCCCCCAATGCACCAGCAGCCCTCGTGTTAATTTAAGAAGTTGACTGAACAATCTGGCACAGTCGCTGGAAACTGAAGAAGGTGGGAAGAGGCTAAGCAAAACCCTTGCTTAATTAAAAGCATATCTGCAAAAGGTCAGGCCTGGCAGGAGGATGACAAAGGCAGTCAGAATTTTAAAATCAAGTCATTCTCTCTTGCGAGATTTCTTCCAGACCCTGATGGATTAGGGATGCTGGGTTTTCTCTTCCAACAGAGCCTGCACAGCTGAGTCGGGGTGAGCCAAGTGTTAGTTCCTTCGCTGTTTTCAGAGAAGTAGGACTTCTTCCCCTAAGGTGACCCCACTCCAACCCCAGGGCAAGAAGGAGGTGACTCTTAGTAAGTGCCAGCCCTCGTTCCCTCTGGAAACCTGGGGTAGATGTGGAAAGCACGTGGTGAGCTCTGTGGGGGCCATGCGACTTTAGGATGCTGTGCCTTGGTTCAAGTGGCTTCTTTAAGAAATCACCAAAACTAGATTCCTGTTGCAGCTAACGGAATGGGGAAAGTGTGGGCTCAGCAAAGTGAATTCTTTGTACTGACTTGATAACCACCTTCACCTTTTTGAGGCCGGGCATGGTGCCCCACACCTATAATCCCAGCACTTTGGGAGGCCGAGGTGGGTGGATCACCTGAGGTCGGGAGTTTGAGACCAGCCTGTCCAACATGGTGAAACCCCATCTCTACTAAAAAAATACAAAAATTAGCTGGGTGTGGTGACACACATCTGTAATCCCAGCTACTCGGGAGGCTGAGGCAGGAGAATCGCTTGAACCCTGGAGGCGGAAGTTGCAGTGAGCTGAGATCGCACCACTGCACTCCAGCCTGGGTGACAGAGCGAGACTCCGTCTCAACAACAACAACAACAACAACAAATCACCAAGACTGGATTCCTGTTGCAGCTGATGGAATTAGGAAAGTGGGGGCTCAGAAAAGTGATTTTTTAGTACTGACTTGATAGCCAGCTTCACCTTTTTGAGAAAAGAACTCTAATTCCAGAAGACCTAACCAGCGCCAATGGGGAAATGGCAAGAGGGTAGATCCACAATAAGCAGAGCTTTCCCGCAGCCAGCTTTCCCGTATTCAGATAGGAAGCAGCAGGCAGCGTGTCAGCCTCTTCCTCCCCTGACATGCTGGGAGAGGGCATAGAAGCCCATCTCCTGAGGACATTGAAGAGGGGTCCTAACATGCGGGCAGGGGAAGGGGACTAGGTTAACATCTGCCTATGAGTTCAAATTCTTTGATTCTAGATTATCACACAACAGTCTTCAGAAAATGTCTATTCCTCAGAAGTTAGAAAACAGTTGTTTTGTACAAAATATACAATTGTATATTTTGTGTATTGTATATTTGTATTTTGTTACTTATTTGTGACATGTATTTATGAATGAGAATCCTTTTGTTAAAGCAAAAGCATTTGAACACTCTCTGCTGGTCTGAGAACTTCATATTTCTTCAGTAAATCATTATAATCTGAGCACACGGACAGCATCCTTGCTTCTGGCGCCAAGAAGTACAATCAACTGGTGGAGAGTGTTTCTTAAATGAAAGTGGTGTTTCCAGTTGGCAAAACAGATTATTTTTGCTATTAAAGAAATTGATTTCTTAACACATGTGATTAATTATGTCTGTAAAACAGAAAATCCATCAAAGACAAAATGTTTTTCCCTTCAGAAAACACTTACAAATTCTTACAATGTCATTGACTAAATATGACATTCTATTAATGGGCACCTTGTCTCCAAAGATACATCTGGGCTCATTCTCCACATTGTCTTCCCTAGGCTTTTGGGAGATTGATGACTGATGACAAAAACAGGGCAGCACTCGGTGACTTTCTGCTGGTTCTTGAGAATCCAAATGAAAGTCCTACCCTGAACCTGCTCTGCAAAGGGGACCCACATGAGGTAAATGACAAAAGATGATTCCGTTTCCACGGTGAAAGGGATCTTGCTAGACAGCCTGTTGGCTTTACCTTCCAAACATATTCAGAGTCCCAGCCCTTTCCCCTCATTTCCTGCTAATTCCCCAGCCCAAGCAGGGCCATTGCATGCACAGCTCCAACATGTGTGCAACGGTGCCCTTAGGATTGTAGGGTGCACAGTCAGCCTGGGGTGGCCTTGTGATACCCAGTGGTATGGTTTGGCTGTGTCCCTACCCAAATCTCATCTCGAGTTGTAGTTCCTATAATCCCCATGTGTCATGGTAGGGACCTGGTGGGAGGTAACTGAATCATGGGGGTGGTAGCTGCCATGCTCTTCTCATGATAGTGAGTAAGTTCTCAAGAGATCTGATGGTTTTATAAGGAGATTTTCTCCCACTTCACTCTGCCCTTCTTGCTGACGCCATGTGAAGAAGGATGTTAGCTTCCCCTTCCACCATGATTTTAAGCTTCCTGAGGCCTCCCCGGCCCTGCAGAAATGTGAGTCAATTAAACCTCTTTCTTTTATAAATTACCCAGTCTTGGGTATTTCTTCATAGCAGCATGAGAATGGACTAATAGACCCAGCATCTTCTACCTGGAGTATATTTTGTATTTTTCGTATGTTTTATTGCTTATTTGTCACATCCATTTCGGAATGAAAATCCTTTTGTTAAAGCAAAAAAAAAATTGAACACTCTCTGCTGGTCTTAGAACTTCATTGTGGTTGCCTCCCAACCAGGCTACCTAAATCTACCTCCCTACCTTTCTGTTTATTCTAAACACAGCAGCCCGAGAGATCCTGTTAAAGCATGAATCAGATCATGGGACTCCATGGCTCCAGTTCCTCCAAGAGCTTCTCATCTCAACCAGGGAAAAACCCAAAGTCCCCCAGTGGCCTCAGCTTCTCCCTACCTCTCTGACCTCACACCCAACCCTCACCTCTGACTCACCCAGCTCAGGTGTGCTGGCTTTCTCTCTATTTCTAGAGCCTTGCCAGATGTAGCTGGTCCCTCTGTGGGGAATTCTCTCCCCAGTGAGCATGTTGATGGTGGGCTGTCTTGCCTTAAGTCTTCAATGCAATGTCACCTTCTCAGAGGAACTTTTTCCAACCACTGTTGTTAAAATTTCAGCTGCCCCTTTACATTCCACATCCCTCTCCCCTGCTTTAGGTTTCCCATAACACTTACTACTGTTGACATACCACACACCTGACCTATCTGGCACTTTCTTCTCTGCCTCCCTCCCAAGAAAGTGACATTTCTGACGGCAGGAGTTATTGTCTGTTTTGTTCGGTAGCTCCACTGCCTAGCACTGTGCATTGCACATAGCAGGTCCTCAATGAATATTTTTAAATGAATAAATGGATAGACGAATGGATGAATTTATGGACAGATGGGGATGGATAATGGATAGATAAATGGTTGAATGGATGGATGGATGGATAGATGGATGGATAAATGGATGGATGGGTGGATGGGTGGATAAATGGATGGGTGGATGGATGGGCAGATACATAAATAGATGGATGAATGAGTGTGTATCATTCCTCTAACCCAGAGAAAGCACAGTTGGCTGCATAAGAAGTGCCTAAACTCGAGAGTACTGGGACCACCAGCGGAGATTCTGATTCAGTAGGTTTGGAACAGGGCCTAGGAATATCATTATAATAGGCTCCCCAGGGTTCATCATATACAGTGAAGTTTGAGTTCAAGGGATGACAGAGAGGTCCACAAAAGGTTGGCTTGAACATCTGGCTGAATGATATGTTATGTACACATTAGACACTCAGGGAACATTCTCTGGGAAGGACGGGATTTAAGGAGAGGTGACAGTGGCCTTACTTTGTTTGAAGAGCATGTCGTCTGTCATATGTCTTCCTTCAAGCTTTCACAAACTGTTTACGCTATGACCCAAATTCCACCTGGAAAATGCATCAATAGAGCATGTACTGTAGCCTCCTCCATCCTCAACAGCGGAGGTCATTCATCTCCTCACTTCTTTGCTGGGAAAGTGATGGGAACTTGCAGCAGCAGAGACTCCTCATAACACATCAGCCCACCTGTCACCTGCTGTCATAATCAAACGTCACCTTCAACCAGCACCTTGCATGCTCTGAGCTTGACGCACATTTTTGCACTGCCTTTTCAGGAGTCACTTCATCCAGTTCCCTGGCAGTTACTTTCAAGCTAGAAGACACTAGCTCCATGTTCCACAGTATTTCATGCATGCCTGTCTCCTAGCCTTGCCAATACAGTGTCATGAAGAATCTGTGCACATAAAGGTCCAGTCATCTTTCATCACCAGGGCCTGAAATGAGTGGTCATTCATTAAATGTTTGCAGGCAGGAAAGAGAAAGTAGGGGGAAGGAAGGAGGGAGGGAAAGTGTAATAGCGTGAAGCCACAGCAGTTTAGCAGAAATAAGACACAAGGCACTGGCCAGGTGCAGTGGCTCATGCCTGTAATTCCAGCATTTTGGGAGGCTGAGACAGGAGGATCACTTGAAGTCAGGAGTTTGAGACCAGCCTGAGCAACATAAAAGTATCTTTAAAAATTAAAAAATATATACAAGCATTAATTTAACAAAGATGTGAAATGATAAGCAGTAGCAGAGGATAGCGAGAAGAGTGGAGGCACAGCTGTTTAATGGATGCTGCCAGCACCCCACCAGCATCACCTAGGTACTCTCCATTCATACACATGCCCATGGCTTGTGACCTTCAAACCCCTGTGCCTGCTGCATGAAAGAGTTCAATGGCTGCAGGGCCAGGCATGGCTGACCAAGCTGGGGAGTTAATATCCCAGGGCTGCTCTCAACTATGATGGAAGGCAGCGAGTGGGTGAATACCCAGCTTCCTCTTCCCCCAGCAGAATGTAGCGGATGAGCCCGAATGCCCTCGGGGCGGGGGGGTGGTGGGGACCTGCTTACAAGAACTCCCTGCCTTGGTTTCCCACCCTCCCCCACCCCTTTCCCGACTCACTTGCCATGGCTCTCTAGGATCACCTCTAAAATACATGACTTGCACTCACATCTTGGTTTGGGGGTCTGCTTCTGGGGGAGCCCAACCTAAGCCAGTCCCCAACTGGAATAAGCTAAGTCACTTGCACAGATGTGAGACACGTTAGAAGCTGCAATCGTCTCACATTGTCTCTGAGGCCTCTGAAAATGTACAGAATTAGTAAAAACCCTGCTATTGACTAAAGAAAGCCTCAGATCTGGCATGACGGCTAACCAGTTATAAAAATAGTTGAAAGTAATTGCACGCTTCCAACGACCACCTCCGCCCCCGACAGGGTAATGCTTCAATTCCCTGCTCTGTGCAGTGATTTCCTGTATCCTTATTTTCATCTTCTGACTCCTCTGCTGCTGTAGGAAAAGTTCCCTTGTGCAGCTCAGCGCCTTTTTCTGTTCAACCAGTTCCCAAGCATCACCCACTCGGGAGAGCTGTGCAGGAGAATCAGGCTCTGTGCGTCTACACAGGGAAGTGACCCCGGCTGAAAAAAAATATTAACAACTGAAATGTACACAAAATGGGGTACATTTTGAGTGTGTGGGCATGATTAGTTATTTAATCTGAGTTTTTCTATGAGAGCTACAGACACAAATGACCAATTATATAATGACCCTATCCTGCTTCAAACTGATTTCTTGGCTTGAGGTGGGGGAGGCTGGCCCTGTGCTTGCCATTCTTCCCCTCACGGCATGTGTCCTTCATGGGGTCACCACCTCTTCCCACGTCTGTGCTCCTCTCCAGAATGGCACCTCCCGAGAGCAGACGTAGTGTCTTGCTCACCTTCGTATTCTCCACAACCCAAGCAGTGTCCAGGGTCATTCAGGAGATGCTGGCTGAGTGAAAGCAGATGGGTGAATTCATGGGCTTTTGCTCATTTTCTCTCTGTCCTTTAGGTGTCAGAAGACATGCACTTCCAGGAAATTCTTTTTCCAAGAACCTGCCTTTATAGGGATGCTTACATTTTAAAAGGATCATTCAGAGGAACATAAAAGTTTATACTTGCTTTTATTCAGTCTAAGAGTTGTCTTTTAACAGAAGAGTTTAAACATTTACTTTGCCATATTAACTGATTTGCTTGGTCTTAATTCTGTCATCTTAATTTATGATGTTTATTTATGTTTCCCTCATGCTTCCAATGTATTTCCTTCCCTACCTTTTGCCATATTGCCAGGCAGTACTTGTTCTCTTTTTTCTTGATGATTTGTGCATTTTCTGTTTACTTCACTAACAACGGTAATGCTTAAGTTTGATTTGCATATATATACATATATATATATAAATCAACATTTGTATAAACTGCATCCTTTAGCTTTCTTATGTAGGATGAGATGTTAACATGTAGCCTGTTATTGGTCTTTTACCTTTCTCACGTAGGATGAAAGCATGTAGCATGTTATATTGTTTTTTTTTTCTTTTGCTCTATCTCCCTTCCAAGCTGTTGGTAAAGTCAGTGAGAATTTAAATTGCAGATGATTATCGTTAAACTATTTTTACATTACAGATCATTTCTTTTTAGTATTATTATTATTATTTTTTGAGACGGAGCCTCGCCTTTGTTGCCCAGGCTGGAGTGCAGTGGCGCTATCTCGGCTCACTGCAACCTCCACCTCCCACTTTTAAGCGATTCTCCTGCCTCAGCCTTCTGAGTAGCTGGGATTACAGGCACGTGCCACCACACCCAGCTAATTCTTGTACTTTTAGTAGACACAGGGATTTGCCATGTTGGCCAGGCTGGTCTCGAAATCCTGACCTCAGGTGATCTGCCCGCCTTGAGGCATTGAGTTTTATAAACTTGTTATCAATGTTTACTTACTCCTTCATGTCCATTTCATGTGGTTTATTTTATACAAATCTTCCCTGTTATTACCTTCCACATTTTGATCATTGCTCAGTTCTCAGGAGATCTTTCCTGGCAACTTTCACAGTGGGGGAAGGGGCCCTTCCTGAGATCGTTGTGATTGTGGCCACAGGAAGGGACGATACTTGGCAAGATTGGATGCTGGGGCCACAGATGTCCCCTCAACACTCAGAAGCTGCGGGTCCACTGTGACTGATATATCTTGCTGCAAAGAAGTGAAATGCCTGTTTTGTTTTGTTTTGTTTTGTTTTGTTTTGTTTCAGCAGGTTGCCTGTATTTCTGGAATTTTGAAATCTTCACAGAGATGTATCTAATTGTATGCTTTTCTTCTTAAAATCCAAAATGCAAATCGTTTCACTTTTTTTCTGATTATAAAAGTAATAAATACTCAGTTTTCTGGAGGAGCCAATCTACTATTGACTACTTGATTAGAAACAAAACAAAACTTACGAAGCATCCTTCCCAGTTTATACTACTCCCTTTTCTCTCTAAAGAATGTCCTCAAATCTCTTTGAGAATGTGAATTGGTTATTTCAGAGTTATCTTGTGCTCCTGAGGCAGGCTGTCAGCATAGGGAGGTATTTGTACAGGTTGGTCCCTTCTTTAAAACCATGGATGCTGTTCAGATATCTCACAATTTCCAGTTTGCTGGGTGTTCCAGTGGAGAGATGTGTTAGTTCCTGAGCCCTCAGCTGAGGATCTTGAGAGGCTCCTGACCCCTGGAGCCAGGTTCCTTTCAGAGTTGCCACAGAGCCTGTCCTCTGATCTGCTTGGGGGATGTATCCCCAGTAGGTCATATTCTTTGTAGTATTTAATTCACATATAAACACGAACAATATCTCATATTACTGGCTAATTTTAAATTAGAAATGTTCTGTTACTTGTACCTCTTTAAGGAAGAGACCACACATTTCTACTTTTTATTCCCCTTAACACTTACACTGTTCGAAGGTAATACATCAACTGACTTGTTTGCATGGTGGAATTATGGAAAATACAAAATATAGGCATGTTTGCTAGACAGATATTTGAATGTAATATTTTATTCTTTCTTCTAGGTCGCTTGGAAAGGGTCCTGACCCACCCACCATGTCAAGCAATTATTTTTCTGGACAGCTTCCTGATGTCCCCAAGGAGAGAGAGAGCGTGACAGCCAGTGAGGGAAAGCATGCCACAGGTCCCGCCTGCTAACCTGGCAGGAGGGTGCTTGCAACACCTAATTTATCAACGCTTGTTTTCCCTGCTGGAGCCAAGTACACAAAATCACTCCGCCAACAGAGAAAGAGAAAGGGGAAGCCATTCTTCACCTTTTTCAGTAATGTATTTTTGTTTTGGTCAATTTCCCAGATAAATTATGGTCTTGTCTCATTGCTGCATTGGTGGAATTCTTGCTAGTGTTATTTAGTACATTTTAAAGCTGTGTGAAACCAAAAGGTACTTAAAAAAAAAAAAAAAAGGAAAGTTAACCAAATTGAAGGGTAAATTTTTTACATTGTTCCACTGGCTCCAGTTGGAGCTTAATCATCACGACCCTTCCTTCAGTCCACAGCGCCTGCTTCAAGATGCAGCAGAAGTCAAAATTGCAAGAGTCTGGATGTTTTGCTTTCGTGTAACTCATTAGGCATTTCCCCCTGTGCTATGATAAATGTCTCTCTCAACCAGAAATTTTATCTCACCTGTGTATGTCCCTATTTCACTCTGCGGAATCACTCTCAGGAAATACAAGCTAATGATGTCTGTGGTTCTGAAATTTCCTTGTTATTATTTGTTTAAGACATTTTTTAAAAAAACCTGTGGACAGCTTATTAAAAGGATGCTGAGCAATGAAAACATTATTAGACCATATTATTGTTTATTGTACCCAGATGTCGTGCATTTTACACATCCCAAAGGATTAGTAGTAATGTTGGATACCAAAATCTTACTTTTCCTTGCAGATATTGAGACTAAATTTTTCTCATTAAAAACAAAACATTTACACTGAACAAATGGTGCGTGTCCGGGTGAAGCATCAGGTCTCAAGAAGGCAACACTGCTCAAACGAGACTTAGGACAGAACTGGAGACCAAAACAAAGCTGAGGCTACTGTTGGAAATACTGGTCTAAAAAAAGGAAGAGTGTGGTATGCTTGTTTTTTAGTTTTATAGAATTTTCCATTTGGAAAGGAGAGAAATGCATACATCCAAGCTGAAATAAACCATTCTAGCAAACATGCCGAGGAATAATTTTCAAGAATGTTTTGTTTTTAATGAAAAGGAAAGCAAATCAAAGAAAACCTGGGTAAGTGTTAAAGAGTACTAAATTTATAGTAAGGTTCAGGCAATCTGCCCACTGCAATCAGAAAGGTTTGGGCTGTTAGTCATTTAAGACACACAATGGGAAAATAAACAAAGAAGGAGGAAGGGGGAATGGTAAACTGTAGTTTGGCAGCAAAATTAGTCCAGCTAGTTCCATTACATATTAAACCATGTCACAAAGCAAATAATTGAAATAATGAGGAGCTCATTTTTTAAAAGATATATAGAGTAGCATAACAGAATCAACAAAAATAAGACTGTTTTATATAACAATTCAATAGACAATAAATAAGCACTCCATTTGGGGAAAAGAATCACACAATAAATGATGCTGGGATGGCTTGTGAGTAATTTGGAGAAAACTGATCTAGAATGAGAGCGAGTATTCCACATTCGCCACTCTCTTGTCTTTTGGCTTTCTATCACCTTGGCCAATGGAGGAAGACAGCAAAAAACAGGAAGGAGGAAGAGTATGAAGGGAGTCATTTCTCCCCGGCACTCCATGCCAGGTTGCTCCAGAAGGCTGTGTCTCTGTCCTAAGGGCTACAGCTTGGCTTGGGCAGTCTTTCCATACAACTCTCCAGGTTCGGGAAATTGCTTACTCATCTGCCCCTGCAAGTGCAGGGATGACAATCACTTCCAGCTGAGCTGAGCCCAGCATGCTGCATCATTCTTTGTTGATGTCCCTCAACTCCGCTGGCGCTATCTTGATTATCCTTAGGCTTACCTCAGTTCCCCAGTCCTAGTGGGCCTTCTGGTTCCTCCTGGGGCACTGACTGATCCAGGTGCCCTGGGGTTCAGTCGCTAAGTTTCAGCTTCCTATGTGATGGGGTTTGGTTCTGTCCTTGTCTAAATCTCATGTTGAATTGTAATCCCCAGTGCTGGAGGTGGGGCCTGGTGAGAGGTGACTGGATCATGGGGTGGATTTCTCACGAATAGTTTAGTGCCGTTCCGTTGGTGCTATCCTCATGATAGTGAGTGAGTTCTTGCAAAATCTGGTCATTTAAAAGTGCTCCTGCTTTTGCCATGTGATGTGTGACATGCGTACTCCCGCTTCACCTTCCACCACGATTGTAAGTTTCCTGAGGCTTCCCCAGAAACTGAGCAGATGCCAGTATCATGCTTCCTGTACAGCCTGAGGATCCATGAGCCAATTAAACCTCTTTTCTCTATAAATTATCCAGTCTCAGGTATTTTTTATAGCAATGCAAGAACAGCCTAATACTGTGCAATTTCAGAATCCCAAGTTTCTCTATTTACCCAAGACCGGGGGGTGCTCCCGCGGCCTGATTCATGCTCACAGACATGCAAATGGATGGGGGGTGTGAATTAACATAATGCTCTAACTCAAGTCATTCTCACCAGGCAATTCTGCCCCCCAGGGGACATTGGCAATGGCTGGAGACATTTTTGGTCACCACAACCTGTTGGGGAGGGTGAGGGGTGCTACTGGCTTCCGGTAGGTGGAGGCCAGGGATGCTCGCAAGCATCCCCAGTGCACAAGACAGCCCCCACGATGACGTACGACCCTTCCCGAACGTCCACAGTTAGTGCTTCCCTTGTGACCTTGTGAAGCCCTGCTCAGATTGTGAGGAGGATGATGCATTCACAGAGGCCAGTCTGCAAAGCACACTCTTCTCTCAAAGTTGATAAACCAATCTGGAAAACAAAATTTCTACCATTGACCCACTGGTGAGCACCAACCAGAGGATGAGGGGTTGGGGAGTGGCCTTAAGAGGAACAGTACTTGAGAGCTGTTGGGCTCTGAATGCCCAGTTTCTCTATCTCCACCCAGGGGATGGACCTCTCATGGGAACTGGGCAGCTCCTGCGGCAGCTCAGAAGAGCCTGCTGGTGTGCCTGGGTGGGGAGTGTGTGGGACACAGCCTCTGTGCAGGCTGCAGGGAGTCAGCCCAGGTTCCAGCACTCACTGTTCCCTGAGGTTAGTTTATTTCATCGCTGTTAGATTCTGTTTCATTATTCATCACATGTGGGTACTAACAGTGGCAAATTGTGTAGCGCTATAAGGGAATTCAATGAGATAATGCATGTGAGAGGCTTACGCTAACCTCCTGTGAATGTGGTCCTACAATGAGAGGCCTAGAGTCAAACCCCTTGTAGAAAACACTAGGTTAAATAAAATTAACCTGGATTTGCTTGTTTTCCTTGTAGGGCCTCTCAGGGCATTTAAAGCATTATTGAGCATTTCAGCTCTCTAAGAAAGGGGAACAATATACAGAGGTCTGCATACTCAGGCACCCTCAATCCCTGTATTACCTTACAGAAGTGACCTTCTCCAGCACACACCGCCGGAAACACTACTGAACCTCTGAGCACGCTGGCAAATGACTCAGTTCCTGGTGTATATATACAGGTGCCTGAGCTCATTAATTTTCTATTGGTCACTGTGAGCTTCTCTTTCAGAGGGTGGCATTTTCTAGTTGCTCCAAATCAAGGTCCTCTCTTTTGGAGTCTATAGCTGTGTTGGCCAATTTTATCCACCTGACTTTCCTGTTGTTTTTCTTTGCTCAGCTTTTAATACTGGCCTGGATTTTTAGACCTGCATTGTTATTAAATAAATGTAATATCTTTTGTTTTCCAACATTTAATCTTATTAGCTTCATTCAAAAAACAAAAGGTTAAATTGGGCTACCTGCTCATCGTCTTCTGGGTCTATGTGAAAAATGAAAAAAAAAAAAAAAAACTCCCTCCATGTTATTGTCACTTCAATCCAGGAAATTGAAATCAATACAGATACAGAAGTGGCAAGGTTTGCATTATTTTTCAGAGTCCAAAACATATGTATTTAAAATGTGTTAATAAACCATAAAACATTATACAAAATATAGAAACATTTAGTTCTCAAACTTGTGTTTCAGAAACACTCCCTTGAAAAATAAGTAAATTCAAATTACAGACTACCTAAAGTAATTATTAATGAAAGAAAAGGAAAAGAACCGGATGGGTGCGGTGGCTCACACCTGTAATCCCAGCACTTTGGGAGGCTGAAGCAGGTGGATCACTTGAGGCCAAGAGTTCAAGACCAGCCTGGCCAACATAGTGAAACCCATCTCTACTAAAAAATACAAAAATTAGCTAGGCATGGTGGCACATGCTTGTAATCCCAGCTGCTGGGGAGGCTGAAGCACGAGAATCACTTGAACCTGGGAGGCAGAGGTTGTAATGAGCTGAAATCGTGCCAATGTGCTCCAGCCTGGGCAAAAGAGCAAGACTCTGTCTCAAAAAAAAGGAAAAGAACTTAAGAATGTGAAGTCTCATGCACTAATGATTCAAAGTTTGGGAAAAGTACTGAATCATCCCCACTATAATATCAGGGCAATTGGCCATTTGATTAACACATTACAAGCCAGAGGTCACTTAATTCTGTAGGTTAGAGAACTTGCAAGAAACCAAACAGGCCACGGAGCACCAGGAGAGACAAGGAAATCCATGTGTCATAGGCAGAACTGTGCCCTCCCCAAATTCATCTGCTGAAGTCTTAATCCTCAGTACCTCAGAATGTGACCATATTTGGAGACAGGTTATTTAAAGAGGCAATTAGGTTAAAATGAGGTCATTCATGTAAGTCCTAATTTACATGACCAGTCTCTTGATACGAAGAAGTGATTAGGACAGAGACTCAACAGAAAGAAGACCACATGAAGGTACATGGAGGAGATGGCTGTCTACAAGCCAAGAAGAGAGGTCTCAGAAGGAACCAAGCCTACAGACACAGTGATCTCAGACTTCCAGCCTCCAGAACCGAGAGACAGTAAATATCTGTGGTTTAAGCCACCCAGTCAATGGAACTGAGTTATGGTAGCCCTTGCAGCCTCATACACCATGGCTCTGGGTTAGACATCCTCCGGGCTCATCACCAAGTGTGAATTCCCATGATTAAACACCATGGTTTTCCCCTGCACAGGCTGCTGCTGGAGTGTGCCATCACTTAGACTGGCTTTTCTCATCATGGGTTCCTTCTTTGAGATGTAACCAAGGCTCCGCTATGTGTTCAGCTTATCAAGGTTTTCCAGGATAGCCATGACATCTGGTTTCATTGACTAAAATGAGATTTCAGTTTCAGTCCAATGACTTGACATTTCATGTTCACTTTTCGGTCTGCTTCAGAATAATTCCAGAAAGAGTCAACTGATTTCATCAAAAGCTTTGTGTGACAGAAGGGTTCCAAATCTGAAATTCAATCTGTGGGCCAGGCTAATGTTTTGAAACAATAGCTTCAATATGGATTCAAATGGGCACTGCTATGATTAGACTGAAAAATAAAAAAATCTGTTCAGCTGCAAGAACATTAGAAAAAAAAAAAAAGAAACAGACAGAGGAGAGAAAGAAGATGAGAGAGAGAGGTGTATTTTTACCGGGGTAATTAATTGGTAAAAACTGGAAGAGTGGCAAGGAAGGATTCTGATGATGATAAGAATAGTTCTTGTTTGCGGAACACCTCCTCTGGCTCAGGTACTCTACTCCCATGTTGGATACTCTCCACCTCCCTGATAAGCATGTGTTAGCATTGTCAAGACCTATATACCATGACAGCGGTACGAAGATGGTAAATGAGTTGCCCAGGGCCGTACAGCTAGCAGGATGCCCTACTACTCTAAACTGACTTAGAGGCAGACACCGCTCCCATCATGGTGTGCTGCCTCCTCCAAATAGCAGGATTTTGGAAAGGAGACCCAGGAAGCCCTAGGCAGTGGGCAGAGCTGAGCACAGCCCCAGGCCTTGGTGTTATAAGTGAAGATTTCCAATGCAGGCCTTCTTGTTCTGATGGGGCAGGGTCCTGCCATATAGGATGTCTGCATATGTCTGGGAAAGACATTGCTGAGATAATTTAACTGCTGTCAGTGGCAAACAGTTGTAAACAAAGAGGCCAGATGCATGAAGTGCCGTATTTCAGCATCTCCAAATGGTCCAGGCTTTATGCACCCCTGTTTTGCAGTCAAAGAGATACTGTCAGTTTTAATTGTTCCAATCAATATCAAAATAATTTTAGAGAGTCATTTAATGCAAGGGTGACTCATTTTAAACAAAGCAGTTAATTTGTCTAACACAGCGCCGGACAACTGATCCCACTGAGAACACTCCAGCATGCCATTATTTCAGAGTGAAGATCTCTAATCCAGGCCTTCCTATGGGGGCTGGTTTGTCTTAGGCTTGGATAGACAAACAAAGAATAACATTTCAAATAGACGCTGAGGCAGAATTAATATCATTCATCATGGATTTCTAGCAAAATTGTTTTAAGAAACCCTCCTTAAAATGTTTAAATGCTCTTAATTCATTCATAATAAGATTCATAATATAATTCATAATATGCATAACTATTCATAATAATAATAATCATGTACATAATAAGAGTGAAGCAATCTAAAGACTTCCTCAAGTTCAAAAATGAAACAAAGATAACCACCAATCCCATTACTTTCCTATATTTTTAAGTACCCCGCAATGCAATAACACAAGAGAAAAATAAATAATGGTGAATGAATTCATTGGAGAGATACTTAATAAGTTGCTGCCAGATGCTCTAAGCATGGGGAGGCAGTGGTTAGTTAGGTAATCTTCTGACCCACATGGAGTTTATCTTCTAATATGGTTTTGCTCTGCGTCCCCCCGCAAATTTCATGTTGAATTGTAATTCTCAATGTTAAGGGAGGGGCCTGGTGGAAGGTGATCCTGGGGGCGGATTTCCACCTTGCTATTCTCATGATAGTGAGTGCTCACGAGAACAAGCTTAACAAAAGTGTGTGGCACTTCCCCCTTTGCTCTCTTCCTCCAGCTCCAACATGTGAAGACGTGATGGCTTCCCCTTTGCCTTTGGCCATGATTTTAAGTTTCCTGAGGCCTTCCAGCCATGCTTCCTGTACAGCCTGTGGGACTGTGAGTCAGTTAAACCTCTTCTCTTCACAAATTACCCAGTGTCAGGTAGTTCTTTACAGCAATGTGAGAACAGATTAATACACCTATGGAGGGACAGAAACAAGGTTTGCAGGAATAAATAAGCAGGTGAATGGCAGGTCATGGTAAATGTAATGAATACGGGTTTTAAAGGTAGCATGGCAGAAAGCGGCAGAGATTGAGCCTCTATTTAAGTAGTAAACAGGCCTCTGCGAGGAAGTGATATTGGAAATGAGACCTGAATGCTGAGAGGAGCCAGCCCTTTGAAAGTTGGGGGAAGAACATCAAGGGTGGAGGGAAAGTGCTAGCAAAGTTCCTGGAGTAGGAACACACTTGGCATCTTCTGAGGGACAGGAAGAAAGCAGTGAGGATGCAGCGCTAGACGGGGGAGGACAAACCAGGATGAAGCCAGGAGAGAGGAGACTGGGCTGTGCAGGGAGAGGAGTCGGGGTCCGTCAAAGGGCAATGGGGATGCGGCAACAGGTTGATAAACAAAATACAATATACACACATGGAGGGGAATATTATCCAGCCTTAAAAAGGAAGGAGATCCAGACCCCTGCTACAACGTGGATAAACCCTGAGGACATCACACGCAGTGAAATAAGCCAGTCACAAAACAGAAATGCGGTATGATTCCACTTACATGGGGTCCCTAGAGCAGTCCAATTCATGAAGACAGGCGCAGAGTGGGGGCTCCCAGGGGCTGAAGGGATGGGGAGGGGTCGTTTAATGGGGACAGAGTTTCAGTTCTGCAAGACGCACAAGTTCTGGAGATCTGTTGCACAACAATATCGCAGGAACGCTTAATGCTACTGAACTATATGCTTAAAAATGGTAAGATGGCAAATTTTATGTTACTTTTTTGTTATAACAATTAAAAATATAGTTTTTAAAAATTTTCAAAACGGGTAATGGGGAACTGTGGAAAAGCAGAGACACTTAGATTTTTAAAAATATGATTAGTTTAAGATGACTGGACTCCACCCCCAAAAAGTCTAAAAGACAAACTTACTGAAAACATAAACAGAATTTAAAAAAAAACCCTCTGAAGAAGAAGACCCCTCTGTATATAAGAAAAATATACAAAGAGTAGCAAAGTCATTAATTATATGAAACAAACAAAACCATTGTGAAATTCAAGATCCCGTTTATAAAACATTCAAGAATCTGAAATCATAATAAACAGAATTGCATATCATCATTATTAAAAACCTCGCGGCTGGGCGCGGTGGCTCACGTCTGTAATCCCAGCACTTTGGGAGGCCGAGGCGGACGGATCACAAGGTCAGGAGTTCGTGAGCAGTTTGGCCAACATAACGAAACCCCGTCTCTACTAAAAATACAGAAATTAGCCGGGCATGGTGGCGTGTGCCTGTAATCCCAGCTACTCAGCGGGGCTAAGGCAGGAGAGTTGTTTGAACCCAGGAGGTGGAGGTTGCAGTGAGCCAAAACCGCGCCACTGCACTCCAGCTTGGGCAACAGAGTGAGGTTTCATCTAAAAAAAAAAAAAAAAAAAAAAAAATCCTTGCAAAGTTATTGAAGAGGTACTCAATAAATTGCTGCTGGATGAATGAGCGAAATTAGAATGTGTTATCAGGAGTATAAAAAGAAGACAAATAAAGTAGAGAAACATCGTGTTCTATTTCACAGATATAACGTGATTCCAACTGAAATATAAATAAAGACCTTTTTTTAAAATAACTCAGCCAAATATTGTTAAATTCATTCAGCAAAAATAAAATAGAGGTGAATTTGCCACGAAGCTAAGGACACAGAGGTTTCAGGGCCCCTCATTTGCTCTCTTTCACAGAGGGAGCTTGGATGTTTTGTATTAATTATTTTGTCTTGTTTTTCTTAAGAGGGCACTCATACGGTGTAAGTTTTGTGTTCCACAAAACACATAGTCTTCCCTGTGTGGGTATGTTAACAAATATTCCAAGTAGAAGAAAATAAACCTTAGCCTTTTTAAAAAACATAATATTAGCTCCCATGGCAATAAAATGCCAAGTAGAATTGCAAAGAAATGAAAATAAAGATGAAAGGATAGAATAGGCATGGCAGAATAGACCCAGAATAATATATTATTATGCAATCTTCTCAAAACAAAAGGATAAGGAATTGTAATATAAATAATGTTGGGATAATCAGGGAGCAATTTGGAGAAAACCTAATTTATATCCATACTTTACACCATAATCCCTGAATAAAGAAGGTTGTTTCATCATTACAAATATATTTGTAGAGAAAAATCAGCAGAAAATATCCTACCTTGCAAGAAATAATAAATATTTTTTTTCAAAATTCAAGGAAATGTAAAGCAGACTGATGGGCAATGCAATGTTGAAAATTTTGACTGCACTGATTAAAATAAAAAGAACTAGACTAAAATGTAGGAGGAGACATGTAAGATAAAATATTTACCTGAATTATGTCAACAAATATGATTAATATTGATAATAACCTTTGAAAATACTCATGCATATTTGGAAAGACTTAAGACCTTCATAAAAAAAATGAGTCAAGGCCAACTACAAAAAATATACACATATAAGCAGATAAAAATAATAAACCAGCACTTGAATAAACATAAAGTAAGATAAAAATAACGTAAAATAAAATATAAAATAACATAAGATAAAAATTAACATAACAGCATATGTGAACTTTTAAAACTTAAATCAGAAAATAGTTTAAATAATAACATCTGTTGGTGGTGAAGTTGGGATAAAACTAATATATACATAGATGTGTGTGTGCATCTGTGTGTATGTAATACACAGTTGATAGCATTGTACATTAATACAAACTTTTTTAGATCACTGTGCTTTGGCAACTAAATTTTTTAACCTTGTTTTCCCACATTTAGAAATTTATCTAGCAGGAATGATTAAAGAAATAATTAAATAGAAGCTATAATTGGCCGGGCATGGTGGTCACGCCTGTAATCCCAGCACCTTGGGAGGCCAAGGCAAGTGGGTCATCTGAGGTCAGGAGTTAGAGACCGGCCTGGCCAACATGGTGAAACCCCGTCTCTACTAAAAATACAAAAATTAGCTGGATGTGGTGGCATGCGCCTGTAGTCCCAGCTACTCGGAGAGGCTGAGGCAGGAGAGTTGCTTGATCCTGGGAGGCAGAGGTTGCAGTGAGCCAAGACAGTGCCACTGCACTCTAGCCTGGGAGACAGTGTGAGATTCCATCTTAAAAAAAAAAAAAAGAAGCTATAATTTATATTTAAAAATTAATTGTTGCCGTGATATCTGTTAGAGAAAAAAATAGGAACAACTCAAATGTTGAATAACAAAGAAATAGATGAGCAAATTCTGGTACTTCAATGTGATTGAATCACGTTGAACGAACTGAACAAAACAGTTAAAAGACCATGTAGAAACTCAGGCAAGTGTACACTATAATATAAAATGAATCAAGTATGTGAACACAGACCCAAGGTGAACAAATGCCTACCCGATCCACCCACCCATTAGAGTAGAGAAGAAGTAGTTAGATTCAACATCTCTGGCCCTTGGGATGTGTGTGTGGCTGGGGTGGAGAGGGGGTGTAGCGGTTGGTGCTCAGAACTAATGGGAATTGCCAGATATCATAACTACTTTAAGTAAGAAAACAGTGGATTCCCATATTTTATTTTTTTAACCCATAGTGTGTTTCTATTAAGATTCTGCCTTTTAGGACGAGACCCTCTTAAATGTCAAAACCAGAGTGAAGATGTCCATTACCTGCATATAAACCACGAGATTTTGGCAGGCAATTTTTAAACATCAAAAGAGTGCTCTAGGAATTCCAAATAAAAACCAAAGTCTTACTTTCATTTGCTTAAAAGAGTTTCTTTTCTTCTCACACTCTCATTCTTCATCATAGATCCACTCTACATCAAGTAGTCTATTATTTTCCACTTGGGGAGAAATATGGCTTGATGTGACTTTAGCCTTTCAAACTTAAACCTGCAGAGCCAAGTTCCAGTAGGGAAATGAATTTTTATAGCACAGTTAAAAGTAAAGAGTGGAAACACTGTAAAATCGTTAACAGTCTTCAGCTTTATCACACATTCCTTCATCATCGTCGGTCGGATGGGACAGCCCTGAGATGCCACCAGTCTTCGGGGCTAGGTCCATTACCTGTGCATCTCCACCTGAGTTCAGGCTCTTCAAAACAGAAAATATTATAGAATCCTTTACTGTAAATATTTTATTTATTTATTATTATTATTTTTTGAGACGGACTTTCGCTGTTTTTGCCCAGGCTGGAGTGCAATGGCACGATCTCGGCTCACTGCAACCTCTGCCTCCCGGGTTCAAGCGATTCTTCTGCCTCAGCCTCACAAGTAGCTGGGATTACAGGCGCGTGCCACCATGCCTGGCTAATTTTTTGTATTTTTAGTAGAGATGGGGTTTCACCATGTTGGCCAGGATGGTCTCGATCTCTTGACCTCATGATCCGCCCGCCTCGGCCTCCCAAAGTGCTGGGATTACAGGCGTGAGCCACCATGCCCAGCCCTAAGTGTTTTAATTTTTAAATGAAGGAATGTACCATTTATAGAAAAAACACTTTAATATTACAAACCAAACAGAAGGACTTTAAACATATATTTAAGTAAATAGTGTTTAGGCTCATTTTCTATTGATAGTGTCTTATCAAATATATAGTGTTTGTACATAGTATGGATGTGTTTTGTAAAGCCCTCTTGAGCTAATTCTTTCGTACAACTCAATAACCTTGCAGGAGGATTAGTGTAGAAGGTATGTTTCTGTGAAATAAGCACTCAGAACAGTGCCTGGCATATGGGAAGCACTACATAGTTTTCAGCTGCTGCTGATGTTATTATTGTTATTGTTATTATTATTGTTATTATGTGGGGCAAATGTGTTTTCTGGAATGTAGCCAACAACGGAGAACGTTTTGGAGACTGAGCAAAGGCTCAAACTGAATATTCTGGAGACAATGATGCTTACAGAATGGTCCAAGATATTGACTGAGGATGAACCTGCAAGGCTGAATATATCATTACTCAGCAATGAATACGTACTGCGTGGTTTACATTGTCCATGAAATACACGACAATTCATTAAGAAAGAGTTCATGGTCTTAGGAATGAACTTATACAATATTAAGGTTAAACATATCAGGCAGAGGGATATGGAATTTAAACAACATGCCACTTCTGGGTTTTTTGTTTTTTGTTTTTTTCATTAGTGGGTGTTAATTCTAAATTGACTAGGATACAACTGGGGAACACTGGGGAATGCGGGAGGCAGAAATAAAAGGCCAGGAGGGAAATATGAGAGAAAATTTAATCTTCTATATGGAAACCATGGGCAGAGCCAACGGGCTCCAGTCGTCCCGGCTGAGGTCACTGTGAAGTTGAACCCAGACATGGAGTCCCAACCACAATCAGCAAGGGTGCCTGGATGGTGACCTCCCCAGACCAGGCAGCAACAAATGTCAACCTTCTCTCCTAAGTATGCCTAAAATCCGTCTAAGTCTCCCCATCTCCACAATCATCAGTTTAGATCATTCATTCACTGAAACAAATATTTATTCAGCACTAACGCTATCCCAAGAACTAAGCCAGCTGCCAGATTCGAATAGAGAGGAAACCAGGTGAATTCCCTGGAGACCCACTGGTCTTCCTGCATCTGCTCCAACTCACCGGGAATACCAGCTTCAAGCTGCAGTGAGAGAGACATTTCAGTGCCCGTGTCTCGTTATAGCAGGCACTGCTACACCCTCCATGGCTTCTCTTTGCTCTTAGGGGATGTGTTAGGGCAGAAAAGATAAATAGATGGATAAATAGATAGATGGGTAGATAGATTGATTGATACATAGACAGATACAAAAATAGATATATGAGAAGGTATTTAATAGGGGACTTGGCTCACACAATTATGGAGGCTGAGAGGTTCCACAATAGGCCTTCTGCCAGCTTGGGAACCAGGAAAGCCAGGAGCATAGCTCAATCTAAGTCTGAAGGCCTGAGAATCAGTCGGCTGTTGGGGTAAGGGTAACTCTCAGTCTGAGGCCAACCACCTTAGAACCAGGACCACTGGTGAAAATCCTGAAGTGTGAAGGCTGGAGAGCCTGGAATTCTGATGTCCAAGAGCAGGAGAGCAGGAGAAGAAGGTTGTCCCAGCTCCAAAAGAGAGAGAAGAGATTCTTCTTTCCTTTGCGTTGTGTGTGTGTGTGTGTGTGTGTGTGTGTGTGTGTGTGTGTGTGTGTTTTGCTCTATCTGAACCCTCAACCCATTGGATGGTGACCACCTACATTGGGTGAAGGTGGACCTTCCTTACTCAGTTACTGATTCAAACACCAACCTCTTCTGCAAACACCTTCACAGGCATATCCAGAGATGACACTTAACCAGCTAGCTGGGCAACCCTTAATGCAGTCGACACCTAAAATTCACCATCACAGGGAGGGAATTCTTAACAGGGACCACGGCTCCTACCCCTTCGCCACATCTCCGTTGGCCCCTGTGCTTCTTGGCCCCCCTACTTCTGTGGAACCTTTGGTGACAATGCTTCCTCTTAGTATAGAGACTATCTACTTTCTGTTCCCTGTAATGGGAATGCTGTTCCCTCCAGTCCCCAGCTGGTGAACTCATTCTCTGACGTGCCTAACAAGTTCAAGTTCCCTCTTAATGGGCTCTCATAGCATGGTATTCTGTTCCTTAATGAATGCACTTGCAGTTCACAGGATGACAATTAGATCAGCATCTGTACCCCCTCCCCATTCCTCATCTGTAAACTCCGTTATATTCCCAGTATCTAGAACTGTGCCCAATCAATATCTATTGAATGAATGAGCAATATAATTTCTATTTCAAATATGAAGAAACAAGAATGAGGAAGGTCACATAACTTACCTGATATCACATATTAAGTAAATGTGAAAGTCTGAACTTGAACCCAGAGTATCTGATTCCAAAGCCCCTATTCTCATGCTTTCTTACAGGGATAGGACCGTGCATGTAGAAAGAGCCAGGGTCCAAGCTTGCACCTTCAGGGTAACCTGAGCCAATTCCCTCATCTCAGCTGCCTGGGCAGCTGTCAGCCAAGCCTGGGGACACAGGGTTGGAGGAAGCATCCCTCCTGCAGAATTCTCCACACTACTGTGTAAAGGCTGGCTGCTGTCCACAATTGCTCATCATCCAGGGACTACAGGAGAATAGGGATGAATCTCTTTGTTTCCACAGACTTCTGTGACCTTTCATTTTCATCATCTAAAAAAAATCTCGACCATGTAGGAGACCATTAAAGGACTTCACTTGCTTCAAGGGATCAACAGCTCATGAAATGGCATGTCTTTGTTGGTGCAGAGAAAGGCTGCAGTGGTCCGATTTCTATTAAAAGTAAATAGTTAAGCTGCAGTCCTGAGGCAGCTGAGGAGGTGATTAGTGTGCTGACACAGTGATAGATGATAAACATAATAGAGCTTGACGGAAATTAATGATATTTTGAATCTTTAATAATGGTACGTAACTATCTAAAAGAGATATCTCCATCACAATGTAATTCTTTTAAAAGCCAGGGGAGCTTTGATGACAACTGAGTAAAAACTTTGTATATGGACAAGATTAGAGGGAAACACGGTAAACGGAAATAATTAGATTTCCAGAGTGTCAGAGTGATAGGACTGTGAGTGAGTCTTTTATTTTAATTTCCTTTAATATTATCACGATGGGCTTATGAACAATTGATTCTTTTAAATATAAAAAACCGAGTGGAAAGCTGTCCTCTTCAAAATACGTGTCTGTTTTTTGATGAGAATACAAAGATTGAGTTAATGCATGCCCTTTTCCCTCCTTCCAGCAACCCGAACATTCTCTGTTCCATCCTGCAAATGAAAGTTACATGCAGGGCCATTGTCTGTGAGTTCTTGTCCATTAAGAGTTTGGGAAAATGCACACTTGCCCCAAGAGAAAAGGTCAGAAGCCGGCCAAAGGAATGCCTTCTGGGACAATGGGCCATTGTGACACCCGGGGCCTTGATTAATCACCTACATCTTCGGCGAAACTATTCTAAGTGGCATTGCAAGAGACACCCCGAGTTAGAGGCTGCATGAGAAGAGGAAGGGAGGCATGCTCAGGGCGAATTTGGGCGTCCCTCCTACATAACAGGATCCATGATCTGGAATGCCACCCTGACTGGGCAGCAACCTTTAATTAAGTTCCCATTTCCTCACATCCTGGTTTGTTTCACTGCTAATCAGATGGAAATATTAATTGAGATCATAAATAATAATCCTGTGAAAACATATATGGCAGTTAGAGGCATTATAAGCCATCACTGATTTTCATAGCAAAGCCTGTTCCCAACAGCCACATGCTGAATCCGTGGGCTCTAAAAGTGGCCCATAGCATCTGTGGAAGCTCATAGGGTTGGCAATTCCAGAATCACGTCTAAGGACCTTCCCTGCACTAAGTTTGCAAATTAGTCACAACCTGGTTTACGCTGGTGCAGTTATCTGAGTAAGCCGATAATGCTTTGCATACATTTCATTTCCTTCCACTAAGGAGCTGAGAGCGGTTTCTCATGATAAGAAACTTGGCAGTAAAAGAGTCCACTAGACCTCACATTCCCTGAATATCTCAAAAGTTGGCTTTGCTTTCCTAACAAGAGCAAGCCATTTCTTCAATTTACACAATCTCTTCAGAATCCTTCTGGAAAAATGACCAGGTTTTACCCACGATGTCAAACCAGCAAGAAGGCGAAAGACAACCCGTGCTCAAGCTGCCTGATGAACGCGCTGGGCTTTGTCTGGCCTAACCTGTGAACTCCTTCAAGCACCGTCATGAACGCCACCCTCTGCACGGCGACAGACTGTCATTCTTCCCGCAAACAAATTTGCTTCCTGAGCAATGATTTTTGGTTTAAAGAACTGTTGACAGTGGTTGTTTGACAGAGACAGAAGGCAGAGACAGAAATGGGAGCAGTTTTGGAAAAGCAGGACCAAAAGAATCAATGAGTCTGAGGAGGGTCCCTCGCCTGCCAGCCCTTTCCAAGATCAGCGGGCCGTTTTCTGTAATTGAAAAGGGAGTTCTGGGGACAGGTAGGACCTGATGTGATGAGTTCCATTAAGCGGGAAGCGAGTATATCTTAATCAGAGACTATAGCCTAAGGACAAAAAGATAGAGAGCCTGGAGGTTAGCTGAAAAGAGAAAGAAGAGCAGAAGCTTGGGAAAGACACTGGAGAAGTTTGGGAGCCTCCTTGGCCTCGGTTGCTGGGTCCTGCTGCAGGAACACACGCAGAGGCACAGCACCCTGACTTCTGTTCAGTGCAGCAGCTTCTCTGCCTTCCTCCTTACCTCCCTCAGCTCCTATTCATGCAAACCTTTGTCCAGGAAAACTGGGGGGCATTGAAGTGACAAACGCAGGGCAGGACATTGTTCCAATTCCGGTTTCAGTACCAGATACCTGTATGACCTCAGCATGCTGGGCTTCGGCGTCTGCACTGAACAATTACAACACTGGACCAAGTGACCGCTCCATCTCTGTCCAGCAGGTCTGCTCTATGATAAGGCACGATTTGCTTTCCGGTATCAGCAGCTCAACAGCCCCTGTTCTGAGTGTCACAACAGTCTCCAAGATGGGTGTCCTGGTGATTTGCTGTTTTATAAAGCACACAGCTGTTATCCATCAATTCAGCCAGAGGATCTTTCTTTGCAGGCTCTGCTGACTGTTACAAAGGAAATAAGTAGTAGCACAAAGGAAACAAGACATAGTTATTCTCAAAGGGCTGAGAATCTGGTTGGAGAAATCAGACAGATTCACAGATGGGCAACAAAAGCTGATAAGAGGGCCGGGTGTGGTGTCTCATGCAGGTAATCCCAGCACTTTGGGAGGATGAGGTGGGTGGATCATTTGAAGTCAGGAGTTCAAGACCAGCCTGGTCAACACAGTGAAACTCTGTCTCCACTAAAAATATAAAAATTAGTGGCAGGGTAGTGGCATGCGCCTATAATCCCAGGTACTCAGGAGGCTGAGGCAGGAGAATCGCTTGAGCCTGGGAGGCGGAGGTTGCAGTGAGCCAAGATCACACCACTGCACTCCAGCCTGGGCAACAGAGTGAGACTTCATCTCAAAAAAAAAAAAAAAAAAAGGCTGATAAGACAACAAAATAAAAGACAATGCAGTGTAGTAGAAATGACCCTGGGGCTCCTTTTTTCCCCACTGTATTTTTTTTATTCTTATGGATCTCGGGGGTAGGAAGGTAGTTCTGTTACATGTCTACGTTGCATAGTGGTAACGTCTAGGCTTTTAGTGTACCCACTGCCCAAATAATGAACACTGGTCCCAACAGGTAATTTTTCAGCCCTTACCGACTTCCCATCCTCCCCACCTTCTGAAGTCTCCAAGGATTCCCCTGTATGTCCATGCGGGCCCACTGTTTAGCTCCCACTTCTAAGTGAGAACATATGATATTTGACTTTCTGTTTCTGAGTTATTTCACTTAGGAGAATGGCCTCCAGTTCCATCCATGTTGCTGCAAAACACATGATTCCATTCTCTTTTATGGCTGAATATATACACCACATATTCTTTTTCTTTTTCCTTTTTTTTTTTTTTTTTGAGACAGTCTCGCTCTGTCACCCAGGCTGGAGTACAGTGGTGCAATCTCAGCTCACTGCAACCTCCACTTCCGGGTTCACGCCATTCTCATGCCTCGGCTTCCCAAGTAGCTGGGACTACAGGTGTGCACCACCACACCCGGCTAATTTTCTTTCTATTTTTAGAAGGAGTTTCGCCATGTTGGCCGGGCTGATCTCAAACTCCTGACCTCAGGTGATCCACCTGCCTCAGCCTCCCAAAGTGCTGGGATTACAGGCATGAGCCACTGCGCCCGGCCCCGCATATTCTTTATCCACTCATCTATTAATGGACACTTAGGTTGATTTCCTGACTTTGCTATCATGAACATTATTGGAATAAACATAAAAAGATGGAATGCTTCATGAATTTGTATGTTATCCTGTGCAGGGGCCGTGCTCATCTTCTCTGCATTGTTCCAATTTTAGTGTATGTACTGCTCAAGTATACACCAGGACCCTTGGGTTCTATGTGAATTAACTCTTTTGCCTGTTAAGTCTCGATATTCTTGCCTACTAAATGGGGTGTCAGACTACATGATCTCCAAGATCCCTTTATGGAGTACATAATAATTAACTTAGGGAGGTGCAGAAAAAGTGTGTGCACAGGTGGTTGGGCCATTCAGTGTGTGACAGAGGCTGGGCTCTGCAGTGTGGGTCATAGTCAGAGATGTTCACAGGGCAGGGCCCCGGAGGCCACTGGAGGCCATTGCCAGCACAGAACATGGAAAGCCCAGATGCCCGAGGTCGCCAGGAACAGGACATGTCTACCAGAGAGGCTGGAAGGTGGGAGAGAGAGCACTTGGCTGGAGTCACCTGTGCCTTCCCAGGGAGGACTCTAGTGTTTCCACTTTGTCCCACTGACACTGGGGAGACTGGAAGGATTCCAAGCATGGGATACGGGATGAAAGTGGCACTGCCAAGGGGGTCTGACTGCTCCTAATGAGAATGGCCCTCACATGGGGTCTCCTGGTGCCACTGGCATTGCAGTGTCTCCAGGGGTTTTCCCATACTGGAAGGAACTAACAGGTAAAGAAGATTGAGGCAAAAGGTGAGAACCTCAAGGAACCTGAAGCTATTTGATTTTCTACCAGGGGGATTTCTACCCTAACTTGCCATCTCCAGCAGTATAGAGGTTTTGAGCTGTTCTTGATGCCTTGGAGTGATGTAACAGACTGGGGCACCTGGAAAAATCAAGTCAGCTTCTTTGAGAAACCTCTACAGGAAAATCAAACAACACTCATTCCCAAAACAACCACCACAAACCAGAACACCATCCTTTTTGGCCACAGAGGACAAGAAGGAGGGGGTTTTCTTGTAGTCAGATCCTTGATTTATCAACTGCCTGAATTGAAGTCATTCTCAGAAATAAAGGTGCAAACTAAATTGCAAAGGGGAGGCAAGTCTTTAACCCCAAGCATTGTTTTGGGGAAGACGGATCTCTTTGCCTAACTGAAGGGTAATAAACATTTCTTCCACAGCTGTTGAAACGTTTATACCTTTCACCATTGAGACAAGAAGACTCTGACAAAGAAAGCAATCAAAATGTTAACAGAAGGACTGGATAATGTTATATTGACTTCTTTGGAATTACTGACCTTCCATGGAAAGAGAATGGCATCTTCTAAAAATTAAACATTATTCTAAGTCTAGGACACACTTCTTTCAAGCAGCCTAGGTAAGACGATTTAGGAAGTTAGAAATGCAAACATTAGCTCAATAGATACAAAATAATTTAGTCTTATCCTTTCAATTTTTCCGATAAGTGAAGTTAAGGTGAAATGTCTAACTAATTCTCACAAGAAAGCAGGAATGCAGGGGGAGAATTCCATGAAGGAAGCCTTTGATCATTGCACCGCAGGACAGACGGGCATTCCCTCTGCGCTGACCGGCGGGAGTTAGAGTCCCCACATTGTGCGGTGGCAGCCTCTGCTTACTCATCAGAAGCTGCCTGGCTTTCCAAGCTTACTCCAGAAACTTGTAGAAATTTGAGAAAATGCAACCACCTCTGCTAGCAAACTAGTCCCTGGGACCCCCTGAGTCTCTGGCATTTCAATCACCTCCCACCTTCTGCTAGCATCTCTTCTGAGTTCCTCTCACTAAGGCCCTGCCACGGAAGGCTGCTCTACACCCAGTGCTGGTCCCTAATGCTCACTCAGCTTCGGCCACAGCCCAAGTCACCACTGGCCAGGCCTTAGGAGTAGGATGCCATGAGTCCAGCAGGCAGATTTAGCAGCAGAGCTTCGGGGCACCTGCCTTGTGCCGAGCCGCAAGGTCCACGGAGCTGAGCCTTGTCCTCTTGTTGTCACTTCTAGTCCCTAATAGGGGCTCAGCAAACATTTTTTGAATGTGTCACCAGAAGAAAGCCTGAATGCATGCATTAGAGTTGGAAGTGAGAGAGAGGGAGGGGGAATCATGGCTACGTAAGGATGATTTAGAAGAAGTGCCTGCCTTCAAGGAGCTTAGAATCTGGTGGTAAGAATAAGAAAAAATTATAATATAAGGTAGTATAGTAAATTAACTGCCTACATTATAGAAACAATGATAGGGATGATCTCATTACCCTTTAGCTCATATATTGCTTTAATTCTAAATCTTGGGATATGGTTGTAAGATGGTATTTGAACCAAACCTTGCACTAGGGAAAGGAATTCTCACAAGCTGGCGTGTGCTGCCTTCCTTTAGCCCTAGCCTGTGGCAGACATCACTAATTGATTTCTCCATAATTGATTACTGCAAGGCAGGGAAGGAGATACCATGTCTGAAAGTGCCTGTTCAATGTCTGATGAAAAGCAGGTGACTAATTCAAGTTCTTTTTATTTTTCCTCTTCTTCCTTTCCCAGAAAACCAAATAAGGGTCCCAGTGACATTTTGCCATGGATGTTTCCACTGTTGGAATTGCTGTCAATGTTACTTGTTTAGTGGATGAAAACCCAGTTCTAAATGGCATCACTAATTGATCATGGCTTGCTTTCCAACTGAGCTTTACGATTCTTCTCAACACGGGGCCCTGAACTTACATCTTCAGGCCTATGAGGTGCAAATGTGCTATTGATTGTCCCACCCTGTTCTAGATTATGAGCAGCCATTCTAAGACCTGGGGTTCAGAAAAAAGAGGGATTCCAGAGGAATGCACAATCACTGGTAACTCAGGGGCTTTGATGCAGTCCCAGGCATAGAAAGTTCCTCCTCCTCAGGGTTTGACCATCACATGTCTGCCCGCACCCAGAGCCATCTTCCTCCATCCCTCCTACAGGTCAGGAAGAAAACTGGGTCCTCACCCACTAAACACGTATCGTTGACAGTAATTCCAACAGTGGGAACATCCGTGGCAAAATGTCACTGGGACACTTATTTGGTTTTCTGGGAAGGGAAGAAGAGGAAAAACAAAAAGAACTTGAATTAGTCATTAGCTTTGCATCAGGCATTGAACAGACATGGTATCTCCTTCCATCCCTTGCAGTTCTGAAAGGATGATTATATGTATTCTATCGTATCATTATATATCATGGTTTTTTAGCCACTGGTGTCATTGACAATGCCAGTAACTAAGCCAACCTGTTTGACCAACAACAAATTTGGATGTTTCTGACTTTTTTTTTTAATAGACTTTTGCTGCTACTGTTAACTGCTCAAGGCATTCTAATAGGCACTTAGACCATACCTATGATTAGGAGCTCTTTGCAATTTGCTATTGAGCCCCTAAACAGCAGGCAGACATCAAACGGTCTCTAACATGATTTGAATACCACTGGATTCTTTTGTCCTCTTCTGATTCCCTACCATAATCCTGTACACTCAACCAATAACAATCTTTTGAAGTTTATAACTTTCTTAACTTCAAAGTTTTCTCGATGCCTAAGTAACAGGAGGTTTTCAAGGTGGAAATGCTAAATGAGTATACCATGCACAGTATAAATAACACACATCCAAGGGCATCCAAGACTTCAAAACCATTTGTATTAAGCTAGACAGCAGCTGTGAGAATCTACCCTTGTATGATGTCCTATTATAAATATCAGATTAGAGGAAACTTGGGGAGTGAGGCCTTGTTCATTCATATTGGGTTTTATTAATTTCCCCGCCCCCCCCCCCAAGTACATTCAACATGAGAGCATCTTAACATACCCCAGGGGCATTCCTGTGCATTCATGCAACTGTTCTCATCAAAGGAAAAAAAATACTTCACCCCATTATTTTATGTGGCTTCCAAGAGAGTTTCAACCCTTAAAAATTTATAAGTCCTTTTCATTAGGCCACTATTGTTTGATAGAATCTTAACCTCCTTCTGACACCTTGCTTCCCTAAGTAAAAATGTAATAACAACACTTACAACAATAACAACAACACAATGACAATAATAGTAATGGCAAACACCAGGTGGTCTGCACTTTCTATAGGCTGTGTGCCTCATCTGCATTCTGTCAATGAATCTTTTTTTTTTTTTTTTTGACAGTCTTGCTCTGTCACCCAGGCTGGAGAGCAGTGGTGCAATCTCTGCTCACTGAAACCTCCACCTCCCAAGTTCAAGCGATTCTTATGCTTCAGCCTCCAGAGTAGCTGGGTTACAGGCACGTTCCACCAAGCCTGGCGAATCTTTGTATATTAGTAGAGATGAGATTTCACCCGTGTTGACCAGGCTGGTTTCAAACCCCTGGACTCAAGTGATCCACCTGCCATGGCCTCCCAAAGTACTGGGATTACAGGCATGAGCCACCAAGCCTGGCTGATTTTTGAATATTAGTAGAGATGAGATTTCACCACGTTGACCAGGCTGGTCTCAAACCCCTGGCTTCAAGTGATCCACCCGCCTTGACCTCCCAAAGTGCTGGGATTACAGGCATGAGCCACGATGCCTGGCAATTCTGTCAATTAATCTTTATCAGAGTCCCATTTTAAAGATGTGCAAACTGAGGCTGGGAGAGGTTTAGGCAACTGGCCTAAAATAATGATAAGTAACACATGGATCCAGGACTTGACTACAGCAAAGCCAATATTTTTCTTCTTCTCTTTAAATTGTCTCCCTTTCTTGTTTTTCTATAACCCAGATAAAACATTCCTCAATTGATTGATCCTAGATAATTATATATGCATATGTTTTACTTCTCCAGTGTTTTAATGTCTAAGATCGTCTACAAGTTCTATACATCAGTAATTACTGTATTTCATGAAATGGGAAGTAGCAATTTTTTCGTTTGGCAGCTTGTAAACTCAGTCAGACAGAATCAAATCACTTCCCTGAAGCTCACCACAGGAAGGTAGCCTCATTACCTAAAAAACAGAACAAAAAAGAAAAAGAAAAAGAAAAAAAGGCTCCCTTCTTCATGAGCCTTCCACGAATGCATTCTGCATCTTTATTGCTGCTTTCATTGCTTGGCTCTCGTTAGACTTTTCCCCCAGATGTTCTTAATTTGGGGGTTATTTTCCATTGCATGTGGGCCCTTCAGTACTGTAAATATTTGACTTCAATATTTTCCATAGCTTGAAGAACTTTACAGTGGTCACTTCAGACATGGTTACAGAATGTTCTCTGATCCTTTCAGGCTGCTCTGTAAATTAGAAACTTGGTAGTTGATATCTTGTGGGCTCCACACACCATTTTTTTTTTCTCAGACTTTGATGTCTAAAAGTGCATTGTGTTATTTAGGCCTTAGGCACGTATAGAGATATCCCTGAAGCATAGATCAGGGTGGCTCATATGAATGAATTTTTTCCAATTAATTTATCCTCTATGGTGGGATCTCACATTAAAAATCATATTGTAGGTTTTTTTCTTTTTCTTTTTTTTTTTTTTTTTGAGATGGAGTCTCACTCTGTCGCCCAGGCTGGAGAGCAGTGGCGTGATCTCGGCTCACTGCAACCTCCACCTCCCAGGTTCAAGTAATTCTCTGCCTCAGCCTCCCGAGTAGCTGGGATTACAGGTGCCCACTACCATGCCCGGCTAATTTTTGTATTTTTTAGTAGAGACGAGGTTTCACCATCTTGGCCAGGCTGGTCTTGAACTCCTGACCTTGTGATCCACCCACCTCTCAAAGTGCTGGGATTATAGGCGTGAGCCACTGCATCCAGCCATATTTTAGATTTTTAAAAGATCTCTGCCAGTGGTCTTCAGTGGTACCATCTTCATTCAGCCTTGAGTACGAATCTTTATTATATGAAATGCCCTAAACCCATTCCCTCCCAATCCTAGACTGTACTTGCCCTTTGCTCACCATTTCTTCCACCTCATCCTTCTCCATTGTCCTCCCCAACCAGAGGCTTTCCCTATGATGCCTTCCTTCCCAACCAACTTTCCCTTGGGTCATTTTAAATTAATATGTACTAATAACCCCGTTAATATTAATACATCATGTTAATCAGCAATAAATCAATTTTGTATCATCTAAGGACATATTCGCATAACTAATCTGACTATTAAAAAATTACATTTATTTGAAGTTGCACAGATTTTTCACATGTATTTTGCACTGATTTACGAATTGAGAGCTATGAGGGATAACAAAAAATATCTTTCCATATTCATTCTCAGAAAGCAACTGTTTCATTTTGGTATTACATATCATATTGCAAGCAAATAACATTCTTTATCACGTGAAAAAAAGGAATGCTATAAATTAAATCATCAGTGGACTTGAAAAAAGGTGCTATTGAGGCATGTGGTCTAGCTTGCCAGTATAAGAATTTTGCTGGTAATGTGCTGTCTCACTTTTTTTTTTTTGCAAGATGTTGATAAATAACACATTTATAAATGGCTTGCATAATGGATTTTTAACAACTTCCTTGGGAAATAATTTTATGTTCCCATAAGATTTTCCTGCTATGAAGCTTTTCCTGCCACTTGTTCTAAATTTCCTTTTGACATATTTGATGGTTCAATAAGGTGTTGGTTTCATTGAGTGCTATATATCACCAGCGTGGAGCTGGCGTAAAGGGTCATGGCTCTTTACAACAGGAAAGGACCGAGAAATACGAAATTATATGAACCACGTGGTCACTAACTTCTCTATTCAAGTTTCAAATTGACTATAAAATATTCTCAACACTTTTAAATTGAAAAGATTCAGTTTGTATGACAGTATATTGAGTATGAATTTGGGGGGTTGACTATCTTTGTTTTATGTTTGTTAGAAATGCTTATGTTAGGGCCAGACATGGTGGCTCACACCTGTAATCCCAGCACTTTGGGAGGCCGAGGTGGATGGATCGCCTGAGGTCAGGAGTTCGAGACCAGCCTGACCAACATAGTGAAACCCATCTCTACTAAAAGTACAAAAATTCGACAGGTGTGGTGGTGCATGCCTGTAATCCCAGCTACTCAGGAGGCTGAGGCAGGAGAATCACTTGAACTCAGGAGGCAGAGGTTGCAGTGAGCCGAGATCATGCCACTGCACTCCAGCCTGGGCAACAGAGTGAGGTTTCGTCTCAAATAAAAGAAAAAGAAGAAAAAAAAGAAAGAAAGGAAGGAAGGGAGGGAGGGAGGGAGGGAGGGAGGGAGGGAGGGAAGGAGAAAGAAAGAAAGAAAGAAAGAAAGAAAGAAAGAAAGAAAGAAAGAAAGAAAGAAAGAAAGAAAGAGAAAGAAAGAAAGAAGGAAGGAAGGAAGGGGAAAGAAAGAGAGAGAGAAAGAAAGAAAGAAGGAAGGAAAAAGAGAGAAAGAAGGAAGGAAGGAAAGAAAGAGAGAAAGAAAGAAAGAAAGGCTCATGTTATCATGTTAGCTGTTTATCACTGGGCCCTCTGGACTATCTTCCCACTTGAGGTGACACAGTTGAAGAGAGCTGTCCACCTAGAGCTGGAGAAGCCACCTTTGACAGCCCATCTGCGGCACTTCCTACCTTCTCCCGATCTGCCCGCTAGTGCTCATGGTAATAGTAGTACCTCTGCCACCCTCTGCTGCCACCGTCAACTAGTCGCATCTCAGTGGCTGCTGGCAACCTTGGGTTCTCATCTTTCTCTCCATCCGGTCAGATAATGCTTTCATCGTTACATGTTTTCGTTTGATTTCTTTCCTCCATTGGATCTCCTCTGGGAGAAGGGGTTGGGAGTTGGGGACCTTACCAAAATAACTCTTTCAGTTTTGCACTTTCAGGACATGAAGTTGTTTCCTCAAGGAAAATGAAAACTGGGTCAGAAAAGGTTCCAGTGTACCCCCACACTATACCTGAAATGTCCCTGCTTCCTCACACCTCCCCCCACCAGCCTTCTTACTCATGTGATTTTTCTCTCAGGAATCACTCTATCCTTCGGCAGTTTGTCTTCTATCCCCTTCCCACCAACTCTTCCAGGTCAGACACATCTCTACATCTCTGTGGCCAAGCTTCAGCACTTCCTATTGAGCTCCTGAGCCTCCTTTAAATTAAAAAAAAAAAAATGGCTGTGCATCCGCTTCAATGTCCCCAAATACCCACAAGCACATGGATGGATTTGCCAGCTCAACACCCAGAAAGGGTTCTAGAAAGTGTGGAATCACCTAACTCCATGCAGGGTCCAGACAAGGCTGCTGTTCTAAACCCAGTCATACAGTTTGATTAAAATCTTTGAAGAATATAATTCAAATGGACAAATATCGAAACGTGAACTGTGATTTCTGGGTAGTGTGGGTGATATTCACTCTTTTTCTTTTTACTTAGCAGTATTGCTTGATGTTCCTATAATATCATATTAGCATTTTGCAATAAGTTATTCATTGTAATTGAGATATGGGGGACTGACACAGGCAGTGGCAGTGAGAATGGAGAGAGAAAGAAAAAGATATGAGAGTATCTAGAGAGTCCTAGACCTGGTGACCAAGAGAGTGACCAGGAGCTAGGAAAACACCAACCAAAACAACCACTAGACAGCATATAAATATTGGAATTACAGAAGGGACATGTGGCAGATGCCAGGGTCTCCTTGACATCCTTTCTTCCTCTCCCATTGTTCAGTAACTGAGTTCTTTGGGGCAATGGACTCCATGCCAGTTCTACAGGTCCCCACCCCACCACAGGTCTCTGTCAAGGAGCCAGACACCATCCACCTGATGTGGTTCAAACAGCACAGTTCTGAGCCATTCAGCAAATGATATTCCCCTGGCCACACTGCTCACTTCAAGGGTGATCCAACCAGCATAAAGCTCTAGATTTGAGCTTGAGAGTTGTGGGAAGACCTCCTCCCGGCTATTGTGTGTATTTAAAGAAGCCCAGGCTGCAACAGCAGCCATCCTAGGTCCAAGAAGGCAGCCAGCCTTGGAATGAAACCAACACAATAGAAGGCCAAGCAGCCAGACAGGAACAAATTGGATCCCTGATGGCAGCATGGAGCCACTGGATTTGCTGACCCAAAGTCTATCCTGCCACTGGGCTTTCCAGTTTAATGAGCCAATTAATTGCCTGATAATTTAAAGTGTCCTGGCTAATTCAGAGCTGGCTGGGAATGGGGTGGAAGATGAGAAAGACAGCTGCTAAATCCCTGCAAGATGTTCAGGACCCATGTCCAGGAGGCAGTTAAAAAGTGGAACTTGGACCTTGAACTCAGGATAGAGACTTAGACTCAGGAATGAACCTGGGGGTTACTAAAATATGTATCAGTCAGCTACTGCTGCATAACAAACTACCTCCCCAAACTCAGAAGCATGTGAGATGGTCAGCTGTGGGGGCTCTGCTCATTGCTGCTAAGCTTGGCTGGACTCAGGCTCCACATGTTTGTTAAGACTCCCAAAGCAAATCACATAGTTGAGTCCATCTTCAGTTGGCTGGAGAATGTATATTCTGCTTCTGCTTCAAAGTTGTATTGAAAAGGGTGTGGTTTCAGGAAGAAATAAAAGCTATGGGACAATATTGCTCTCCATCACATGGTGTCATTCCAGGTGAAGCCCAGGGCATGGATAAAATACCCTAAAGAAAATATCAATGAGATAAGGGGACACCAAAGTCTATGGAGCAGAAGATGGGCATATGAAAAAGGTTTTAAAAAGAATCTTCACTTATTGATTGTATAGCTATTTATTGAGTTCCAACTATGGGTTGGGCTCTGTTTCTATTTCTGGGGTGGGAAAGCTGTCAAAAAAAACCCTGCATCATGAAGCTTCTATTCTAGTAAGACACTGGGGAGACCAACAATATACAAGATAAATAATAAAACACGTAGAATGTTAGCTATTAAGTGTTAGTATAAGAATATTTAAAGCAAAGAGGAGAAGTGGCTATGTAGTGAAGGGAGGAGGGGTGAAATCATAGTGTCCCTGGCCAGAGAAGGATGCACTAAGAAGGTGTGAATGAAGGGTCGAAGGAAGTCAGGGAGGGAGCCATGCAAATACCTTCGGGAACAGAAGGAACAGAATGTGCACAGACACAAAGCAGGGGTGTGTCGCGTGTTCAGGGCATAGTGCATAGGGCAGTTGGCTTGAACAGAAGGAATGGGGAAGAGAAGTAAGAGATGAGTCAGTATGACAGGGCCACTCACAGCCTCGCACGTCATGAGGACTTTGGTCTGGAAGGAGTGAGCTGGAGGCCAGGGGGGAGTTTTGCTCAGAGGAATGACATGATCTGATTGTAACAGGATCCCTGTGGCTGACTTAACTGACAAAACTGATATTAATTTTACTGATGTTGACAGAAGGCTATAGCAATGCAGAGGGGAGAGGGCAGGGGAGCTAGATCTGATGCAGGAGGATCATTAAAAGGCTATTGTGGGGAGCTGGGAGAAGCTGATAGGGGCTTGGAGCAGGGTGGGTTAGTATAGGGGGGAGAATGTGACCTGATTCTCAAGCCAACCAACATAATCTGCTAGGTAGTTTCATGTGGGGTGTAAGAAGTAGAGAGGAATGAACGTTCGCTCCAAACTTAAGCAATTGGAAGAATTCACTGAAATTGGAGACAGATGTGAAGAACAGGTTTGGTGGAAACATCAGAAGTCTGATTCAAACATGGTGAGCTTCAGATGCCCACTGAATGTCCGAGAGCAGCAGATGTCAAGGAGAAGCTCAGGTGCACCAGTCTGGAATTCAAGGGGAAGGCCAGGGCCAGCGAGTATATTTGCCAGTGGTCAGGATATAGATGATATCTAAAGCCAGGAAACAGCATGAGGTCCCGTAGGGGTGAGTGAGGACAGAAAAGAGAGGGGCTCAGAGGACTGAGCCCTGATGACTCCAACGATGACCAAGGATTACCTTGACTTTCAAGGTCAGAGAGATGAGGAGGAGCCTCAGCTGTGCTTGGGGGTGGGGTCAGCTGTGGGTACGGGCTGCCCAATCTGAGGAAGGTGGAGAGCATTTCAGGGAAAAAAGAGAGAGGCTCCAGCTGGATCTGAAGCTGATGGGGAGGTAGAGTATGACGAGGGCCAAAATCCTCCTTTAGATTTGGTGACTGGGATGCCAGTGATTATCTTAGTCAGAATACCTTCAGGGTGTGGCAGAATCAAAGCTAGGCTGTGGCTTCTGAGATTTCAGGGGCTTTTGGAGGAGGAGGAAATGGAGGTGGTGAACTTGGACAAACATTTAAGAATGTTTGCTACAAAAATTACAATGATGATGATGGTCGCTCACTAATATCCATCATCTATTCTAAACACTTTACATGCATTGAATCAATGGAAAGCAGCACAAAGAGATAAGGTGGTTTCCTGACACTAAACCGGGTCCCAGAAAGGTGTGTGCCTTTGGCTGTGGTGTGTGTGCAAATACCTGAAACCACAGAGCAGGTGGACAGGCTGAAGGGAAGGAGGCAGTGACAGAAGAAGCAACAGACACCGGGAGGAGGGGATGACTGGGAGCCCCAGAGCCTGGATCTATTGGATGGAATTCAGAGCCAGACAGAGGGACTCACCTGAGTGAAGAAGGAGATGCACGCTCTGTTCCCAAAGGAAGAAGGGAAGAGTGGCGAGAGAAATTTCATTAACTTACTAAGAAGGAGGCCAGGAGGCCAGGTCATTTGGAGGAGAGAGATGAACAGGGTATGGGAGATACTGAGCAGCCGCAGATGGCCTCATTGGGAATGGAGACCAGGTGGGCTGTGTCTACCAGAAGTGCCGAGCGGCCCGAGAGCAGGGGGCCCAGGAATGGATGAGCAGAGTATCGGTGCCGAGAAGTCACCAGAGGAAAAAGAAACTGAAGGGAGGAACATGAAAGAGGATGGAGTGACGGCCCACAGGATCGGGCTTGGCAAGGACAGAGTTAACCCTGGTGGGAAACATGGAGTTGGGGAGGGCAAGGAAGGGAGGAAGGATCTGAGGGAGCTCATGGGGGAGTGCAGTGTGTCCAGGGACAAGAAGGAGGCATGGGAAGCCCAGGGTGCATTCATTTCAGGGGTATTTGCTGAGAGGCCGCTGTGCACCGTGCACTCCCTCGGAGCCCTGGGCACATTAGGAGGTGGCATTTAGAGTGGCCTAGGGGGCAAGAGCCGGAGTCACAGAGTAGATGAGACTGCCCAGGAGACCATGAGTTAAGAGACAGGAGACTCAAGGGTAGAACTTCAGGGGAAATGTCTCTTCCATGAAAGGGGTGAACAGGAGAAGTTGTGCCAGAGCCCTAGGGAAGGAGGAAAGCTCCCGACCCCCAACCTCTACCCTACCTGCCATCTGCCCACTTCCATGAGCTCCATGAGTGAGCCCTGAAACACAGGGGAGGAGAGAGGTTACAGGGTAAGGGGACTGCATCTGACCACCTGACTGAGGAACAGTCTTCCTCTACAGGAAAGTCATTCTCCCCTTCTGAAGGTGCGGCTTAGAGACGGGAGGACACTTAGGAAGCAGTGAGAAATTGGATATGCAGCCACCAAGCCAGGGCAGCTGAGTCCACCTGGTGGCCGGTGGGTGACATGAAGGCAGTACTATCATCTCAAGTGATTTCAAGATAGGTTGCAGCAAAGTTATCAAAGATGGTCAGTATTAATGACGGCCATGGAAGCTCCGATTTGTGTAGACTGGATCTTTTACTAAGTCCTTTCAACATCCTTCACCTCATTTGATTTTCACCATAGCCATGTGAGACTTGACCTCTCAAAGATGGGAAAGTTGAGGCCAAAAGAAGATTTAACGAACTCGCCCAAAGACACACAGCTGGAATGAAAGTTATTTGAAAGTGACCCTTTGCAATGGGAGCCTGAAGATTGTTTAATTTATTGTGCACGGTCCTCTTTTTTTATGCTATGTGAAATGTCAAGAATAATTTCCTTGTAATCAACAATGTTCATTTCTTTGTTTCTTTCCCTTTTACTGCCTTTTCAGAAACTCTGCTGATGTCTTTTGGAAGCGTCTATTCCAATGAGTCTTTTCCAGCTTTCCATTATTGGTGAGGTGTGAGGGAACTAGTCACTCCCCAAAGATTACCAGAAAAGTTCATTTTCTAGTTGAGTTGGGAGGTGCACCTCAACCAGGAACATGGAGACTTCCTGCTGGTTTCACATGGAGGCCTCCCGCCTTCTCGTTTATGCCAGTGGGGCAGTTATTGAGTTGGGTAAAGATGCTCTTACTGGTCATACAGGGTATGTTGAAGAAATGAAAATACAACTTAGATAAGCATTCAGTTCATTTCAACCAATATTTTCTAGGTGCCTAGAATGGGAGCTGTTTGGACAAAATGGTGCATGGGGATTTAACATTCCCAAGGTCAAACAAGGCCCGGGTCTCTGGGTAGCAGTCCAGGGACAACCAGCACCACCACAGATGGCTTCCCAGGCAGAGGGGAGCAGCCTTGCACAGATACAATAGTTATGTGCTTTTAGGGACACACACTCCTTAAAAACTGAAGTATGGAATCTCCAGGAAAATGTACATGCATGAAAACTTCTACATATAATTTGTGGAGTTTTATGACAGTCAGTATTCCCTGTACCTCAGACTAAGAAGCCCTTAAGAACCTGGCTCTTTTTTTTTTTTTTTTGAGATGGAGTCTCACTCTGTTGCCCAGGATGGAGTGCAGTCACATGATCTTGGCTCACTGCAACTCCTGCCTCCTGGGTTCAAGTGATTTTCCTGCCTTAGCCTCTTGAGTAGCTGGGATTATAGGTGTGCACCACCACATCTGGCTAATTTGTGTATTTTTGGTAGAGATGGGGTTTCACTGTGTTGGCCAGGCTGGTCTTGAACTCCTGGCCTCAAGTGATCTGCCCACTTCTGCATCCCAAACTGCTGGGATTATAGGCGTGAGCCGCCGTGCCTGGCCGAAACCCTGATCTTCTGAACAGACTCAAGGACAAAGCAGATACGTGGCAAATTTCAGCTGTATATCACAGAGTTCTACGCCCGTTTCTGCAGCCTTTGAAGGAAGGCCATGGCGACGCCTTGTAACATCGGTCTCACCCCCACTTCACCCCACCCCACTCCTTTCCCTGAAGTAAACCCTCCTCCCTGTCCAAGCCAAGCTCCAGCGCTCACCCATCCTCTGGGCCCTCATGGCATTTTGTTGACACTCCGGTTAAAGCCTTGCTTCCTTGTCTACCTGGGTCTCTCCCCTAGGAAAATGTGAGTCCCTCGACAGCATAGGAACAACACCTTGTCCCTTGCACTTCCCACTGCCTGGCAGCCCAGAGATGCTTAGTAAATACCACTTGTGCCAATGGATGCTTAAATGGCTCAGGCACCAATTTTGATTGTTTCGTAATTCTCCAATGTGATTAAAAGTCATTTGCTGCTTCAAAACTCAGAGCAAAAGTTATTTTACAAAGGCCTGTTAAAATGACACAGTGGTGCATGGTCTAATGAGTCCTTGCACCCCAATGTGAAGCACCCCAATGCTCTGAAAGCTTGCTAAAGCTCTTCTTCTGAAAGCCAACTGTGTCCGCTTCTCATGGTAAAGTTTTACAGTAGACTTTGGCATAAGGTAATTCCATCCTACGGGACCCGAGCCAAGATGTAAGCCCCTGGTTTAAGGTTATATCTCCTTTGTGCACTTAAAAATGTGTTAAGAGAATAGATCACATGCTTAGTGCTCTTAACACAGTAAAAAATGGGGAGACACAAAGAAATTTGTGGAGGCAATAGGTACATTTATTATCTTGATTGTGGTGATGGTCTCAATGGATATGAACATATCAAACTCCTCGAACTGTGTACATTAAATAAGTGCAGGTTTGTATATTAATTTTAAAAACAGCTCAATAAAGCTGTTTTTTAAACAGGTATTTCTTATATAGGCAGGGCCTGGGGTTAATGGAGGCAGGGGCGCTGGGATGTGCTGGGAGGGAGGAGGGAACAGGAAAGGCTGGGAGAACAGGAGGCCCTGAGAGGACCTAGGGGATTTGAGGGTGAGGGAGGGAGCTGGGGGGCGCGGGGTGCATGGTGAGCCCAGAGTCCATAGTTTAAGGTGCAGAATTTAGACTAGCCATTATCAGGTAAAAGTATGTCACAGGTGGTCAAAAAGGTAATAACATCTAAGAAGTAGACATGCTATTCAATAACCAAGTTTTCTGAAGACTTCATCAGGTATCTTGAAACCCAGGAAAAGGAGGCATGCCAGCCTTCAGCATGGAGGAAAACAAAGTGGCATTTGGGATGTGCTGAAAAGGCGTGGGGACACTCAGGTCCCCATCTGGGCCAGTCCAGGGAGGGCCCTTTGGGGGGCTGTCCTGGTCAAAACAATACAGCAATCCCAAACTCAAGCCGGTGCAGGAGGGCACGAGGCTCAGGGTCCGGAGTGGCTGACCCCTCAGTGGAGCAGGTAGTGCCAGGTACCCAGCCAGGAGGTTGTTGCCGCAGGGCTCCCCAGGGGCAGTCAGACACCCAAGAAGCAGGGCTGGGCTGGCTCAGTGCTTTCTTCAAGGTCCGCTTCGAGGTGATGGAGGCCTGGCAGCAGCCCATGGCCCCAAGCGGGGCTCCCAGGGAAGTGGCTGCAGGAGCTGGGCAGGGTCCCAGGCCCGAAGAGAAGGCCAGCCCTCACCCTGGGCCCACAGAGAAGGCCAGCCCTCACCCTAGGCCACAGAGAAGGCCAGCCCACACCCTGGGCCCACAGAGAAGGCCAGCCCTCACCCTAGGCCACAGAGAAGGCCAGCCCACACCCTGGGCCCACAGAGAAGGCCAGCCCTCACCCTAGGCCACAGAGAAGGCCAGCCCACACCCTGGGCCCACAGAGAAGGCCAGCCCTCACCCTAGGCCACAGAGAAGGCCAGCCCACACCCTGGGCCCACAGAGAAGGCCAGCCCTCACCCTAGGCCACAGAGAAGGCCAGCCCACACCCTGGGCCCACAGAGAAGGCCAGCCCTCACCCTAGGCCACAGAGAAGGCCAGCCCACACCCTGGGCCCACAGAGAAGGCCAGCCCACACCCTGGGCCCACAGAGAAGGCCAGCCCTCACCCTAGGCCACAGAGAAGGCCAGCCCACACCCTGGGCACACAGAGAAGGCCAGCTCCTCACCCTGGGCCCACAGAGAAGGCCAGCTCCTCATCCTAGGCCCACAGAGAAGGCTGGCTCCTCACCCTAGGCCACAGAGAAGGCCAGCTCCTCACCCTAGGCCCACAGAGAAGGCCAGCCCTCACCCTAGGCCACAGAGAAGGCCAGCCCTCACCCTGGGCCCACAGAGAAGGCTGGCTCCTCACCCTAGGCCACAGAGAAGGCCGGCTCCTCACCCTAGGCCCACAGAGATGGCTGCAGTATTGCAGGGAGACCCAAGCAAAGCCATCCCTGTGGCAGAGATGCTGACATTAACAACAAAGGCAGGAACTGAGACCCAGGTGGCACTCACTCATGTGGCACTCATTCCTGTGGCACTCACTCCCATGTCACTCACTCATGTGGCATTCACTCATGTGGCACTCTTGTGAGCCAGGTAGTCTTCTCCATGCTGGGCATATGATGACACATTGAACTCCTAACAATCCTGTGAGGGAAGTGCGAATAGCATCAAACCCCTCGCACAGATGAGGAGACTGTAGCAGTGAGAGATGAAGTAACTTGCCAGGCTAGCGTTCGTGGAGTTGGAATTTAAACTCGAGCAGCGTGGCTCCTGGGCTCATTCTCTTAACCCCTATGCTGTATTTTCTCATGGTATGGGGAAAGAGGAAGGAGGGAGGGAGTCAAAAGCCAGAGGCTGAGCCTGGGTTTAATTCGCTGGCAGGGCCCCCTCACACACACACCGCCAGCAGGGGAGGTGGCTCTTGTTCCATGTCCTGGCCCCAGGGCAGCAGTCCCGTGGATGGATTCTGGGCTGGGAAAAGGAGATGCAGGAGTTGCTGGAGGTATGTCTATGACTCTGTAAAGGGATGGTCTGAATTCCCTCCCAGACAGAGTGAAAGTCTCGCTGTGTGAGTGCCATGGACACAGCATGTGCACCCCTCCAGCCCAAGTGGTGTTATTGAAACAAAGGTCAGATCGTTTCCTATTTAAAAGCTTCTCCTGGCTCCCCATGTCACTCAGAAAGCTTGTTACCATGGCCCAGAGACCCCTCTGACCCCACGTTCTAACTCACCTCCCTCCACTCCCCTCACTCTGCTCCATCCTGTGGGCCCCCGAGCTCCCAGCTCAGGGCCTTTGCACATGGCGCAGCCCCTTCCTGAAACTCCCCTCCCTTGCAGAGCTGCATGGCTTACTCCTTTACTCAACACAGGTCTCTCCTCAAATGCCACCTTCTCAGGAGGTGCCTAGGACCAGCCTGTGCCAAGTCACCTTCTCCTTGCTCTGCTTCCTTTCTCCATGCACCAATGCCATGTGGAGTGCACACACTACATACAACACCTTGAGGGGTCCACACACAACACTGTGTCAGTTATACACACAACACCAGGTGGAGTCTACACACAACACTATATGGGGTATACACACAACACCATGTGGGGTCTACACACAACACCAGGTGGAGTCTACACACAACACCATGTGGAGTCTACACACAACACCATGTGGAGTCTACACACAACACTATATGGGGTATACACACAACACTGTGTGGGGTCTACACAGAACACCATATATAGTCTACACACAATACCATGTGGAGTCCACACACAACACTATATGGGGTATACACACAACACCATGTGGGGTCTACACACACCACCATGTGGGGTCTACACATGATGCCATGTGAAGTCTACACACAGCATGATGTGGAATCTACACTAACTTGTTTATTTGCTTGCTGTATATCCGCATCCCCCCCACACATCACTAGAACTTAGGTGGCACGAGGGCAGGAACTTGGATGTGTTCACTGCTGTAACCCCAAATGACTGCTGAATGAATGGAATGAATGAACACAAAGCGTCCTCCCCAGCTGCACATCTAAAGCAGGAGGAGCCCCTCTCAGTTGGCCCCTGGGGTGCCTGTATTGAGTTTCTCTCTGTGGATGCCAACCATACATGGCTGATGACGCTCCTGACAAAGCCCAGTGGAGGTTTTGGTTGCCTATTTCCCCTCTTTTTTAAGCTCTGTACCAAAATTGATTCAGATCATCAGATACAGGCACCCTGTTCCTACTTTGTTAACTTTTCTCCAAAACACTTCATAGAACCCTGAGTCAACATCCTAGCTACGGCTCCTATGGAAGTTCAAAGCAAGAAACAAAATTATGTCCACTTTTAGAATAATTATGTGAACTTTTTGTTCTTAGTAAACTGCTATAAGCTTAAAATGCATCAGCTTTCCCAAGCTTCCTATCTGGCCTGCTTACTGTGTAATTGCCATTTTTAATGGTAACATATTTTAACTGTATCACATCACTCTAGTAGAAGAGATTTGCAGCAATATTTACTTCTTTGGTCATATTGTTATCATGATGAATAAACGGGTATGGTAACATCAGAAGATTAAATTCTCTCTCTTAATGGAAAATTAACTCTGAAACCAGACATTCTAGAATTTCTGTTTCCTGGAGCAATGGTTCCTGATTTGTGGGCAGCAGAGCCCTGGGGGACACTCCAAGCCCCATCCTTCTTCAAGGAGTCTCGCAGTCATTGTAGGCGCCAAGTGCCTCCTGCATACTAACTAACAGTCTTGTGCACCAAGGCTTGACTGTCATGTAAATGTGTCCTCACAGGACTTTGAGATCAACAAGTTATGACCTCACATATGCTTTTGACAGTAGGTATTTTTCAATCAAACTGCACCTATTATCATGCAGAAGGCTCTCAAATAGCTAACCTCAAAGGGATCTGTGTGCTCTATAAAATTTAGAACAGCTTCTCCATAATTTGGAGTCTTTAGGAGAATACAATATATTCTAATGGAGATATTTATCATCAGAAGTTTACAAAGACATATGAAACAAAAGCTCAGTTGCAAGACATTAAGAGACAGTGCAAATAGCAAGCAATTAACTAGGAATTTTCTTTGGTCAAGTTTCTTCCCTGATATGAAACTCACTTCATGTTTAGCTTCCCCTGTTCTAAAAATCCAGCAACACTACAATAAGTTCACTCTCTGCATTCACTTCATACTATGTTCCTAATGCTGCACTGGCAACTTTGCTGCTCACTTTTAATTAAAGCACAAGGGTTGTGGGAAAAACGACTTCTGCAGGCATTGTAATCACTCTGAGGGACTGCTTTATCTGTCCTCTAACTCTCTATGTTGGCCTCTGAATAAAGCTGCCCTCAAATGGGTGGACAGTCAAGTACTCTTCATGGGGGTCTTAGTTCTAGAAGGCACAGAGATGACGTATGTGGGAATTCCAAACACAGGCAGGAAGAGGGAAAACACATGGAAGTGATTTTAGTGCCTAATTTTGGCTATCTCTATACAAGTATGACAAGATCGAACACATCTGAAAGAAGGAATCGGCACTGACATTTTATATCAACTCATTTAAGAGCATTGCTAAATTCATCGCAACCTTTGATATTCAAGACCCATAAATATCAAGACGTGTGCGTGTGTCTATGTGCATGTGTGTGTGTTACAGATACAGACCTCACCATTTCACCATTTGTGCATTGCTGCAACTCTGTCGAGCTTGGTTTCAGCCTTATATAACCCTGGTGGGAAAACTCAACTAGAGTGAGGCAGTGGCTTCTCCACCAGGGTGTGACAGTGGAGAACCAAACAGATAGGTAGAAGTATGGACCCAGCCCCTCCCCTTTTCTCAATACAGGCCATTTTCATCAGTCTATCTAATTTGTTTATGCCTTTATCCATGTATTTAGGTGTGTACAAAAGTTGGGCTGCTAAAGAAGTTTGAAATCCACTGCCCTCATCTACATTTTCACTGATGCATAAATAAATTGCTTTATTTGAGTCAAAATGCATTTATTTTGTGAGGGATTAAAAGGCCAACTATATTGCAATTAATTCTAGAGCCTATTTTTGTTTTAAGAATGAACTAATGGGGACCTATACATGTTGCAGCCATCCAGGTTTTTTTTTTTTTTTTTTTTTTAAGCAATTAAAGCAGCAACACAAATCCCTTGGTGTCCTGGAGAAGATGGGGTGGGTCAGAGGAGAAGCAGCACAGGTGGTAGAATCCAGGGACCTGGCCCCACCCAAGTCCTCACCCTAGTACACTACCCCAGTGGCCCTGAGCAAGCATTTGATCACTGCCATTATGTCTGCTGTGCTGGGGGTGGAGGAAATGGGAATGATATCGTCAGTACTCCCAATGCTAAAGGATGGTTGAGAGGATCAGCCTGATCTACAAGCTTGTTTTCAATTAATATTTTCAAATATAAGTTTGGGAGGGGAAAAACATTCAAGCCAAAGCATAGGATATACCTGTTTAATGAGAAATACATAATGAGAACATTAGGATGATCACAAGAGGGGCTTCATATGGGGTCTAAAACAGAATTAAATTCTAGCAAGCTAAAGATTGTTTCCGGACGGGCATGGTGGCTCACGCCTGTAATCCCAATACTTTGGGAGGCTAAGACAGGTGGATCACTTGAGGCTAGGAGTTTGAGACCAGCCTGGGACACCTGGTGAAACCCCAACTCTACTAAAAATACAAAAATTAGCTGGGCGTGGTGGCACATGTCTGTAATCCCAGCCACTCAGGAGGCTGAGGCACGGGAATCACTTGTACCCGGGAAGCGGAGGCTGCAGTGAGCCGAGATGGCGCCACTACACTCCAGCCTGGACGACAGAGCAAGACCCTGTCTTGAAAAAAAACCCTGAAATATAAAAAGTGAAAGATTGTTTTCCTAAGGAAATCAAAAAGAAACAGTCATGGGGTTATGTTGCTAGGAAAGGAGGAAAGTGAAGGCAATTTGTCACCCTGAGAAAGAATGGACTTCTGCTTGACATCTCTAGCTCTGTTTTTCCTTTGTTCTTTTAAATAAATAAACAAAACATAAAGAGAGGAAAGCCCAGAATTCCAAAATAATTTAGCATAAGCAAAGGGAGACAGACTCCAGAGAGACCCACAGTCGGCTTCCCAGCCGGCCCTCCGAGCTTGTTCTCAACTTTTCCTGATACCTCCGCCCTGCCCTGCTGCCCCCACAGCTCTTTCTGCAAAGTGTCAGGGACTCCACCCTCGGGAGGGTCTCACTTTCCACATGAGCGGCTCCTCTTCGCATGTTTCCTAATTGGACCTATTTAAATCAGGAATCCACTGCCTTGTGCAATTAGGCATCTAATAATTGTTCAAAGTTGATGGTAATTTTTATAAGTTTGCCAAGGTCATTTAAGCCTAATGAACTTGAGTTCAATCCAAACTCTAAGTAATGGCTCATTTACAGTTTGGATGTGTTCAGTATACAGTAAGTTGGTTTTTTCTCTAACTGCACTGGTTTGCTAAGATATTTCTGACAATAATTTTTTAGTAATGCCCTTTGTGGAGTAATGAGATTCTGAGACCATGGCCTTTAAGATACTTGGGTAAGGTTTACTTATGTAACTGTATTGTATCCTCCGTACAAGCCTTTTTATCCCTTATTTTTTTTCTCATTGTTTTTTCTCATTGTTTCCTTAGAATATTCATTTTTTCTTCATTATTTTTTCTCATTGTTTCCTTAGAATATTCATTTTTTTCTTTTTTCAATTTTATTTAACATCATTATGTCTTTTTTCCTCCACCCTATGGAAGGTACTTTTTACACAAAAGCTTCTGTCACTAACTATGATTGGAAATGTGACATCCAGTGTGAACATTTATCTTAACAGAATCATTAATTTACAACAAAATGCTAAATACCAGTCCCCTCCAGGAAACAGTGAAGCAGACTTTGCATTCCTTAGCTTTTTTCTTATAAAAGATATTTTAGATCCATTTTACTGCATGAATCATTTCTCTTCCAAATCCAATATGTTAAACGATTTCACAGTATAGCACTTATCAAAACCTACATCCTGGCCAAGTGCAGTGGCTCACATCTGTAGTCCCAGCACTTTGGGAAGCCGAGGTGGGCGGATCACCTGAGGTAAGGGGTTCGAGACCAGCCTGACCAACATGGTGAAACCCCATCTCTACTAAAAATACAAAAATTAGCCGGACGTGGTGGTGCATGCCTGTAATCCCAGCTACTTGGGAGGCTAAGGCAGGAGAATTGCTTGAACCCAGGAGGCGGAGGTTGCAGTGAGCCGAGACCATGCCACTGCATTCCGGCCTGGGTGACAGGGTAAGACTCTGTCTCAAAAACAAAAAACAAAACAAAACAAAACCCTACATCCTGTGCCAGGTCCTAGAATGATTCCACAATAGTGGTGGTGTCCCCTGCTGGGTTTGACCCTGTTCTTTATTTCAGCTAGTGTCCGCAGCAATGACTCTCAGCAGATGCTTGTCACAGCGGAGGGCATGTTTCATGCTAGCAGCTGCACTGCATTTGATGTGCAGGACAGCCCTAGGAGGGTTGCTATTCCCATTCTACAGATAAGGGAACTGACGGTCCAGAGTCACATAGTGAGAGCAGTGAAGCCAGGATTTAGACTTCTGTAGGTCTGAATTCGAACCCAGTCACTGCACTGTACATGTACGAGTTTCCTCTTTCAACCACATGGAACTGACTTTGTAGACTCTCGGGAAGCAAATAAGTCTGACATGACCTCCTCACTTTGTCCATTAGTGCTAGCAAAGGTTTCCTGAAGTTGCAAAGCTGATTCTTGCAGCCTCATGGGCACCCATTTGAGGGGGTTCACCTAGGCCCAGAACCCCCTCCTCCTGGTGGGAGCCCCATGGACCTCCCCTCCGCAAGGCCTTTTAGAAATCTGAGAGCAGAGTTCTAAGCAAGAATTCAGAGAATCGTCTCCCAAACCCAGAAAGGCCGACTTATCCACCCCAGGGCATCTGACCTAAATTCCAACCTTTCGCTCAATTCTGAGCTCTAGAGACTACCTTGATTTTAATTAATGGAAAAGACAAAACAGAACAAAACAGCAGACCTGCAAGAAGTAAGAACTCCCTTCATGGAATGCTTTGTCGCCTTGGGGATGCTGGATGCTATTTATACCCCCATTTTTAATCATATCTTTAAAAATTACTGATGAAGTTTAAAGCATTCACCTGATGGCATGTCAGCACCTCCAAATGCATAATCTCGCCTGTGTCAAAGAACTGGGGAGTCCACCCCATCAACCCCTAGGATGCTGGCTGACTCAGCGTCAAGCAGTGCCAAGCTCCCAAAGCCACGATGCTTAAACAGGTGAAAAATTATGCATGTCAGGTTCCAAAACTGCTCCTCTTATTAATCCATCCGAAGAATACTAACATTAGGAAAACAACAACCTGCATTTTTGTATTTTGTAGCTAGACACTTCTCTTTCTCTATTTCCAGGAAATAAGAAAAAAAAGAACAGCCTTGCAATAGACATAGGTTCATAGAAAAATGAGAAGGCAAGGGGCATTTAGAAGTAGCAACAAGTTGAAATTTTATTATATGCCTCTGACAGTGGTAAGGTTATGTTTTTAAATTTGAAGTAAAATTGTTTAGACATGCTTGTGTTTATTGATAGGAAATCACCGTGTGGCCAGAGCCCAAGAGAATTTCTTCCTGGGACAACTGATCAGAGAAGGAAAAGAGCCTTCTCATGTGACTGCTTTCTCAGTGCTTTTTTTTTTTTTCTGAGATGGAGTCTCGCTCTGTCGCCCAGGCTGGAGTGCAGGGCTGAGATCTCAGCTCACTGCAACCTCTGCCCCCTGAGTTCAAGCGATTCTCCTGCCTCAGCCTACCAAGTAGCTGGGATTACAGGCAGGTCATACCACACCCGGCTAACTTTTGTATTTTCAGTAGAGACAGGGATTCATCATGTTGGCAAGGCTGGTCTCAAACTCCTGACCTCAGGTGACTCACCCACCTTGGCCTCCCAAAGTGCTGGGATTACAGGCGTGAGCCACCGTGCCTGGCCTCAATGCTATTTTTTGACAAAGAAGACTGACCCATGAAAGGCCGACCCTGTCAAGATGATCCTACTAATCATGCCTGCTAAGATGGCGTTCAGCCCATCACTTACACCTAATATCTCAGGCATTTCCTTGGATCAACAGACTTTCAATTTATGACCTCAGAGGAGAGGGGCAAACTTGAATTTCCTTCATAGACACCTCCCCCTAGTACCCTCCTTTCCTCTCTAACCATCCTTCCTTCTTTATCAACTTCGTGGTGTGTGTGCATATGTTTAATCTATCTACATACAGGTAGGAAGTGTCATCTTTCGGAGTCGGCTCAAACCCTTTCGGGTACTGATGAACTTCCGGGCACATTTATCTTTGCCCACAGCTTCTGAGCTCCGCCTCTTCAGAGGCACCTAATGCAGCTTCAGGCCTTGAGGCCTCTCCAGTGTGAGCCACGCCTCCTGCACCCCAGATTCTGGAGGAGGGGGTCAAGTTTCCGGGCAGGCCCCATGGAAGCCTCACTCACCGGGCTCCAGGTGTGCAGGAAGCATCCCCTCTGTCCCAGGCAGGAGGGAGGGGCAGACAGCACGCTGACAACTCTCCCTCCAGGAGCCAGCTCACCCTCTTTGCCCCCCGACCTGGCCTCATATCACACAGGTTCTGGCCCAGGATAATGCTGGGAAAAGACACTTCATGTCACATCATGTCACTCCAGTGATCTGTTCTCTCCTCTACCTTAGGAAATGTATTCTCGGGTTTGTTGTGGTGTTCTCAGCTAAAACACTGAGACAGAAAATTCTCATTTTAACACCCTATGATTGGCATGGATATCGACTAAGTGTTAAGAGCAGATGGTAAAAGAAGGTTTATAGTTTCACATCGTTTTTGCATAAATAAATTAAATATTTATAGAAATCCCCTAAAAAAGAGGTGTTAAAATGGTGTGGGTAGTGGAGTTATGAGCGACTTCTCTGTATGTGACAATTATTTTTCACAATGGACACCTTTAGAATGACATATAGACACTGAAAATGTGTTTTTTCAAAACATGAAAATAAAACATAGAAAAGGCTACAATGCTATTAAGGCTACACTACTCCACTTTGAGTGATTTCCTTTGAAAGGAAAATGATTCTCACGAATTCCCATGGTTGAGAAATTCTTTCATCATAACGTTATTTAAATATGTACAAATATAAAACTAGTTATAAAGCCCTTATTCACTAGCAATGTACATTTACAGGGGGAACAAAAGAAAGGCCCTAACTTAAAAACTAATAGAATTTAAATCAACCATACTCATTTGATATGACAGATTGCATTATTTTGCTAAAACAAAATTGCTAGTTCTGAGTTGAATATTAGAAAACGATGTGTTGGTGGCTTTCTGTTGACTTGTCACTACCTGGAACGTGTTTTTATGTTCAGCTTGGTGGACCACTGTTGGCATCACCAACATTATCATTGTCATAATTTACCCTTTTTATTTTTTACATATTCTCCTGGTTATTTTTAACTGCCAATCCATTATGTTGACAGGCCAATCATTTTAAAATATATTCCAAAATGCAATCATGAAAAATAAAAATATGTCATTGAATGAGAACTTCTTTGTGGGCCATCTCCCGCTACACTGACTGAGAACTGACTGTTGCAATTGCTTCTGAGGAAGTATATGATGTTGGGATCTGGCGGACACATCCCTGGGAGGGGAGCGTGTTGGGCTGACAGCAGAGGCCCAGGTCCTCTTGGCTCCACAGCCGGTGTGGGAGGAGGTCTCAGTTCACCCAGCACGCTTTTCTGTCTAACCTCTGCTACCTTTATTGCTTAGGTAAAACATGACTTCATTTGGCCTTGTTGATGCAGCAGTATCTCTTTAACATTAAGTATGCTTCTGCTCCTATTAATCCAGGACAATTAAAGAAAGCATCAGTTTGCAATACTAGGTCTTTTAAATTCTGTCGAATCAAAGTCTTTGCTTACTAAGTAACTTAAGAAAGTGAAGTCTATAAAAATGCTCTACCAATGATCTACGAGAAATTTTGCCCTCACAGCTGGTTAAAGAATTCAACTTGACACAATGTGAAACAGGGAAGGATGCTGCTGTTAGGACCTGATACATTTTTTGAAACCACAGGGCACTGAAGTGGAGGCAAACGTTTAAGTGTGGCCTTGAAATAACATGACAAAAGTCGTTGTCCTGATAATTCCAAGAAGGCCTGTGATCATTTTTTAAGTTTTCATCAGAATGGAAAACACGATACAAAATTCTCATGGAGAACTTGCCGATGGATGTGAAATTTCCACAGAATTAATTTCTTAAGCGACACAGTCCAGTCGTTTGGCAGTCCTTGGTGTTGCCTGGCTGGCGGCCAGGTCACTTCAGTCTCCGCCCCCATCTTCGCACGGTGGCCCCTCCCTGTGTGTCTTTAACCTGATCATATCTGCAATGACCCGATTTCCAACTAAGGTCACTGTGTTAGTCCGGTTGTGCTGCTCTAAAAAATATCTGAAACTGGGTCATGTAGAAAAAACAGAAACTTATTTCTTCTAGTCTTTGCTGGAAAGTCCAAGGTGAAGATGCTGGCAGGTCCAGCGTCTGGGGAGAGTCCATTCCTCACAGATAATGCAGCCTCGGCGTCCTCACATGGTGGAAGGGGCAGGAGGGGCAAAAAGGGGTGAGCTCCCTCAGTCAAGCCTTTTATAAGGCCGTCGACTTCCACTCACCTCCTAAAGACCCTATTTCTTTGTATTGTTGCATTGGGGATTAAGTTTTGACAGAAGCATTCAAACCACAGCGGTCACATTCACGGGTTCCATGTGGACGTGAACTTTGCGAGGGACACTATTCAACCCATGACAAAAGTCCACACATACTTCCTGAGCACCTGCTTAACATATAAGAAAAAATGGTATGTCTCTTGGTTTCCCAAATTTCATATTCCAGTGTGAAAGTACAAGGACACATACTCGTACTATCTGGGCACGAAGGTCAGCTCTGTTTTCAAATTATTAAAGAACATATTATCACTCTAAAAGCGTGCTACTTTGAGGGAAAAATAAAAGAACTATTCACTCATTTCTCATTCAGTTAGCATTTTTAAATACTAAGATACATGCTTTGCATGTATTTTGTGGGGAAAGATTTAAGTATACCTAAGACAAGGTTGCTGGCTCTTAAACCACTGATGAATCCAGTCCTGTCCCAGACCTGGCCCTCATCTCTGCTACAAAGGAGCGATAGCCCATTCCTACTCCAGGAGGAGAAACTCCCTTTCATCCTCCCACTCCAGGGCAGCAGGAACTTTTTGCAAAGAAAGCAGGAAAGATAGCAAGCAGAGAGCTGCTTTGTCTTTGGGATTGGTTTGCAAATAGAACCTCTCAAAGCAAACTCTTCCCCTGGAAAGTCTGGGATTTCTCCATGGGACAGAAAAATATGCCTTCCTATTGTCAGACAGATAAGGCAGTGGATTTTCCTTCTCAAAAAGGAGTGTCCCTCCTTTGCCATCAGAAGACTGTCAACATTGTCTGAAGCAGGTGAGACGAAATTTTGACAAGAGGGAGAAATAGATCAAAGAGAATGTTTTCCACTTCGGGTGAAACTTACATAACATTCCCACAATTTATGAGGTGTGCCTTGTCCATGTGTCTCCTCTATCATATTAATCACTTAATGTTTTTCTTTAGGTTGACTCATTTGAAAATTTAAATACTTTTTCCCGTCCTAGGCAGTAATATCCATGGGAAAAAACTGATTTAATGCTCCATTTATATTTCTCAAATTCAAATTAAATATATAACTAAAAATAAAAAAAATGTATCCATCTGTCATATAAAATCCTCCCAACTAGCACCCATGGGATGCGGCTGCACATGAGAAATACTGATTTAATGTAAGCTGAACGGCGATGAGTTCCTGCAATGGGCAGTGATGACTCTGGACCCAACAGGAAGAGAGTGTGGTCATAGGAGAGGAGGATGCCAAAGGCAGTTAGTGTGGCGGTCAACCACACAGAACTCTGCAGCCCTGCAGACCTGGCTTTGGTTCCAGCTTCATTACTGAACACAGAGCCTACCTTGTTTAAGCCTCAGTTTCCTTTTATACACACTTGGAATACTATCTCCTGACTCACTGTGTTATTGTGAATATTGACATTCACTCACTCACAGACATTTATTGAATGCCTTTTATGGGATACCAGGAACTGTGCTTGGGTCCTAGTTCCAAGCAAGAACCCCAGTCCCTGCCATATGCGTGTTTCAGCAATCACCTCTAAGTTACTTGTCTAATAAATCTCTGTATATACACTGTCATCCATATGCAATATAGTTACTTTCGATCAATGTCCTTATTTCTCGTTTTCCAATTAAAGAACTGCAGAATACCTGGGTATGCATGGATCCTACTCATGATCAGATGCTAATTGTAATGCAGACTGATTCCTGCCTGCATGGAGCTTCCCACCTACTAGGGGAAAAGAGATATCAATTAACTAATTTCAAAAGTGCATGTATAATTACAAAGCGGGGAGAGTCCCAGGAATAGAGATGGCATTGAAGAATGTAACACAGAGTCCCAACCTGGGTTAAGAAATCAATGAGATAATGTATGTAAAGTACTGTGAAATAGCCCATTGTCCATGTTAAGCTGGCGATGATGATAAAACTGAAACGAGATTTGGAATTCCCAGTGTCTGATCCAGGCTAGGCTGGAGGCATTGCCAGCGGTCCAAGGAAGAACCCCATTCAGTCTGTCTGCACGCATGATCAGTCATCTCAATTTGAAGTTACTTGTTCGTTAAATCACTCCACGTACGTGGCCACGTACAGTACAGTTGAAATTTATTTTAATTATTGTCTTTATTTCTACTTTTTCAGTGAAGGAACCACTTTTTGATATGGTCTATACAAGAATGCCTGGACAGTGCGGGCCGTACAGATGATTAAGTCACTACACTAATGCTCAGTGAGAACTGACCCCAATAGAGGATTTAGGTCATGTAGCAACAGATGGCACATTCTCATCAAAACCTAGAGTGCCTCATCAACTGCCCCATGGAACACTGTGGAGGTTGCTGGAGATATTCCAAATGAATGCACATTACATGCTTCCATCTCCGTTTATCTCGCTGCAGTTGTAGGGTGATTAATCTGATAACATAATAGTGATTTAAAATATTTACTTTTACCGTGACATATCATTTATTCAATTGTACTTCAAAGCATCACCTGGATGCTCCCATGTTGCTGCCGTAATCATGCAAATGTAAACATTTGGATTGTGATTGGATGACCTAATTACTTTGACATTTGTCATTTATTTTTTAATTTTCCTTTCTTTTACAAAGGCACAGGAAATGCAGTACTTGCCAAAAAATCACTGCGTACATCCAAAGGGGAATTTATAATGTTTAATGACTTCAGATTTCCCTGCTGCTGAGTCCACATTCTCCACTGTCAGCAGCACAGCCAAGAAAGGAAATCACAGAAGAATCTTTGATGTCAAAGAAAAGCGACTTGAATGGCAGGGAGGGAGATAATGGGTATCGGTTTCTTAGAAAAGACAGAGTGACATAAACTAGGACATAGAGGGTGGAAAGGAAGCCTGGCCTCATCTGGCATGCCAGAACTCAATGTTTACTTTATAATAATGTCAAATAAGCATACCTGATATCAGACACCCTACAATTGTGTACTTTCTTTTTCCTGGGATATGTTTAGCTCCTTTACAAGAAGATGAAAGTGAACCAACTTTTATAGGAAAAAAATCTGAAAACCTAACAACCTGCCCCTTCAAAGAAATAATCAAAGTAACATTTTTGGTTCAATATATTTTCCCAAAGAAATCTGACAATATGATGCTTACACAGTTTTCTTGGCATTTTTTTCAATGTTCATTATTTGAATGATGCTGTTAAGAAGCCAACCAAGGAAACACACACAATTTATAAAACTTGCATAAAGGAAATGTGTGCTAATGTGACTTGAGAACTCCAGGAAGATCTGCTTCCTCTTAGAAAACTGTACTGTGTTCTCTTTCATTCATGTGTTCAATTATTGAACTAACATTTGGGAAAATAGGTTAGTCTGGCTGGAGATGATGTTTTGTGGATCTCCTGCCCTCTCTCTCAAACTTCCTAGAGCCACCTTGGCTCTCTTCACACCACTGTTACCCTCTCTGCCTTCAGGGTGACTCAGACATCTTTGCTTACCTGGCAGCAGGCAACAGCCTCTGAGAAGGGAAATACTCACATTGGCAAGAAATGCCAATTGCTGTTGGGTAGAAAAAGAAGTTTCAAAAGCACAAAGGAAAACATTCATAAGAATTCCCACTGAAGCTCCCTGGGCCAAAGAACTTTGGTATATAACATTACAACACTGAGGAGAGACCTGATTTGCAGAAGGACCATCATGACTCCTAAGAACAAGCTAGATCAGGCTTTGTTTCCACTATGTTCCATTTCAAAGTTTCCTAGAAGATTATGATGTGGCAAAGTTTTTCTGAAAAAATTCGGTGCAGTGATCTTGTAGTTTTTCTCATGTGAAGCAATATGCCCCCAAGGATGTCAGATGACAGAGGCATTATGGAAGTCTATCCCAAGAAGTTAATGACGAGGTGCTGCCACCCATTCCTAGAATACTTGCATTGACTCGTGAAAACCACAAACAGAGACTAAATCCTCCCCAGATGGTGGGGCTAGGAGAAGTTCTTTGGAACAGGCGAGTAGCCTTTCACCATCCCCAGAAGGGACCTCCATGAGGAGCATTTCAAGCATGACCTGGGAGGAGCTATTCAGGAGGAGGGGGATTGATTAGGATGTCCACAAAAACAGCCTGCTGCAAAGGGCAGGCCAAGGGTAGTTTCCTAAGGAAAACAGGAAGACTGTAACCAACAGGAGAGGGGAAGCAAGGGGAGAGTGGATGCTCCCCACAAAGATGGTGCATTTTCTAGAACATCCTTTCCCCTCCTGGAAGACTCTCATCTGAGTGCTATACCTGAGTCCCACAGCCTTTCGAGCAGGTAGAAAGGGAGACCTCTCAGTTATGCAGAGGACAGGGCAAAGGGAGGCTATCTCCATAGCATCACTGTCCCAACAGCAAGCATGGCAAATCTCCAGGGTCCAGTGTCCTGCAAGACTGAACTCGAGGGGAGAGTGCCTGGAGAATTTGGTTTACACAAGAATGTCTAGGAGACATTACTGGAGGTCAACATCCCCTCCAAATTCCTCCACCTGTAGAGGAAGCAAGGCTGCAGCATGGATGATATGAGACAGAAAAGCTCTCCGCAAGAAGCCTGCCCCCAGCTCATATGCTCACACTTACTGAATAGTCCTCACAGCTCTGTCTAAAGCTCTCACTTACTTTTGAGGAGATAAAAGCCATCAAAAGCCAGGAACTTAAAACATGTTTGAAGAGTCACCTTTACCATGTGGCCTCTTGGGGGTGTTTTGAAACCCTCAGTCAGCTCACTAATTTCAGAGAAAAAGGCCTGGGAATACACTGCATATTTCTTGTTAAGTGGAGTCAGTACCTGAGGACAAGAGGGAGGTGCTTCCTTCCCCCAAGAATTCGGACGGAGAGAAAATCCTGAGGCTTGGGGAAAGAGAGGGTCTAGAAATCAGGCCTCGGTCCTCCCGGGAACATCCATGGTGTCGTTCCTCAGGGGCTGTTTGTAATCTCAGCAACGCAGCAACAGAGATCGTGACCACAGTTACAAAGGCTGCTCTTGAGTCTCAAAGAAACTGTGAGGCAATGGAGAAGTCGACGGACCCGACGGCCTTTATCCAAGACTTTCCAAGAACGAGAGATGTTAAATAAGGCAGACACCAACACTGGGGCTACTCGTTAGCTGCTTTCTATTAAGAAGTGGAGACGGGTTTTCAGTGTTCATCATGTCCACCGAGATTTTTCCTGAATCCATGTTCACTTCCCAACTTCCATATCACTCTCATTCCCAAGTCCACTAATCCTGAGAAGGAGGTTCCAGCTAGCAATCTCTAACAAGGAAATATCACTCATGAAAAAATTAACCAATTGCTATTCTGGTTTATTTTATCCACTTATTCTAGCAATATTTGGAATCATTTCTTATATTCCAGGCACTGTGCTACTATTTGATGGTATCCAAATTTGAATAAGATACAACCCCATTTCTAAATGTCTCTAGCATTATAAAGACATTTAGAAAATGCTGTGGCACTGCAGTCATATGCTAGAAGAGCAGAGAAGAAAGCTACCTAACTCTATTGATTGGGTGGTGGTCTGGGCTGAGGTTGAATTCCTAGAGGAGGTTTTGTCTAGGCTGAGTCTTTAATGTACCTCATCTTTTAATAGGTAATAGATAGATGAATGGCAGAGGGAACATGAAAAAGCATAGAGGTGTGATTTAACATGGTATGTTTGAGAAACCTCAAGAATTTTGGTGTTGCTGAAGTGAAGAGTTTGAGGCAGTGAGTCTTGAGAAATAAGGATAGAAAAATTTATACAGGAGCCAGAAGTTTGAATACAAGAGCTTCTCAAAAAGGTTGTGTGAACCCCCCAGGGATGGAAGGTCTATGGTAGTAAGCCAGGGGGAAGAAATTAATGCACGGCCATTAGGAGTAGAATTTAAACTTTACTGAAAAACATAAAAGAATCCCTGAACAAATGACAGACCTGCATGTTTATGAAAGGGAATGCACAATGTCACAAATATGTCATTTCTCCCCTAATCAATCCAATGCAATTCTCACTTACAGTCCTGGTGGGCTTTTCTTTGTGAAACTTGAGAAACTGATTCTAAAATTCACTTTTGATGAAAAACTAAGAGAGAGGGTGTTATGGGCTGAATTGCATTCCCTCGAATTTCCTATGTTGAAGTTCTAACCCCTAGTACCTCAGAATGTAACTGCATTTGGAGATAGGGTCTTTGCAGAAGTTAAGTTAAAATTGTGGTCATGATGGGGTGGGGCTAATCCAATATTAATGAATATTATAAGAAGAGGAATTCACAAACGGACACATACAGAGAGGAGATGATGTAAAGACACAGGGAGAAGGCCATCTACAAGCTAAGAAGAGAGGCCTGGAACAGATCCTACCCTCATGGCCCTCAGAAAAAAGCCAACCCAGCCAACACCTTGATCTTGAACTTCTAGCCTCCAAAAGTGTGAGAAAATAGATGTCTGCTGTTTAAAAATTTCTGTTATTTATGGCAGCCCTACTACAATAGGGTTTATAATGGCAGCCCTAGCAAACTGATGCAGAGGGTCTTGTGCAATTGCTATTGTGAAACTATACAATTTAAACAGCCTAATATTAGCCCCATGATAGACAAACAGACCAGTGCAACAGAATAGAACATCCAGAAACAGGCCCATTAGAAAAGTAAACATTTTAATCTGACAATACCAGTGCTCATACTCTCCAGGCACTTGGTATGTACCTTGGCAAAAACGGAAGATGTGCATGTCTTTTTACCCAACAATTCTCCCTTTGGATGCGTATTCTAGAAAAACTCTCATGTGAACAAAAGGTAATGTGTGTATGATGCTCATTCTAGTGCTGTCCAACAAACAACAATAAAAACCACCTAAATGCCCATCAATAGAAAAATTATAATATATTCACTTGATGGAATTGCTTTTCCAATCTGAAAAAAGTCTTTATTCATCTTTGTTTTTGAAAAATATTTTCACTGGGAACAGAATTCAAGATTGGCAATTTTTTTCTTTCAGTACTTTTAAAATGCAGCTCCAATGGCTTCTCACTTGCATTGTTTCTTCTGAGAAATCTGCTGTCACCCTTATCTTCCCTCCTCTTTATTTTGTCTGTCTTTTCCTTTTGTCTTTTTTGTATGACTGCTTTTAAGATGTTCTCTTAGTCATTGGTTTTAGCCAATTTGGTTAGTATGTGCTTTCGTGTAATTTTCTTCACATCTTCCTATACTTAAGGTTCTCTGTGCTTATTGGATCTATAGGTTTATAATGTTCATCAAACTTGGAAAATTTTGGCCATTATCTATATAAATATTTTTCCTGGCCCCTTCCCTTTGGTGATTCCAATTACATATATATTAAACACCTGACATGATTCACAGCTTATTGATGTTCTGGAGGTTTTTTTCTGTACTTTTCCCTCTTTGTTTCATTTTAGATAGTTTCTATTACTAGATCTTAAAATTTACCAAGTTTTCTTCTGCAGTGTCTAATATGTTGCTAATCCTATAATTTATTTTTTGTCTCATACATTGTATTTTTTTCATCTCTAGGAGTTTGTCTTGTGTCATTTTTATATCTCCCATGCTTCTATTTAACTTTTTGAACATATAGAATACAGTTATTATACTGATATTTTAATGTCCTTGTCTGCTAATTTTAACATTGGTGCCAGTTCTGGGTCAATTTTGATGGACTGACCTCTCCATTGAGGGTTATATTCTTCTGCTTCCCTGAATGCCTGGTGTTGGGTGCTGAAAGTTGCTGTAGTCCTTTCAATATTATTGAGCTTTATTCTGGGATGCAATTAAGTTACTGGAAATAGATTGATCCTTTTGAGTCTGGCTTTTAAGATTTTCTAGGTAGGACCATAACAATGCTGAGTCTATTTCTACTTATTCCCCACTGATTAAGGGAAGGCTCTCTGTGTATTCAAACCAAATGTCCTGTGAATCATGAAGTTCTTCAGTCTGGCTAATAGAAACAGGCACTGTTCTCAGGCCTTGGTCAGCTCCAGTTACTTCCAGTCTTTTTGAGTAGTTCCTTCCCCAAACTTGGGAGGTTTTCATGTGATCATAAGTACTCACTGGAACCCTCAGTGGTGACCCTCTGCACCCTCTGTATGCCTCCTGGTCATTCTTCCTGTGCAGTACTCTCCTTGCTGGAATTCTGTCCTGTGAGCTCCTGCCTCTGGGATTTCTCTATACTCTCAGTTGTGTCTCTCCAACTCAGGGACTCCACTGAGCTCTGCCTGGGTTCCCCCTTCTCTGAACAGGAGCCTGGAAACACTATCAAGGAAGACAGACTGAGCAATTGGAGGCCTCATTATTGTTCATTTGCTATCTCAGAGGGTTCACTGCCCTTCATTGTTTGATGTCCAGTGACTTGAAAACATTATATCACATATTTTGTCTGTGTTTTGATTGTTTCAGGGTAGAAGGTAAATAAAATCCCCATCACTTCATTTTGTCTGGAAAAGCAAGTGCATTTGATAGAATATTGCAGCTTTCATAAGTGAACTAGATTAATAATTAGGATTATATGCAGTAACACAGACCTTGACATTAAATATTGAGTAAAAATAATCCAATTTGAAGAAAAGTGTATTCTGTCTGAAACTGTTTACATAATTTCAAAACATGCAAAGGTATCCTGTATACCAGTTTTATACAGAGAAACATAAACATATGTATGAGAAACACCTAAGCCAATGTAAGGGAGATGATGCATCAGGAAAGAGAAAATTGGAGGAGAGGACTAGGGAATAATAAAATGGGGTTTGAACTTTATCTATAATGTCTTATTTAAAATAAAAACATCAAACAAACATGTAAAAATGTTAGTATATTAGCATTACTTAGAGCTAATGGTTGACTAAAAGAATACTCACTATATATTTTTATGTCTCCCAATTATTTCTTAATTTAAAATATCTGTTATTTAGGTTATTAGCAGCTTCTACTGTGGAGAATAGATATTGAATTTGCCTTTCAGGCTCACCGCCCTGCTCACCATCCTTGCTCATATTTGCATAATTAAACAGTTCACAGAGGTGTCTTCCTCGGGAAAAAGAAAACCCTCTTCTAAGAAGGAAATATCCAATAATATAATTCTAAGGAGTTAAATTGTTGTGGGTGGTTATTGGAGATTTTTTTTTAAATGTAGGCAGAGTTCTAAATTCTCATCTGCAAAATAGAAAAATCTGTTTTGATAAATACTCATTTAGACTGACCTGTGCATATCTATTATTGCTCATTCTTGTGTTTTCAGGGAAATTAGTGGTGTGTGTGTGTGTGTGTGTGTGTGTGTGTACATGTGCACATTTTCTTGTTCAAGGATAACAGGAATAGAGAACCTCAAAGACTCAGGAGGATTTGTAGGCTCCACTCTCAGGGTGATATAAGAAGGAATTGAATTCCCTTGCTGTCCATTCTGTAATATTATTTAATATTAATTCACGAACATCCCAGTGCATGAATTGATGTTAGGGCTATTGCATGATTATCGTGGGGGGCTAGTCTACACCCCTGTGAGAAGTGTCATGTTTCTCTTGATGAGAGTGAGTAGTCCCAGTGTCACATGTGACAGGAAGAGGACAATCTAGGGAGAAAAAGTAAGGAATTGCATAACTTTTTTGTAGGAGCTTTTGCCAGTCTGGTTTGGACTCAGAGGTAAACAGATGTTTTGAAAATTCACCAATGGAGTCCACAGGCTCCTGCCATGCGGAACAGGGAGAGGAAGCCTTCAGCAGGCGGGCTCTGAAGGTAACATATGCATTTCTTGTAATATTTTCCCCTTCCATTAACTCACAAATTTCCATACAATTTTAAAACTACAGGCTGATCATTGCTATACTTTGGAGAATTAAGGGCAAGTGCATTCCACAGTCAAAGCAGGCCATGGAGGACACTGTGCACCCACGGCAGATCCCAGCTGGGCCCTGTAGAGCCATGTCCTCGGGAAAGTCACTGAGGCAGAGGCAGCAGAATGGCATGACCAGGAGACTCGACAGATGATCACAGAGCCCACTCCTGAACACACAGGGCAGCTGTCTCCGATACTTGTCAATGTTACTTGGAAATAATTTGAGAAGGGCTTTTTTTGACAATTAAATTATTAGGGATCTCTCAGGACATTAACATCTCATTATTAACTGAAAATGTGGTTTCATTTTATAGTCATGGATTGATGAGGAGCAGATATGTGGATGCCCCTCTCTGGGAAGGAACAGGAGTCCAAGACTGAACGTTAGCCCAGCTCATTGCGCTGCAGCAGGACAGTGCAGCCTTTCTTGTTTCACACAAGCTGATCGGATGCACACTGCACGGTGAAAACAGAGCCAGATGGATTCGCTCCCATCCCAACTCTTCCTTTTCTCCTCAAGAACCGTGACTAAACTTTTCTGATGACAATATTGGACTGCAGGTGAGGGATGGTGTCATTGTTTCACAGGCTTGCATCTTAGATATTTACAAAGAAGGAACTTTTGGCACTTTAATACTAATAACACATTATTTGTGCATGGCCTACGACAGATCCGTCTTTACAGGCAAAGGCAGTTGAGGAGAAAACAAGAGAGGAAATAGGCAAAGACAGTGTTTGACAGGCTGAAGGAAGAAGGATGAGGGGGCTCTGAGAACTGGAGAAATAAACAGCAAAGCCATTTTCAATCAAGGGCTATTCAGGGAAATAGCAGCCAAACTATGTATTTCAAATAGATGAAATCTAATACAGGAAATTGCTTAAAAAGGTACTGGGCAAGTGGAATCTCTAAACAGGGGATAGCAGACAATGCGAAGACTAGCAAAGTGGGCAGCTGCTGCCACCATCTCAGTGCTGGGCATGTACAGGGAGGAGCATCCTGGCAGCACCCGGGGATCCAGACCACCCAGTGGAAACTGCAACAGAGGCAGGAAAATTCAGACAGAGTCAGAGCCATGGAGATACTCAGCTGTGGCTGGGGACTCCACAAGAAGAACAGAGAGGAGATGCAGCCTGGCTCTTCCTGGCCTCTGGCCCACCAGTCTCAACCAAATTCATTCCAGGATCTGAAGGGCAAGGGAGCTGAGAGGGGGCATCTCATGTGATGGTGATCAGAGTAGGGAAGGGCAGGGATCAATTCGAAGAGGGAGGTTGCCAGATCAAACACAAATGCCCAGTTACATTTGAATATCCGATAAACAATGAAAAAATTTTAGCATAACTATGCTTCATGCGATATTTGGTACTCAGTTATACAAATATTTATTCATTGTTTATCTGAAATTCAAATCGACCTGAGCACCCTGTGTGTTTATTTAAAAATCTGAGTGCAAACGGAGATAGCTGGCACCTATGACAATAAATGCTGAAGGGGCCCCAGGATTCTCCCCGGCCCAGAGGGTTACACCCATGAAGGAAAGGGAATTTTGCAAAAGACTAAAGGTTCATTGCAGGAAAAAAATGAAAATTAGGGGAGAGAGATGGCTGAGGAGTTAACAGATCAAAGTCTTCAAAATACCTTACAGGAAAGATCAAGGACAAAAGGATTCCCACGGATGCTGGAAAAGGAAGCCTGGGGCTAGGGGATGGGATTGTGGGTTTGCACTCAAGGATCCTGATAATGAGTCATGTCACTGATTGAAGCCTGAAACCAATTAGAGTCAAAATTATGCTTGGCCTCAAAATTAAAAATATAAGGCATGATTTTTGAAGGATGAGAAAGCACAAGCTTTTATTGGGGTCTCTCATCACCTTGCTGTGCTGTGGTGGGAATTGGCACATAAAACAGGAAGGAATTGGAGAAAAAACCATCCACCCTCTGGATCCCAGGAGATTCTCAGGAGTTTGGATGAGTGACGAGTGCTGTCATCTGCTCTCGGGGAAGGACATTGTGGGGAGATAGTTGCTAACCTGGGGGTATTGGATTATCAATGGAACTGCTGGCATGTGGGGCTTTCTTAGGGCATATCATACCCTCCTTAAACACACACACACATACACACACTGGAGGCAGAAAAGGTAACTTGGAAATGACTCACACTGTCTGCCCAACCTGAGCAGATAGTATACCTCTCACTAGGGAGCAGTTGTAGCACCTCAGTTCTCAACCCTCTCTCTACCATCAATAACCAACACCTTAAAGCAAAGAGGGCCTTGAACACACTTATAACAGTTATTGAGGACTGATTCATTTTGACAGCAACTGAGGCAGGACCGGTGGAAAAACTGTTGTATCAGTATTCAGGAGTGAACTATTTCTGCATGAAAGAGGTACTTCTAGTACCTCTTGGTTTTCCGTTACAAACGCATACATGTTGAATGAACAAGAGCAGGCATGGTTAACTCCAAGAGAGTTATCTGCTCTGCCAGAAAGCTTTCTTGTCTACCCCAATTTTCATATAAAAATTCAAATTGTGCAAGAAGTTTAATGACCCGAAAGCAATATGGGCAAGTTACCCACAGCATCAGAGGTCAAAAATGGTTGCTGCCCTCAGAGGTCATGCAATCTAAAGTGAGACAGGTCTTCAGTAAAGTGAGTTAGGAGCTGATGGAGCAGTGAGTGGGAAAGCTGAGCTTGTCGTAGGACCTATGCAATTTAAGGTAGCAGTTCTGGGACAAAGAACTTTAGGAATTGAACCTCCCAGATTTGGATACCTCTTTCTAACTCCAAACTCTCTTGGGGAAACAACTCCACAGGCTGACAGTTCTGCAAGGCGTCTTCCTGACACTTCCTGTTTGTTGGTATCATATTCAAGTGCTGCTGCTGCTGCTGCTGCTGCTGCTGCTGTTACTTTACAATCTTTGGAAACAAAATACATGTAGATTCTGAATCCACATGCTCAATGTGGCAGCCACTAACCACCCGTGACTACTGAGTATTTAAAGTGTGACTAGTGCAACTGAGAAACTAAATTTTTAATTTTTATTTTACTTTAATTGTAAATTAAAACTGGGACTTGATTCAGTTATTGGAAAACTTTGAAGTATCTTTGGAGACACTTAGGTGTGTGAATCTGAGTTTTTAACTGCAAAGCTTATGAAATTTAAATACAGATCAAGTAGTTCTGATGAAAATTTAGCATCTGCCTTGAGATGTAAAATAAGTAGAAAATACACACTAAAGATTTGGTACGAAAACTATAAAAGATCATTAATAAGCTCATCATGTAATTGGTAACATGACAAAATGATAACATTTTGGATATATTGGGTTAAATAAGTTATAGTATTTAAATACATTTTGCCTGTTTTATATTTTCTGTTTTGAATACAGCTAATGGAAAACTCAAAGTTACTATGTGACTTACATTACATTTCTGTTGGACGGAACTCTTCTGAATTCCCATATCTTCATATGCTCTGTATCTCTATGAGCTTAAATGTATAGAGGCCCTGCTCTCTACCTCAGCCTTCTTCCCCCGTAATCTCCCTAGAACAGTCGGGTACAAGTCGGCTGAGAAAAAAGTGAGGCTAGAGATGGGGGTGGTGCGTGCAATCACAGTGGGGATATGAGGTGGATGAAGGGACGTGTTTTCTCAGCTAAACTTTTGTTCCCTTCACTCTCTCATTCCCGGTAGGAAGATCTTCAGTAACAAAGAGTAAAGAAAGGGAGACTTAGCAGGCAGGATGCAGCCTCATCATTATGAGAGAGCCATTGTGCGCATGAGAAATGTTTCGTTCACCCCAAGCGACTCACCTTGAAGACCCTGAAGGGCTAGAACATTTGCTTGACTTCTAGATCATTCCCCTGATGGTCCCAGGGGCGAATGGTCCCCTTCTCTGTGCTCTGTGAGAACCTCTGGCCCCCAATGGAAGGGAGCCTGGGAGCAATCCATGTATGAGAAACTCTGGAAGGAATGTGGGGACCAGAGAGAAGAGGTAGGAGGACAGGACACAAGGGACACCCAGGCGGTGGCCTGGTTCCGGCTGCATGTGGCGGGCTGGATGAGACACGTATCTCAATGGTGTGCACCGTCTTCCAGCCTCTGTGTACGTCTGCGATTGTGCCTGTCTAGAAGCTAAGTTATTCTCTTCCTGTTGATGGATACAGTAAGTACAGCTCAGTGCTTTCATTAATGTTCTATAACTCTGACCCCTAAAATAGGAATTGAATTGACATTTTCCCCAGTTTTAGCCAAAAGACAGCTGTCCAGCAATATGAGGTAATGCTTTAGAATAAACTTGGCTGGGCGTTCCTAGCTTGGTTTATACAGTTTGATTCTCATGGCTTTTTGTGGAGGCCAACCCATTGCCAATGTCCACTTTCACTTTTCCAGTAATAATGAAAGTGCCTGGAATATGTAAAGTGCACAAAAGACTGTCAAAATGAGACCAGGCCTCTAAGTAAGCCATACCATATCCATCCCATTAAGCTGCAAAATCATGAAGTGGGAAAACTGGTTCTTCTTATATAAGCCTGGGAGCACAGCAACTGTTGGAATGGCATGGAATGAGGTGCACATGGCCAGCCAAGGCTTGCTTCTGCCAGACATTTTCCCCCTATGGTCAGAAAAGACAGGGGCCAAAAACCTTAGAGATGAATAATCCATTTTTTTAAAAATCCAGATCACTGGCAGGGAGATTACGTTATAGCCCCAAAGAGTAGTTAACAGATTAGGGTCTTTGCGTATAGAACCTCACGGAGTCATGTAACAGGACGGGAATGCATTCACTGGAGTTACATTCCAATGGGTCTGCTTAATACCTAGGTGTTGTGTGGTGTTGTGGGTCCTTGGACATGGCTTAATTAACAGTGCTGGCAGTGGGGACGCCACATGCATCTGTGCTCAGCCTGGAGTACAACCTGGGAGAACCTGCCCAGCGTGTTTTCTGGCGCTGGGCAGCCTGCAGAGGGAGGGGGCTATTGGAGATTTGACAAGCAGAAGGGGATTGCTGCAAACCATGCTGGGGGCAGCACTGGTTGACCCCCGAGGTGGATAACATGAAGCCCAGCTCAGCCCCTACCCAGAGGGGCCAGCAAGGGCTGTGAACTCAGGCTGGCATATCCTGCCTCCCGGCACTCTCAACCCCATCCCTGGGAGATGTCAATTCCGGGGGCACTCAGTTCTGACTAGAGGACGAGCAGAGGGACAATAAGACCCCAGTCCCCAGTGGCTGGAGGCTCCCTCATAAACTTCATTGCAGCAGAGGCAGCAGCGTACAGAAGGAGCACAGACTCTCCACTCCCCCAGCGGTGCCGACCTGCAACCCCACAGATGAGAGGCAGGCACCTTGACATACTAGGAGAGCCAGACGCATGCGATGGTGCTCTTAAAATCTCTTGAAGGTACAAAACGACATGTGATCTTTTTGTAAGAAAATAGTAAAAAACAAAAATCATCTGTAATCCCATCACACAGAGAGAACCACTGGTAAGAAGTTTTATGAAACATGACATTTTACTTTGTATTTACTGCTTTTCACCCGTTATTTTCATTTCAGAACATTATTCTATGCCATCGGGTATTTTTCAATATTACCTATTTAATAGAGGTATAGTGCTCATTTTCAGATATGCATAAATCCATCTCTCTATTGTTTGAGTTTGAAGCAGACTTCATATTAAATATATGCGTGTGTGTATATATGCATGTATATATGTATTTATCTTGATGTCAGCAGATTTCGTTGCTGAAAAGAATTCATTTTATATTATTTCCCATGATTTCTCTCTCCCATTGCATATGACTTTCCAAATGGTTGTTGATATGATTTGCCTCGTGTCCCTTCCCAAATCTCATGTTGAATTGTAATCCCCAGTGTCAGGGAGGACCTGGGGGAGATGACTGGATCATGGAGGCAGAGTTCTCATGAATGGTTTACCACCATCTCCCCTTGGTACTGTATAGTGACAAGAGTTTTCACAAGATCTGGTTGTATAAAAGTGTGCAGGCTGGGAGCAGTGGCTCACACCTGTAATCCCAACACTTTGGGAGGCCGAGGTGGGTGGATCACTTGTGGTCAGGAGTTTGAAACCAGCCTAGCCAACATGATGAAACCCCATCTCTATTAAAAATAAAAGAATTAGCCGGGCTTAGTGGCACGTGCCTGTAATCCCAGCTACTCGGAAGGCTGAGGCAGGAGAATCGCTTGAATCCAGAAGGCAATGGTTGCAGTGAGGTGAGATCATGCCACTGCACTCCAGCCTGGGCGAAAGAGCAAGTCTTCTTTTCAAAAAAAAAAAAAAGTGTGGTACCTCCCCCCTCTCTCTTCCTCCTGCTCCTGCCAGGTGAAATGCCTGCTCCCTCATTGCCCCCACCATGAGTAAAAACTCCCACAGGTCACCCCAGAAGTAGATGTTGCCACGCTTCCTGTACAGCCTGTGGAACTGTGAGCCAATTCAACCTCTTTCCTTCATACATTACCCAGTCTCAGGTATTTTTTGTAACAGTGCGAGAATGGACTAATACGGTTGTGTGGCCATGTTTCCTCAGCTGTGGCTTGTTGACGGTTAAATATTTGCATGCAGCCACATTTCTCACAGGCTGCTCCCAGCCAGTGTCTGAGCAAGGCAGTGCAGGTCCACTCTGGGGAGAGGTTGGGCTGAGTCCTCTGGTTCAGGGTTGAGGATGCCCGGTGGCTTTGCAGAACTTTCCTGGGGCCACCTCCTCGCAGCCATCCCTCCTCTTTCCTTCACTGGGGTCAGACTCACACCACAGTCTGAAGGCTATTCCAGTTGCACCCAGCTTCCCCCCGCATTTCTCTTAGGCATTTTCCCTGATGAAATGCTTGCCTATTTGATCCATTTCTTTGCACCGCTCTTAGGGGACCTGGCGTAAATCTACCCGATTCTTACTCCTCGCCAGATCTCCCCTGCAGGTGGCTGTTCTGCAGGAGGGGTCTTGCCTTGCCTCCTCCGCTGTCATGGCTTCAGAGCGCTGGGAGCTGTCACTGCATGGAACACATCCCAGTTCCCAGGCTGCCCGAATATGAGGGCGCCTCCCTTCTTCATCTGCATGGTGACTCCTGGGGCCGCATTCCTGGGGTCCTCGGCAGCCCCTCCTTCCTGCTTCCGTGAGGTGTAGAAGATGGGGAAGTGAGTGGGCTGAGAGCAAAGAAAGGTGATTGATAGAAATGAGAAGAAAGTCTTTCTGCTCAACTCACAGAAGCATCCAAGGAATGGAGCATGGGCGCTGCCGAGTTCCCCTGGAGCTCAGGCACAGGTGTCTCCGTCAGGGGATGGGAGAAAAGTTAAAAACACAAACAAGAACAAAACCTTGTGTAGAGAGTCTCTGTGCTGGGACACAAACTGAGGCCCTCCGCATTTCACACTGAGGCCACTCATGGCATCAGGTCCTTTTGCTCCTCTCAGGCTTCCCTTCTTCCCAGTTTCTGCCTTAGGGAAAGGCCGTCATCTGTTTTCCTCTTGCATTATTTTCACCTTTATCTGTGGAAAGTTGCAAAGACTGCACAGGGGGCCTTCTCCAGATGACATGTGAAGCAACAGCCGTAGGAAACTCTAAATCCACCTGAAATTTGAGTTTCTGCTGAGGGTTAATATTTTAAATGGAACCCATGAGCCCACTATAAAGCGAAGCCCAGCTCAGTGGTGAAGGAGCGTCTACAGGAGTCATGAGGCACAGCATTTTCTAGTTCCTGACTAAAAACAGAAATGAAACCTTTTCTCTGCAGATTTTGTCAAGGTGTTCTGCAGGCAGTTGCACTTTCGACCCTCCTCATTTGCCCATTAGCAAATGGAAAAATTATAATAATGTGAACTATTTTTGTTTTGTTTTTTAAATGTTGAATGATGTGGCAGTGTAGCTAAAATCCTGCATTTGGAGGCCAGAACTGTAAGCCATTTTTGAAAGGAAGACAGTTCTCGACAATAAGCATCTTGATCTTGAAACCCTTGAGGAGCAGGGACAGAGCAGAGAGTACAGGTGAGAGCGAGAACAAGAGCAGCAAAAGAAAATGAGCAAACCATACTGGAAAAGCAACCCTTGGCCAGCCCCACTGGCTCTGAGCCACGTGCTAGGTGGGGTCAGGGGAGAAGCTCTGGGCCCTGCCAACTGTGTTCTGGCCTCAGCCCCAAGCTGTCCCTGAGGGCTGCACCCCAGAATCCGAGGATGTGAGGAGTATGGTTCTGAGCCCTGCTCTGGTGAGGAAGGGACTGGCAGACTCTCAGATCATGCCGAGGCTGCTCTCATTTGCTGTTTCATGCATGTGTGTTTTGTGTGCATGTTGAAAGGAGCAAACTGCGTGTCGCCTATGAAACATGGGTTTGGTTCTTCAGAAGAAATCCTTTTGGAGTTCTCACAAAGCTCCAAGTTATCCAGGAAGCCCCAAGGACCAAACACGCATTGTGGTTGGGACTGTGATGCCCAGATGGGCCAGTCCTGGAAATGGAGCTCATGGAAGGTGGCGTCGCGATGGCCGGTAGAGCAGGAAGGATGCGGGGCAGGGCCCCCTTGAATCAGCCTGGCTGGGAGAGGTGGGTAGGATTCAGTGAGGGTATCTCAGACTGCACTGAAATTAACATTTTATTTACACACATTCACACATATACAATACACCAAGAGACATAAGAAGGAAAAAACTATGATAAGTTGCTGCTTATGTGAGTTTCCACATGGATACAAAACACTCTTGTATGCAAAGTTAACAAGGTCTGGGCTCCTTCCCAGCACACCTCTGCCCCCGTCCCCCGGGCTTCACCTCACGGCAATGCGCTGGGCAGGGTGAGTCCCATATCGCTCTCAACAGCTGAAGGGGAGCTGCTTGTCTTGGCAGGACCTTGAGAGTTAATGACACATGTAATGGTGTGTGGGGAAAGTGAGAGACGATGGAGGATTGTGTGGTACAAAAAAGCAAAAATATGTGTTATAGAAATAGAGTATTTGCATCAAACTGAAATCCTCCCTATCCTGAGAATTTCAGGAAGAGGACAAAATCACAGGGTCACATCCTGAAGGACACCCTGCCCGGCTCTGACTTTACCCCTCTCAGTGCCCTGGGGTGGGGGTATCGATCTAGAAAGCCACCTATCGCAGGGTGTGTGTATGTGTGTGTGTGTATTCATTAGTGCTTGCGGTCACTGTGAAGACACCAACTGTTCTGAACAAGACTTTCCAATAATGCAGGGCGAGATTGCCTGAAACAAACTAGAAAAACAACATAAAAGAAGAAAAGGGAAAGCATGCCCAGGAGAGCCTCAAATATCTTTTGTCCATATTGCTGTTTTCGAAAATCCGGGGTGAATAAAAAGCTGGCACTCTCCGGGTTTTGCCTGGTCCTGGAATTCTTTTGTAGTGAGCACCACCTTGTGGTCTGCCTTTTGCATTTCCCAAGAACACAATGTCAGGGTCCCCGTGCTTGCTGAAACCTGGTTATCACACTCGGGCTGGCCTCTCCTCCCAAGCCCATCCTGCCTTCTTCCCACCCTACCAGACCCTTCCCACTCGAGGGCTCAGACCCATCTCAGGCTTGCCCCAGTAGGCTCGTCCCACTTTCTGGAATTAAGACTGAACATTAAGTTGCTAGCCTGAGCCCAAGGCCCAGGTGTCCCATTACAGCTGATGTGCCACCCACACGGTCTGTCTGGGGCCACCCCCGGGGGACCATTGCCCTACACAGCGCCCACACACACAGTCCCTCCACATGCCCATTTTGCTCAAAATCTCTCTCTCCTCACTCCTACACCCCCCTTCAGCAACTTGCTGGGATTTTTTCGGCGTAACGTAGTGGGTCTGGGCAATCCCCAGAACAGGAACCCTCCCAGCAGCCCACCACCCCTAGTCTATAATCACAGTCGACTTCAACCACAAACACCTGGAGCACGGAAAGCGCTGCCCCACCCACCAGGAAACTCCGCATCCCTCCACATGAGGACCCATCCTGCACCCGGGAGCAGTGGAGGCATCTCAGCCAAGGCAACTGCAGATGCTGGCATAGCTCCACATTGGACAAACAAAGGTGCCTCGTGAAGTGCCATGATAAGCCCTGCCAAGGTCTGAAGCAAACAGGTACAGCCGGGGTGTCATCCCAGAATAAACCACAGTCAGAGACAAGATGGGGAGATGGAGGAAGGAACCGGAACAAAGTGGCTCCATGCACCGGGTATAGGCAGGCACCTGGGCTCATGGTGTTTAATTCATTCTCATAATAACTCTTTGGGAACTATTATTTTTCCCATTGTACAGATGAGGATACCAAGGCTCACAGAGGTTGAAAATGTGCTTGTTTATCTTGAATTTCCCTAACATGATCAGCTTGCTGTAGATATTCAAGTTCTACTAGCTTCTAACTCCTTCCATGTAAAGCAGCAGCGAAGCTGCCCTGCCAAGGCCCACAGTTAGATTTGTGCATCTCTGAGCATCTTTTCTTGAGCTCTCTTTGTTACCACCTGCTGGTCACAGAGCTGAGGAGGGCTGCACCCCCTTCCACCATGGCTGCAGATGCCCTCTGGGAGAACACTCGGGGCAGACTCCTGAGGACCCCATGGTGTTGAGCACCTGTCCTTGCTGTGGCCAGGCTGCGCTCCGTACCAAGGTAGGCAAAACGCCCTGTCACCCACTGGGCATCATACCTGGGAACCTGGGCACACCCAAAAACTGCTGCATCATGCTCTGCCCAAAGCCCTGTCACCACAGGGCTCAGGCTATGGGGCCACTTTGAGGCAGGCACAGCTTTCCTCTGTACCCCAGTGTGAATCTTTGATTGCTGTAACTAATTGCCATAAACGTTGTGGATTAAAACAGCCTAAGTTTGTGATCTGTTCTGCAGGTCGGTAGTTCAGTACAGATCTCTTTGGACTAAAATCTAAGTATTGGCAAGTTGCATCCATTCCTGGAGCTCTGGGGAAGGCCCGTCCCTGCTCTGCTAGGTTGCTGGCTGAACTTAGTTCCCTGGGTTCCCTGGGATTACAGACGTGCACCACCATGTCCCACTAATTTTTGTACTTTTAGTAGAGACCTGGTTTCACCTTGTTGGTGAGGCTGGTCTCAAGCTCCTGGCCTCATGTGACCCACCCACCTCAGCCTCCCAAAGTGTTGGGATTACAGGCATGAGTCACCACGCCTGGCCTCCAATGGACTAGTTTTGAAGGAATCTCAGGATTTGCAACCTGCTGGAAGGAATTACTGGTGTCATTAGAGGCCTCCCTGAAACCCCACGCAATGACAGCATGGCACACGCTGACCCCGGCTGAGCTCACAATGGCAGTTGTTTTGGCTTGGCTTCTGTTTAGATGGGAAGCAGCTCCCCATGTCCCTTGGCTGAAGGTTTCTCCTAGAAGTTGACCAGGACCCCTGCAGGGGATGAACAAAAGCTGACACCTCATCACCCCAATTCACACACAGTTAAGCCCCACTGATCCTGGGATACAAGTAGATAAAGGGGGGAAAGGACTACTTTGTTTAACTTCCCAGTATCCTCTGATTGACTTAATGAAAAAATCCTGATGTTAAGCTCCCAGAAAAGGGTTTTCAGTGCTGAACTTGAGCTGGGCATACCACCTACATCCTGTGTTCTGTGTTCACAAACACAGAACACATTCGTGTCTCATCTGTGCCTCATTTGTCTTTCCCTGCCCTTACTTCCACGTGAGAGCAGCCACTTGTGATCCTGTCCATTTAAAACAATATGATCACAGGCCTGGGGCTCCAGATGCCGGACACAGAAAAGAAAAAGACGTGATAAATAACATTTAAAGCACTGCAAAGTTTGATTTTCATGTCTAATATCTGCCCCTGGAGATTCTGCTAAATTTCTTTTTTCCCTCTTCATAAATTCTTATGATAACAACTTTATTTGGGAATTAATCCAGATTCCCATTATTCACTGAATTACACTTTCCCAGCATGTAAGTTCCTCCCTCGTTGTAAGTTACAAAGCCTTGGAAGCTACATTAACTCTTTCTGGCTGCTGGGATGACAGGTATTGCTAGTCCTCATGTTTCAGAATTGTATCTGAAAAGCATTAATGTAGTTTTAAAGGGTTTCCAAATTAAAACCAGGATGAAAATTGACCACTGGGAGAATCCTATTTATACTATTATATTATGGGGTGCTTTAAATACACTTCCCTCCAGCCTACTGCCATTGGCTCTAATATATAGAACGGGCATGTATACAGAACGGGCATCCCTCTTGCAGTAGCATTGTGGAAGAATTAAGCACCCACACTCTGAGGTCAAACTGTCCTGGTTGAAATCTTGACTCCATCTCTCACTAGCTGTGTGACCTCAGGTAAGTTACCTAACCCCTCTGAGCCTTGGTTTCCTCATTTGTAAAGTGGAGAAAACAGCACTCACTTGATGGGGCTGCCATAAGGATGAAGTAATATGGTGCAAGAGGAGCTGAGACTGCTGCTTGGCAAACAGTGGACATTTGCTGAGAGCTTGCTGTGCACCAGGCACTGTTCTAACTACTTTACATGTATTAATTCATTGAACTCGCTCAACAACTTGGAGGTTGGACATCATTATCCCTACTGCAGGCAGTGACCACTCTACAAATGTTGGTTGCCATCCGCTGATCTTGACGCCTACGACGGATTCGCCTGGTAACTCCATCCACACTTAAGTTGGGAAAGCACTCCGCCCTGCCTCTAAGTCCGGGGACTCTGGGCAGGGTCCATTACATGACCTGGGTCTAAGCCAATCAGAGCATCTCACTACCGTCTCCACAGTGATTGGTCCACGTGGGCACATGACACTGCCGGGGCTGGGACTCCCCAAAAAGAGAGTCTCCCTTCTTCCTGCTGGACTAGCCTGAGACGATGCGAGGCTATCGCTGCCGCAGTACCGGGCGGAGGGCCTGTCTGAGAGGGAGCCAACCTCGAGGAAACTGGGTCAACAATGGACAACGAGACACCAGCTGTGTGACTTCACGTGAGCCCACGCAGGAAGCCTGCCTGCAGCCGGGACCCTATCTTGGCCCATAGCATCGGGGCTTCTCAGGGAAGCACTGGGGTGTAAGCTTCAGCCCCAAAATGCATCCCCACCCTTGTCCCCCTCCAGGCAGAGCAGAGACCACTGGGGCCTGCTTGCTGCTCGGTGGAGCCGATGTCTTCAAGGCCGGGCTAATGTCTCACCGGCCTCTCGGTTCCTTCCAGCTCCACTGACAGAAAGAAAGCAGATTAGATTACCGGGCGAGGTAATCCTAAGCTTTAGAGGTTCTTTTGAGGAACCTGCCACAAAGGCCAACCAGAATCCTTATTACACAAACCAGCAACTGACCTCCCTTTAGGAGAACAGGGCTCTATGATAGGAGCAATTACATTTAAATTCTGCAGTGAGATTGCTATTTAACAAAACAGCAAAATCATCAAAATCCTATAATTGTATGCATAATGCCACTTTGGCCTACTCACTTTCTGTAAAGAACTTTATTTTCCCATCCCATAATTAATATCAGTATCATATTCCATTGAAGACCATCTGTTTTACCAGAGCTATGTTATCAATCATCTCAAATTTCAGAACTTCACCCTGGTTTGTCCCCTTGATAGGGAAGTGAAAACATTGTATCAACAGTCATCTAAGCTGGCATGTGTGTGAGTGGGCCACAGGATTTGCTGGTGGATATCAGAAAAGTCATTTAACACAAAGTTCTGCTTATAGACTATTGCAAAATAAGTAGCTCCAAAAGGAAATTATTATGTTTGTAAAAACATGAGCACTTTCCTCTTCCTTTGGGCAAGGGTACGACGTTTTACTATCCACCCAAATTATGTTCACCAATGATTGAACTCTTCAAAGAATTCAAATCATGTGGATTTGAGCCTTCTGGGAAGGAAAACGAAATGCACCTTGACTTCACAGGCTGGAGGGCTGGGTGTGACAGGGCCCTCCAGAGAGCCTCGGGACAGAACCTCAGCAGATGGTGGCAGCTGAAGACACAGGTCAGTTCTCAGATTAACCAGACACCTCCCACCAGTCCATTCCTGCCTGTGGATGCCCTCCTGAGAACCAACTTCCAACCAGAAGGTCATTGTGGGTGGTACAGAGTGGGAATGAAGGACTTACATGATGTTTTTTGTTTTGTTTTGTTTTGTTTTGTTTTGAGATGGAGTCTTGCTCTGTCACCCAGGCTGGAGTGCAGTGGTGTGATCTCAGCTCACTGCAGCTTCCACCTCCTGGGTTCAAGCGATTCTCCTGCCTCAGCCTCCTAAGTAGCTGGGACTACAGGCACGCACCACCATGCCCAGCTAATTTTTGTATTTTTAGAAGAGACAGGGTTTCACCATGTTGGCCAGGATGGTCTCAGTCTCCTGACCTCATGATCCTCCCACCTTGGCCTCCCAAAGTGCTCGGATTATAGGCATGAGCCACCATGCCCTGCCAGGACTTACATGATCTTAAAGGCCCCCACCACATTCCTTACCCCTGGCCAGGAGAGTCAGGGGCTTTTCTGTCTTCCCTCAGGGTTACACTTGCCAAAGAGACCATTATTTCAATGTCCTTGACCATGATACCTCAAGACATTCTTGCATGAGTTGAGGCTCAGAAAACAGTACCCCAAAATATGGCACTTTGGTATGCTGAGGGTTTTTGAGTTAAAGGAAATTAAAAGGCCTCAAAAATAAGCTTTAGAACTAAGGTCTTTCTCCAGTCTCCTTTCAACCCCCTGTCTAGTCTATCTGATCCTCTTTCTTTCCTGAAGTACCAGCAAGGACTCTTTCTGCAATTTCTTTATCTAAGTTTTACCACTGCGCCTGGCTAGAGATGTAATTGTCTTAAGACACTCTTCCTAGGAATCTCATCAAATAACCAGGAAAGATTAACTACTGGAGAAGAGAAAAGACTGGGAATCATCACCATGCCAGACAGACTTTTCACCTATTCGTCTGAGGACAGCTCCAAGAGATGACCTGGGAGACTTTACCTGCATAAGAAGACAACCTTTGTTCACAGCGTAGTTCTGCCCCTCACCCTCCTGCCACCTGCCCCAGAACTCAGAGGAACTTTGTCCCAGGCTATTATCTATTCTTTGGGCTCACTCATTTTCCTTAGAAATCATTTACTACCCCTCTAAAATTTCCTACAGTCCCCCACTTCCCTGTCTCCTATGAAGAGGATATATAAGCCTCAACCATCTGGCCCTTCTTTGAGTCTCCTATTTGTAGGACTCCCATGGCCATATGCACCTTAATAAATGTGTAAGCCATTTTTCTCCTATGAATCTGTCTATTGTCAGTCACTTCAGTGAAACTTCAGAGAGGGTGGAAGGAATGCTTTCTCTCCACCCCTACAGATGCACTGGCCATATTCCATATCTTTCCTCATCTTTCATATAATATCTGAGAGAGAAGGTAGAAGTTGTCAGTCCTTTTAGAGACTAGTTTTCTTAAAGAACTGAATTCACTTCTATGTTCTACTGGGAAAAGTAAAATGCAAGGTCAGCTCAGGCTCTTGATGTGATTGGCTGCACGTGCATAGGGCACCATCTTTGGAGTCAATTTTTCACAGCTGATGATGATATTATTCACTCCTTTTTAAAGCTATATAGCACTCTATTGAGAGAGTGTGCCATAGTTCAGCCAATCTTCTATGTCTCAGTATTTAGGCTGTTTTCAATTACATATAATGCCTTAGTGAATACAATTGTGAATGCTATTTTGTAGAAGAGGTTTGTTGGGCCAAAGGATAAATGTATCTGTTACCTGAGACTGCCGTAACAGAGTGCCACAAGCTTTGTGGTTAAAAATAACAGAAACTTACTCTCTCACAGCTCTGGAGGCTAGAATTCCAAAATCAAGGAGTCAGCCAAGTTGTACTCTCCAGGAAGTTTACAGGGAAGAATCCTTCCTTGCCTGTTCCAGTTTCTGGTGTTGCCAGCAATCCCTGGCATTCCTTGGCTTGTAGACACATCACTCCATCCTCTGCCCCTATCATCATATGAACATCTCCCTGTGTGTCTGTGTCTGTTTTTCAATTCTTACAACACCAGTCATATTGGGCTTAATATCCACCCTAATTCAGTATGACCTCATCTTAACTTGATTACTTCTGCAAAGACCCTATAACTAAATGAGGTTACATTCACAGGTTCCAGGTGAGCATGAATTTGGGGGGAAACACTCTTCAACCTCTTACAGGAAAGGCATGCATATGGTGGTTATATGGTGTCAAGTTCCCCTTCATGGAATAGTACCATGTTGCTCTCCCCCAAGGATGAAAGGGAGCAGCTTTGTCCCCATAGCCACAGTAATGCAACTTGTGGTCAAGCTTTTGAATTTTTGCCAATCTGATGTGTGAAAACCAATATCTCAGTCTTTTATTTTATGTTATGGATAAAGATGAACATTTTTTCTTATGTATTCATTTGTACACTGGTGGGGGATAATCTGTTCATGTGTTTGCCCATCTTTCTTGTGGGTTTTTGGTCTATTTTCCTCAATTTTTTATATAGAATCTGTATGGGATTTTCTATTAATCTCTTTCTGTTGTTCATTTTTATGTGATGTTGTTTCCTTGATCATTTAGAAAGAATCATGGCTCACCAGCTTTTCTGACTCCACAGAGCTCCCTCTGCTGTGTATTTTTGTGGTGTGTTTTAAAAACATGCAGCTTGGCTTTAGAAATTTCCTGGCTGTTTCCTTCTTCCAGCCGTATCTGAACCTTCTCTTTCCTGTTTCTCAACTGCCCCTTTTCTTCAAACTGTTTATTCCACCCCTAGATGTTTCTTCTGGGCATGGGGCCCTGTCCTGGAAGAAAGCCCTTGTAAGTAATTTTGAGGGTCAACAGGGTCTAGACAGCTCTGGTCCCTTCAAACTTTAGCAGCGACAACTGCAATCATTGCTACTAAAGTTGGCAATGCCCCTCTCAGCTTCAGCGGCTGTGCTCAAATCATCTTTCTATGCTTTATGGTGAAAACCTTTTGGCTACCTTGGGGTTCTCCCCTTCTCAGTCCTGTTGCTTTCTTATGTTATTTCTTGCACAAACACACAAACTTACAAGTCTTCAGGCTGTTAATGGTTTATTCCCATCTGCTTATATTTTGATGTTCCTAAGAATGCCTTGTGACCTAGCTTTATTGTTTATGTCATCCATGGCTTTCTGATTCTCTATCTAGTTTTCTGTCTATTCTTATGGGGGAATTCAGAGAGTTTCAAAAACTATACTATCATCAGTATGGCAGTTCCTCACTTGTCTTTCCCCAATCTTTAAGAATTCTTTATTTATTAGTGCAATTAACCCAGTGTCTCTGATATACATTGCAGCTACTTTCCACTATGTTTTTAAAAACAGTAGCTGTGGCAATTTTTTTTGTATACATAGGTGCTATGGTTTGAATATTTGTCCTTTCCAAACTCATATTGAAACTTAATCCCTAATATGGCAGTATTGAGAAGTGGGACCTTTAAAAGATGATTAGGTCATTAAGGCTCTTCCTTCTCAAATAGATTGATCCATTCATGGATTAATGGGTAAATGGTGACTTTACAAGAAGAAGAGGGAAAATCTGAGCTAGCACACTCAGCCCCATCACTATGTGATGTCCTGCCCCAACTTGGGCCTCTGCAGAGAGTCCCCAACAGTAAGAAGGCCCTCACAAGATGCAGCCCCTTGACCTTTGACTTCTCAGCCTCCATAACTGTAAGAAATAAATTTCTTTTCTTTAAAAACTACCCAGTTTCAGGTATTCCATTATAGACAACAGAAAATGAACTAAGACAATAAATTTCTTTGCAATGTTTATATGTCCAATTTTGTTTGTTTTTTCTTTCTTGGCATCTCATCTGGATTTTGAGTCATAATGAAAAAGCTTTTCCCCATAGGTGAATTCACTCATGTTGCCTCCGAGTGCTTGTTTGATGTCATCTTTTACACTTACATTTCTAATTCATTTAGAGTTTATTGTGTATCATGTGAGATATGTTTATTTAATTTTCTCTGCGTCATTTATCAAAAATCCAATCACTTTTCCAGCACTTGAAATGTCATCTTTATCATACATTAAATTTCCATATGTACTTGAGTTATTTCTAGACTTTCTATTCTATTCCACTGATGTGTCTGTCTAGTCATGCACAAATACCGTAAGGTTTATTTTTAAAATACTTTCATTTTAAAACATTCATTATGAAATATTAAAAGATACACAAAAAAGTTCAAAGAGTAAGACAATGATGACCCATGTACCACAGCTGAAACCTTGGTAAACCAAAACTAAAATTCTAAGCCCCCCAACTGACTGAATTGAATCCCCATCTCAGCTAAGGGCATACCAAAGTAAATCTGAATAAATGGTTCAGGCCATAATGGGAAGGGGGGTTCAGACATGCCAAATTATATTCTCCTCCCTTTGGAATTCAGGCACAACTAGCCAGCATTAACATTAGAACAGGAATGTTAAGATGGACAAAACAGGGGCCGGGCATGGTGGCTCATACCTGTAATCCCAACACTTTGGGAGGCCAAGGCAGGTGGATCATGAGGTCAGGAGATCAAGAGCATCCTGGCTAACATGGTGAAACCCCATCTACTAAAAATACAAAAACAAAATTAGCTGGGCGTGATGGCAGGTGCCTGTAGTCCCAGCTACTTGGGAGGCTAAGGCAAGAGAATGGCATGAACCTGGGAGGCGGAGTTTGCAGTAAGCCGAGATTGTGCCACTGCACTCCAGCCTGGGCGACAGATCCAGACTCCATCTCAAAAAAAAAAAAAAAAAAAAAAAAGATGGACAAAACAGACTCTTTGTAGCAATAAGATAACCTGACTCTAATGTACCATCACATGACAGATAGCAGGCACTGAAAGAAATCAAAGCATTTTACCCCAAAATATATTCCTTTGACATATTTTTAATAGCCCTGGAAAGCTGTCTCATGTGGGGAAAACCTACACTCTATACAGAATCATCTCCCCTTTTCAGATCTTTTTCTGATCCAGGAGAGAATTAACTAAGAGTTTGCACCTTTTAAGGCCTAATAAGAGACATATACCATCTATTCTCCACAATAAGAACCTTGATCTCCACAGCTCCTTATCTTAACCTGGATACTGCTTTCTATTGATTCCAGGTCTTTAGATAATATAATAACCAATTGCCAATCAGAAAATCTTTTCATCTATCTATGACCTATAAGCACACCCCCACCGTGCTTTGAGTTGTCCCACCTTTCCAGACCAAACAAATGCATATCTTACCTGTATTGATCGATATCTTATGTTTTTCTAAAATGTATAAAACCCAACCACTTTGGGCCCATGTTCTCAGGACCTCCTGGGGCTGTGTCACAGGTCATGATTCCTCACATTTGGCTCAGAATGAATCGCTTCAAATATTTTACACAGTTTGACTCTTTTTCATCAGCAACATTTTGTGTACCCTTCCCCCAGAATATCGCAGAAATCCTGCTGGGGAAGGGTACAATGAATCCTACCAACAACCATATAAGTGATCTTGGAATGGGATCCTTCCCCAGTTGAGCCTTGAGATGAGACCACAGCCCCAGACAACACCTTAATCACAGCCTCATGAGTGACCCTGATAGAGAGAACACAACTAAGCTACACAAGGATTCCTGAGCCACAAAAAGCATGAGATAACCCATGTCTGTTGTATTAATCTGCTAAGTTTTGGGATTGATATGTAATCTTAATTGATAAAGAAATAGACTAGTAAATTCTAGAAAACCCCAAGAGAACTAAAGGAATTCCTCAAGGCAATATGGTTCACTCTAGTGTGAGGGCTGAGTGTATTTGCCGCTGTATCCCAGCACTTAGTGAAGTGTCTGGCACTCAGTAGGTGCTTAATAAGAAAATGGCTCCTGGAAAGAGAAGAACAGACCTGGGTGGGAATGAGTAGAACTTGGAATGGGGAAGTAGGCAGAGTGGATCCCAGTGTGGAGTCCATTTGAAATTGAAAGGGTTATCAGGAAGAACATGGATTCACAGTGTGGCCTCAGATATTCTGCTGTGACTGGGTATAAAGCCATTTCCAGGCTGTCTCTGGCACTGATCCCCAGGAGTTTGGACATAACTGGGGTGAACACTCATTGGTGCTGTGGGGCCTCCTCAATCTGTGCAGTGCTGCTGAGAACATGGGCTTTGGAGTCAGAGAGCCCTGAGTTTAAATCCCTGAGACTTGTGTGACCTTGGGTTAGTTATCTGACTTCTCTGAACCTCGGTTCTTCATTTGGTGTCATGAGTATTGCAGATGAATCAAATGAGGTAGCTTAATAAATGGTCATTCAAATCCAGCCGAATCCAGTTTAAAAAGCATCCTCAACTCTTATCAGACAGGTACCTCCCAGGACATGCAACAGCCTCAAGCTGGTTCCTGTCGGCCCCTCCTATGGCCATGGAAGTTTTCTATAGAGGCCAGGGACTCAGTACCCCTGGGGCTCACACACCCCTTTGAGAAGGCCATGAACGCTGTGTAAAGTTATGATGAACAAAAAGTCTATTTCCCCGGGAACCTGCAGTAGAAGCGCCTGGCGTTTCTGTAGGGACCGGACTGTGCTCCCTGCAGAACGCCCTTCCTAGCGCAAAGACCTAGCGGTGCCCAGAGGAAAGCCTTCCTGATACCTTCCCCTCCTACTCTCCCGGGAACTTCATCCAGTTTTTCCACGGATGCTTCGGGCTGATCACGACCTTTCTCCCAGCCTCACGGACAAGGACGAGGTCCACTCGGATTGGACAACCTGATTCAGGATGGAGCCAAGAAGGGGATGCAGCGCGAGGAAGCCTGTCAAGACTTAGACAAACATACAGCACCTGGAAAGGGACTCCCCGAAAGCACACTTAAAGGGACTGCCACTTAAAAAGTAATTTTTGGGGAAAGAAAAAATAAAGAGAGGAGGAAAAGTTAGGCCCAACCCAAGGCCTGTCCGCTTTCCCTCAGCCAGTGGGAAATTAAGGATCCTGCATGGTGCCACAGCGCCCCCTGGTGGGAAAGACTGAGATTGCACTGAAGATCTCCAGACATCCATGTCTGGCTTTACCCTCTCACCTCTACTTGGGAGGGAAGAACATTGGAAATTATTTCCCAAGACTGCATTCCCTCAAGTTAAGTATAATGCTTGATTTCCACTATCAAAGGTAAAAAAGACATGTCTTAAAACCCTGTGTGAATAAGGTCGTGGGACATCCCAACCTAGCATTCCTATAATTAACAAAAATCACCATTTATTTGCCCACGTCCTGAGCCAAGAATAATCTAACGCAATGCTTAAGACAGCCTTACCATGCAGCCTGTCTGTTAACCATAGTTTTACAGGTGCAGGCATAGACTCGGAGAGGGGCTATGGCCTTGCTCAAGGTCACGCGGTCAGTGCCAGGATTCTCAAGCCTGGGCTCTCAAACGCATCGCTATTAACTGCCTAGGAAAAACATGACCGTCTCTGCTTGGTTCCCTCAAAATACATGATTAATTCTTTTTGATTCCCAACATTGTTATGTTTCTTTTCTCACTGAATATTGACTTTCCATTAAGCAACTCCAAAGCCTAGTTTTTCTAAGAAAGTATAAGTCATCCCTTTGAGAAAGCTTACTGATCACATACTGTTTTCAAGGTGGCTGGGCTAGGCACTGTGGGAAAAGTCCACTGGCGGGAGGCTCCCAATAACCTAAGGTGACTTTGGTGACTCTGACATAAGGCTACGCTGAGATGCTCCAAGCTTTGAAATCAATGTGTGTCGCTAGTATAAGAACTGGATTAGGCTTGGGGGGTCACTGTGATACAGACGGGCTTGGGTGCAAAGTGTACTTGGAGTTGGAGAGCTCTGAGTAAGCAGAAGGCAGGAGAGGGGAGGGACGGGCAATGCTCAGGATTAGGGCCCCTGATCAAGCACACGGGACGTGGCAACCACAAGAAATCTGGGGCAAATAATTTGGTAGCAGCCTTCATTTTAGCACAGAAATGCCGACAAGTTTCTTCTTGCACGCCCACTCTGATCTTTTGGTAGAAGCAGGCTGAAGTTATTTGTTGGGAGGACTCTGAAGCCATGCCCAGGCTCCACGGGAAAGTCAGCTGTGATTGACTAGAAGAGAGCTGCCTGCACACAAGAAAACTATGCAAAAAGGCTGGGCGTGGAGGAAATGACCTAACACAACAGGAGAAAATCCGAGAGAACGAGATAAGAGTACTAGAGCCTGAACCCAGTGGGAATGGATAGGGTTCTGAGTGATTCTGTGGGCATGGAAGAATGTGGAAGATAGAAGTAATCAGCATAAACAAGTAGGAAGTATTGCAGGACAGAAAACAGATGTCTCAGGCAGACAGATGATACTGGGGAGGGCAACTATAAAGAGAGAAGGGGACTCCTTGGAGGTCAACATGGCTGTCCTGTCCCTGGCTCTCCTGGCCCGGCCCCTGAACTGAGATCCAGGAGAGCAAGTTATGAGGGGAGAGCAGCATCTGGACATGCTTTTGTCCTCTTTGTCAGAATTGCCATGGGAGCTGAAAGCATCTGCCCAGCTGATATGCTTTGGATCTGTCCCGCCAAATCTCATGTCTGATTGTAATCCCCAGTGTTGGAAGTGGGGCCTGGTGGGAGGTGGTTGGATCACAGGGGTGGATTTCTCATGAATGGTTTAGCACCATTGCCTTGGTGGTGTTCTCGCGATAGTGAGTGAGTTCTCCTGAGATCTGGGTGTTTAAAAGTGTGTGGCATCTCTTCACTCTCTCTTGCTCCTGCTCCCACCATGAGAGACACCTGTTCCCCCTTTGCCTTCTGCCATGATTGTAAGTTTCCTAAGGCTTCCCCAGAAGCCAAGCTGATGCCAGAATCATGCTTCCTCTACAGCCTGTGGAACTGTGAGCCAATTAAACCTCTTTTTTAAAATAAACCACCCAGTCTCAGGTATTTATAGCAGTGTGAGAACAGAATCATACAGGATCCCACTGCTTGAGTCATAGAAGGCAAAAGGAAAAGAGCAAGAGTGGATGGAAAACAAGGAAGGTAAAAGCAAGGTGAGATCCTGTGCTCAGGGAATAAAGTAAAGAAAAGTGAGCACACTTAGCATTCATTCAACAAACATTTATGCAACGCCTGCTATGTGCAGTCCTCATAATACAGCAAGCTTCATTGAGATCACAGAATTAAAATAAAACTAGAAATCAAAAGCATAATGACCTGTTCTATATTTCCACTCACGCCGTTAGCCACGACATATGTCCTGACTCAGGAAACAGCTAATGAGTGTGAGAGCGGCCTTCAATGATGTCATGTGCCTGGAAGCCACCCTGCTCTAGAAGCACCATCGCTCTGCTCTCAGGTCGCTGCCTGCCTGTGCTCTTCCTCCATGCTTTATTTATAACCCCTTTGCCTTTGCCTCTACCACTGCCATCATTTTTCACAGCTTTTCTTTATTCCTCCAAATTTCCCCTAACATGTATCTGCCCTTAGCTCCAGGGCCCTTCTGAAGTTTTGCAAAAATGTTCTCTTTTATTATTCACTTGCCAACACAAGCATTAGTAAAAAGGAGGAGAAAAAAAAGAAAGAAAAGTGCCCTATTTTTAAAGTTTGAAATGTTAAAGTTGTCTAAGATTAGAAGAACAAAATCTTCATTGATTTTATAATATTGTAAGGAGATACTTTTCACCCATAATCTAGCTCTTTAAGCTTATCGTAATGTTCATTTGCATGTTTCCTTTCAACATTTCCCCAAAAATCTAGTCTGGGTTATGATATATAATAACCAAGAGGTATACACAATATTATTTTTCATGTTTTTTCAAAGTTATTTCAGAAACACTACTTTTACATAGACTTCATATTTATGAATTTAATAGCTATTGTACTTTATGCTGCTGTCCCATTTTTAGCTGTAGCTTATTTCCTCTTTTTAATAACTTCCTCAGGATAACTTCCCAGAGCCAGAACACTAAGTCCAAGGCTAAGTCTGTTTCATTGCCCTCATTGTGTATTGTTACCTGGCTTTCCAAACGGGTAGCATCTACTGCCACTGGGGATGACATTGCCAAGAGATCCATTGGAAAATTCGCTGGTCATGGACATCAATGTCCAATGGCAATGGTCCAATGGCAGCATCCCCCAAACTCCAGTTCCTCCAGAGGACAACTCATCAGAATTAGTAATCTCCTCTAGTCTGCTGAATGTTCAATGCCTCAGGAATAATAATAATAATAAATGCATCCCATTCTTTCCCTATCTGTTCTCACCCCAGTGACCCCTGCTCCAAGAGGCAGCCACTCATGCTGTGGGGCAGGGTTGGTTTCCACCCTAAGCAGAAAGCCCAGGACTCCTGGCCACAAGGAGGGCTGGCTCAGGGCTGGCCTATTTCTGCAGCTGCTTTCCAGCAACTCTGACACAGACCCTTTTTGGCAGAGCCATCGTCATCGCCTGGGGCCCATCTTCTAGCCTCAGGTCCTGCGGCCTCCAGCCAGGTGAACCATCTGGAAATCTTTCTCACTGATATCCATGAACTCTCCACCTCTTGCCTGCCTGCCTGGCTGGACTCTAAACCTGATACACTTCATGGCTGCAAATGATCTGTGTTTACTTTTCTTCTTGTGGGTTTGGCAGGGGCTAATGTCACATTCCTCTCTTCTGTAGGTGACCTTCCTGCCTGGGGCTTCCGGGGCTTGGTGACACATGCCCTGCAGCACAGAGGCCACTCTACCATCACTGGGGCCCCAACCACACAGTCACCAGACTAGGTGCGCTGAGTGTCTTCCATTTGTCCCTCCCATCCACTCTCCATGCTCTCCTCCCCATTATGCCTCAGAAGGCCAGCCGTATAAGCAACTGCTGCAGACTTCCTGCCCTCGGCTTCCGGCTGGGCTCAGCCAATGGGGATCCCCCGCAGGAGGTCAGAGGGAGAGATGGTAGGAAGGTCCTCTGAGTATTGATTCCTCACTCCCTCACTGCCTGGCTGGCCCTTCAGTGAAAGATCAGAGTCCCAGCCAAGCAGTCTTTGCTGGGCTCTACTAAATATTCCCTCCAATTGTCTTACAAAAATTCACCCACTGAAAGCTTCCAATTGTACAAACATCACCACAATAGAAGTTTAAAATATTTTCATCACTTTAGGAGGCTGAGGTGGGCGGATTGCCTGAGCTCAGGAGTTACAGATCAGCCTGGGCAACATCGTGAAACCCTGTCTCTACTAAAAATACAAAAAATTAGCCAGGCATGGTGGTGCATGCCTATAATCCCAGCTACTTGGGAGGCTGAGCCACGAGAATCACTTGAACCAGGGAGGTGGAGGTTGCAGTGAGCTGAGATAGTGCCACTGCACTCCAGCCTGGGCAACAGAGTGAGACTGTAAAACAATAATAATATTTTCATCACCCCAAAAAGAAACCCCAGATCCATTAGCAGTAATTTCCTATTTCCCCCAAACATCCCAGCCCATGGCAACCACCAATCTGCTTCTCTCTATGGACTTGCTATCCTGGACACTTCATGTAAATAAAATCATACAATACGGGCTTTGTGCATCTATCTTCTTTCACTTAATATATGTTTTCAAGATTTAACAATATTGTAGAATGTATCAGCACAGCATTACTCATTACGGGTGAATAATATTTTGTTGCATCGATATACCACATTTTATTTATTCAATCGCCAGTTGATGAACATTTGGTTTTTTTCTTCTTGTTGGCTATTATGAATTAAGCTTGCTATGAACATTCACTTACAAGCATTTGTGGGGATATACGTTTTCCTTTCTCTTGGAATGAAAGTGGAATATACCTACAGAATACACCTACGAGTGGACATATGGCAACTCTATGAAAACTTCTGAGGAGTTACCAGACTGTTTTCCAAAGCAGCACCATGGTATAGTCCTTCAGCAGGGCATAAGGGCTCTAGTTTCTCCAAATCCTCACCAACACTTGCTGCTGCCTTTTTATTATAACCACCCAAGTAGGTGTGAAGTGCTATCACACTGTGATTTTGATTTGCATTTGCCTGATGACTAATGACGTAGAACATCTTTTCACGTGTGTTTTGAACATCTGTCTTCTTTGGAGAGACATCTGAGCAAATCCTTACTCCATCTTAACATCAGGTTATTTGCCTTTTTATTTTTGAGTTTTAAGAATTATCAATATATTTTAAATTCAAGTCTTTTATCTGGCATGTGACTTGTAAAAATATTCTTCAATTCTTGGTTCTTTTCACTTTTTGATGGTGTCTTTCGAAGAACAAAAGTTTAATTATGATAATGTCCAATTTATCGATTTTTTTCTTTTGTTCCTTGTGCTTTTGGTGTCATATCTAAGAAATCAGTGCCCAATGCCTGGACATAAAGATTTATCCTATTTTTTTCTATAGTTTTAGCTCTCACACTTACGTCTTAGATCTATTTTGAGTTAATTTTTGTAGGTGGTCTGAGATAGAGGTCCAACTTCATTTTTCTGCATGTAGCTATACAGTTGTTCAACCATCATTTGTTGAGAAGACTGTTCTTTCCCCCACTGAATGGTCTTGATACCCTGGTTGAAAATCAATTGACTATCAATGCAAGGGCTCATTTCTGCATCCTCAATTCTATTTAATTGATCTTTATGTCTACTCTTATTATCCATTTACCGAAATGTCTATCTAATGTTTATTATTGTAGCTTAACAGTAGGTTTTGATATCAGAAAGTATGAATCCTCATAGTTCTTTGTTTTCAAGACTGTTTTGGGGTATTCTGCATTCCTTAAGTTTGTATATGAATTTTAGGATCAGCTTGTGAATTTTAGTATTGCAATCATAATATAAAGTCTCCCAATCCATGAACAAGGGATGTCTTCCATTTACCTAGGTCTTTAATTTTCTTCAACATTGTTGAGTAGTTTTCAGAGTTTAAGTTTTACACTTCTTTTATTATATTTATTTCTAAGTATTTTATTCTTTTTCATACTATTACAGGTGATATGGTTTGGCTGTGTTCCCCACCCAAATCTCATCTTCAGTTGTAGTTCCCATTATCCCCATGTGTCATGGGAGGGACCTGGGGGGAGGTAACTGAATCATGGGGGCAGTTACCTCCATGCTGTTCTTGTGATAGTGAGTGAGTTCTCAAGGTATCTGATGGTTTTTCTTTTGCTGTTGTTTTATTTGTTTGTTTTTTGAGGAGTCTCACTCTGTTGCCCAGGCTGGAGTGCACTGCAACCTCTGCCTCGCGGGTTCAAGTGATTCTGGTGCCTCAGCCTCCCGAGTAGCTGGGAATACGGGCGTGTGCCACCACGCCCAGCTAATTTTTTTTGTATTTTTAGTAGAGACAGGGGTTTCGCCATGTTGGCCAGGATTTTCTCGAACTCCTGACCTCAGGTGATCTGCCGGCCTCAGCCTCCCAAAGTGCTGGGATTACAGGTGTGAGCCACTGTGCCCAGCCATCTGATGGTTTTAGAGGCAGTTTTCCCTGCTCTTGCTCTTGCTGTCTCTTTCCCGCTGCCGTGTGAAGGTCTGCGCTTCCTTTTCACCTTCCACCATGATTGTAAGTTTCCTGAGGTCTCCCAGGTGTGCAGAACTAAGTCATTTAAACCTCTTTATAAATTACCCAGTTTTGGGTAGTTCTTTATATTAATAGTAGTGTGAGAATGGACTAATATAACAGGTGAAATTGTTTTCTTAATTTCATATTTGGCTTATTCATTGCTAATATACAGAAATAAAATTGATATTTGCATGTTGATTTTGTATCCTGCAACCTCGCTGGACCCAATACTATGTCAATCAAGGAAAATGACCAAAGCAAGTCTCAATCATTTTAAGGAGGTGTATTTGCCAAAGTTAAGGGTGTGCCTGGGAGACATGTCTATGCCTTTTTCGAGAGATGATTTTGAGAGCTTCAATGTTTAAAGGGGAAAGTGTGGGATATTGAGAAATGCACAATTTTCATGTTGCGGGGGAGGAAAAGAGTCATTCGTGTCTTTGGCTCTGTGAATATGCATTTTTACTTAAGATAACACAGAGGATAGGGGAGAGGAAAAAATCAGATATGCATTTGTTTCAGGTGGGCAGAGGGATCGCTTTGAGTTATGCCCTATGTCCCCGCACCTGTGAAGATAAGCTATTAATTTACATTGCCATGGTGAACTTTAACATAAATGCTTTAGGGTAAAGATCTTGGGGCCCACAGGGGAGGTGTGTAGCTTTTCACGTGTGTAGCCATCTTATTTAGGAACCAAAATGGGAGGCAGGCTTGCATGACCCACTTCCCAGCCTGACTTTTCCCTTTGGCTTAGTAAGTTTAGGATACCAAGATTTATTTTCCTTTCACAATTAGTTCTACCTGTTTTTTTTTCTTTTTTGATGAATTTCTTATATACAAGATCATGTCATCTTTAATAGATATAGCTTTACTACTTCCTTTCCAATTTGGATGCTTTCCATTTATTTTTCTTCCCTAATTGCACTGGATAGAACCTGTAGTACACTGTTAAATAAAAATGGCAAAAGCTGACATTCTTGTCTTCCTCCTGATCATAGAGAAAAGCCATCAGTCATTGACCATTAAATGTAATGTTAACTGCAGGTTTTATATAGGTGTCTTTTGTCAGTTTGAAGACGTTCCCTTCTCTCCCTAGTTCAGTAAGTGTTTTTATTATAAAAGGAGGTTGGATTTTGTTTTATATATGTATTCTGCATCTATTGAGATGAACGTGTGTTTTGATCCATTATTCTGTTGATATGGCTTATTACACTGATTGGTTTTTGGATGCCAGAGCCATTACTCTGGCACATGGCAGGAATGGTAGCCTCTGATCTTCTCAGCTTTTCTACTGGACACAGAATATATGTTTACCCCAGAAAGCAAGCTGGAGTGAGGGCAATTAGGACCCCTGTATTCCAGACCTGTTATGCCTAGTGTATAGTCTCCATCCATGAGTGGGAGCTTGGTGGAGGAAGGGAGCCTCCTGCCTCTTGGCCACAGTTAGCTAGAATTTAGCGTTAAACTTGGAGTTGGAGTGGATGAGAAATGCTTGCAACCTTCGCCTTCTTGTGAGACACCTTATCCCTTGTTTGATAGAGGAAGGGAGAGTGAGCCCCATCTTCTTGACCACATCCACCCACAGTGGAGCTTCTATGAAGCTGAGCTAGGTGCGGGGCTGGAAAGAGCAGATTATGGCTCAAATGCCACACACTCTCTCTGTTCTTACCAAGTTGTGATAGATTTTATTGAATAAATTTTTTTTTCATTTTTTATATACCTTTAAGATAATTTCCAGAAACTTTTAAGTTTTCTTAGAAATTTTCTCCAGCTATGGTTGTTTCAGTGGGAAGTGTCTCCACAGAAGTGGAACTCCCCTTCGTGCACTTTTTAAACTCTAGGGGTGGTAATGATGTCAACTATTGTGAGCCCTGGGGTACTATCCTTTGTAGTTTTCCAGTATCTTGCCAATACCTTTGTAAATAGCCATTTTATTAAATTTTCCTCAAATTGCCCAATCTGAGATATGGTTTGGCTCTGTGTCCCCACCCAAATCTCATCTCGAATTGTAATCCCCATGTGTCAAGGGAGGGAGGTGATTGGATCACGGGGGCAGTTCCTCCCATGCTGTTCTCATGATAGTGAGTTCTTATGAGATCTGACGGTTTCGGGGTTTTTCTGTGTGTGTGTGTGTTTGTTTTTGAGATGGAGTCTCACTCTGTTGCCCAGGCTGGAGTGCAGTGGTGCGATCTTGGCTCACTGCAACCTCCACCTCCCAGGTTCCAGGGATTCTCCTGCCTCAGCCTCCTGAGTAGCTGGGACTACAGGTGTGTGCCACCACACCCAGCCAATTTTGTATTTTTTTGGATTTCATCATGTTAGCCAGGATGGTCTCGATCTCCTGACCTCATGATCCGCCCACCTTGGCCTCCCAAAGTGCTGGGATTACAGGCGTGAGCCACCGCGCCCGGCCGAGATCTGACGGTTTTATAAGTGTTTGAGAATTCCTCCTTTGCTCTTCTCTCACCTGCCTCCATGTAAGATGTACCTGATTCCCCTTCTGCCATGATTGTAAGTTTCCTGAGGCCTCCTCAGCCATGTTGAACTGTGAGTCAATCAAACGTCTTTCCTTTATAAATTACCCAGTCTTGGGTATTTCTTTACAGCAGTGTGAAAACAGATGAATACACTGAGTATTCCATATGTTTCCTGCTACAATCCAGACCGACACAATGGGAGTGTTGTGGGCACAGAGGTGACCCGGGCTCATCATCCGTTCTCCTCTCCCACTCTTTCTCCCACACTGGCCGACTCATCCACATCCCAGAGCTTCAAGAGCAGGTTCATGGGCCAAAGAGCCCCAGGAAGGGAGATGGGCCACTTGATGAATGCTTGCTGTGGTTTCTTCACGACATGAATCAGACAGATCATGTGGTCCTAGACCCAGCCATGGAAACTGTGATCCCGAAGCAAATGGGCAACCAGTGTGAAACTGGCGGGAGCACACCTGAGGCCCTTGTGACATCACTTCTTCAGGGACCTTATTCATAATAAATGACTCTATAGTTCCCAGGAGCAAATGGAGAAGAAGACTTTGAAAGGGCAGAAAATAGGACCAAAAAACGTCAAATTTCAGAGTTTTGAATTAGCCATTGTGCTAGTCCATTTTTGCGTTACTATAAAGAAATACTTGAGACTGGGTAATTTATGGAGAAAACAGGTCTATTTTGGCTCATGATTCTGTTGGCTGTACAGGAGGCATAGTGCCGGCTTCTGCTTCTGGGAAACCTCAGTAAATTTCCAATTATGGTAGAAGGTGAAGGGGGAGCAGGCATGCCACATGGCAAGACAGGGAACAAGACAGAGGGAGGAGATATCGTGCTCTTTTAAACAACCAGATATCACGTGAACTGCTAGAGTGAAAACTCACTCATCACCAAGTGGATGGCATTAAGCCATTCGTGAAAGATCCATCTCCATGATCCAATCACCTCCCATGAGGTCCTCCTCCAACACTGGGGATCACATTTCAACACGAGATTTGGAGGGGACAAACATCCAAACTGCATCAGCCATCCTAGTACAATTTCCAACCTCCTCAATCACTGTGCTTCTCCCAGAGAAGAGTTATGGGACAAGGGCCAGTTTGCACAAGGAGAAGACCAGGTGTGGTAATGGGTCTGAGACCCCCATCCTATAGCCTCCGGAGTGCATGATTCCCTTCAGCACGCTGACCCCATCCCTCGTTGCAAGAGCAGAGAGAAACGCAGTCCTTCCCACTCCAAAGCCAGCATCTCCAGGAACAGAGGGTCCTTGTGGGTGCCTCTCATTGACTTTCTTGCTTCTTCCCAGTCTCGATCCCTCTTCTGAGTCGCACCTCCGGAGATGACAGCCTTTTACACCACACTGCTCTTTCCTGTCCCCCTTCACTTCTCTCATTTACTATCAAAAGTCTGGGGGGAAAGGTGGCTCCAGCACAGTACAGTGACAACTTAAAACTGAATGTCAACCATCACAGCCCTGAAGACGCTTCAGTGCTTCACTGCCACTTGGAGTTCCCAGTGTCCAGGCCAGGGTCTCACCTTAGACCCCAACTGCTCCCAGAGACTCCTCTCTGCCCCCCAAGGACTCTCCTCCTACCCTCTCTGGCATCCAGGCTCCAACTCCCAAATTCCTGTACTGGCCTTCCAAAGAACAGCTTAGTCCTTTAAGTGACACCCCATCTCCACCTCTAACCTGTGATATGTATCAAAAGCCTCACCGGGATTTCCTATTCAGCAAACAGCCACCTTTGTAGGTTTCCACCTCTTAGAGGCCCAAAGCACCTGCCAAAGCGTTCACATTATAGTTTTCCCTTTAAATGATCAAATAGCCAAGCAGGGCTTCTATTGAATATTTCTTTGCCCGAAAAGGGTTAGAGACCATTATTACAAGCTTCAAAATCCTGCTCCTCATAGTTCTGTCAAGTGATCTTAGAATCATACTGCCCTCAGTCCTTCTCTTCCTTGCAGCCGTGGATGAAACTCTGTTGCTTTATTACTCCAAGATCTCTCTAGTTCTGCTAACTACTTATGTGCCCTTCTATTTAATGTTGGCAGTTCCTTGAGGAACACACAAGTGTTTTTTTTTTTCTTTACATTTCATTCAGGGAATTACTAAACAATCATTTCCACACAGAGATGTTGTGGATTACGCCAAAAAAAAAAAAAAAATCAAGGATGGCTGTCTCTGTCTTGAAATGCTTAATAATTTTATCTGTAAACTTGTGGTTTGTAAGTGAGGTCCATTAAGACAATGGAGCATGAGCCAGGGAAACGGGCCTCTACGTGTGGCCACTGATGTTCCATACAGCATTCATAATGCACCATGCACACTGAATTCCCTGTGGACCCCTGATGTTGCGAGGCCAGCAAGACTCAAAGTGAGCACAAGGTACTCGTGCTGTATCTACAACTGAGGGAGCTGGGTGCTGACACCCCAAAAGGCCGCACTTTTCCCCTTAAGAGAGTAAACTTGTTTCGAAGGCAGAAAGAAGGCAATGGTGTCTTAAGAAGCATGAAGAAACCATATTGTATGAGTCATGGTTCTCTAGAGGGACAGAACTAATAGGATATATATATTTATATATATATATATAGAGAGAGAGAGAGGAGTTTATTAAGTATTAACTCACATGATCACAAGTCCCACAATGGGCAGTCTTCAAGCTGAGGAACAAGGAGAGCCAGTCCAAGTCCCAAACTGAAGAACTTGGAGTCTGATGTTCGAGGGCAGGAAGCATCCAGCGTGGGAGAAAGATGTAGGCTGGCAGGCTAGGCCAGTCTCTCTTTTCGCATTTTTCTGTCTGCTTTACATTTCTAGCTGCACTGGCATCTGATTAGATGGTGTCCATCTAGATTAACAGTGGGTCGAACTTTCCCAGCCCACTGACTCAAATGTTAATCTCCTTTGGCAACACCCTCACAGACACACCCAGGATCAATACTTTGCATCCTTCAATCCAATCAAGTTGACAGTCAGTATTAACCATCACTCATATCATATATTTTCTTATTCATGCACTTCTTTATATTAGACACCTGATCATGCCAAAAGGCCAGTCCATAGTTCTTTTGCTTTTCAGTCCTTCCTTACGCATCGGTGAGTCCCAGGTCGAGAGTAGAGGTAGAATTCGTGCACGTAAAGTGCGATGAAAACGGGCAAGTTCACTTTGTGCAGCATCTGTTTTTACCAGCGTGGTTCTGGTAAAAACAAAATCTATATGCATGTATAAGCTATGAAGTACAAATTGCATAATTTCTGTGATTCCACATATGAGATCAGTGCACTTATATTAGTATTTAAAACTGGCATTGCACAACGTAAAGATGGATGGTGAACTTCATGCTAACAATTTAAATCTAAATTTTTCTTGGAATGATATTAAATAACACATAAAAACACTATGAAAAGAGAGAAACTGAGAGGAAAGAGAAAGTTTTATATTTTATGACCTCAGAGGCACTTTCTTTCTGTTTTTTGAACAAGGAAGCTCCGCACTTTTCTCTGAGCTCCACAAATTATGCAGCCAGCCTTGCAGCAGGCAACACATCAAAGCCTCTTTCCTGGGGGTCTAGTGAGGGATGTAAAACACAAATATGTTAATAATATACAATATAATGTCACTAACAGTAAGTGCTGTGCTAAACAAAAGCCAGGATGGCTACAGCAAGCCGGAGGGGAGCTGAGAATTAGATGTAAATTCTGAGGGATGGGAAGGGCCCTAGATTTTAGGGCGTTGTGCAGAAGAGTAACCAGATCTGCTCTACGTTTCAGGAAAGGAAAAAAAAATTCCCTCTGGCTGCGGTTCCGAGAATAGCCTGGAAGGAGGCAGGGGTCCCGGCTGGAGAAGCGTGGCTCCGGGGTGGGGCGTGCAGGGCTAGCCCGGGCGGGGGACGCTGCCCAACAAGCAGGTTTGCGGAGACTCACACCTTAGATTCTGAGTTTTTAAGCTTGTTTCCTCAGAGCAGGGAACTCACGAACGTTTCGTGAGCACCTACGGTATGCAGGGTACGGTGCGGAGCCCTAGCGTCACTGACGACCGGGACAGCCGAGCAGCTGCAGGATCCGTCGTGTTCCCCAGCAATTTTAATATTTAAAAATTCGTTACTGTTGCTGTTACTTGTTTTCTATGTATTGGATGTCTTCGTGAAGAACCCTCAAAAGTGCAACGAACTCCTCCCTGCCAGAGGGCGGCCGCGCGCTCTGAGTACAGCTTCCCGCGGAGCCGGCCAGGTCCTCCAGGGCACCGAGAAAGCCGGCCAGAACGGCGGCGCCCTATCCCGGCCGCAGCGATGTCTGACGGCGCCCCGGAACTGACGGTCTGGTACGCAGGGGCGCTCGGCGGCAACGGCGGCTTTAAACGTCATCGCGGGCGCGACGCCTGAGGGACAGTCTGGGGTTTGGCTGTCCGGACGGTGCAGCGGCGAGGCCGGCCGCGAAGATGCCAGTGGCGGTGATGGCGGAAAGCGCCTTTAGTTTCAAAAAGTTGCTGGATCAGTGCGAGAACCAGGAGCTCGAGGTAACCCTTTGCGTCGCGCTGGGAGAAACTGCGGAGTAGTCTTAGGCCCTGGGGCGGCACCAGTTTCCAGGGTAACGGGGTCTGAGGCTAGCGGGCTTTGGGAGCTCACGGGGCGGGCGTGGGAGGTGGACGTGTGGATCCCTGACCGCCGCAACCTGCTCCGACCGGGCCCGGTCTCCCCGAACTCGCCGGGACCTTTTTGTTATGTGTCTTCAGCTTGTGAGCCCGAAAACCCTGTGCGTCTTTGCTCCAGCACCTACCGATGAGCTCATATTAATTAGGCATCTTTCCTTCCCAGTATCGGGTTGGGAGAGGGTAGTAAAGTGGGTTTTATTAAAGATCTTGGTATACACACACACACTAACACACACACCGCAACTCACACGCACACCAAGAAAAATGTGACCATTGTAACCTTTTTTTAACTCACAAAGCCTTTCTCGTAATGTTGTCAAGTTAGCTTGCCATTTTGTCTTCAGTAAGACAGATGAAAGTTATGCAGCTGTTAAAGTTAATGTTTTTCTTAGACACTTAAAAAGGGTTTATATCATTAGTTTTAAAATTAAATAAAGGAGACAACATCCAGAAGCAGCAGCTCACTAATAGATAATAGATACTTTCCAGTTGAGTTAAAATGGAAAGAATTGTCTTTGCAACGCAGCTGTGGTGATTTTCTGTCTCTTATTCAGGACGCTTGATGTAATGGGCAGAATCAGAATGCTTCAGGAATCTGTCGAATTTGTTTCTTATAATAGTAAGATCATTTAAATGGGAATTTGAGAACTGGGGAAGGGGATCCACTTACATATTCTTGAATGTATAAAGAAACTGAAGCCCAAAGGGAGATAAATCAAAGCTGATGACGAATATAAACTTAATACTCAGAATTTTCGTGTTTGATACTTCTCTAAGCTGTTTCTAAATCTATAATAGGACTATAAGATTACTTATAGTCTTAGACTAAAAAGGCTTACTTTTAAAATTAGCATTTATAAAATATTATTTTAAAAATGAAAGTTAAAGGGTAAATGAGGTTTTTAAAATTTTGTGTTGTTTTGTTTTGTTTTCATTTTTGGCCTTCTAGGCCCCTGGAGGAATTGCTACACCCCCAGTGTATGGTCAGCTTCTAGCTTTATATTTGCTCCATAATGACATGTAAGTATGTTTAACCTAAAGCTAAGAGCAACAGGTTTCTCAAAGTTATATGGAAATATTTCTGCACTGAAGTAGCACCACTAAACATAGGCACAACGAGCTACCTTTTTTATTACAGTAATTGTTAACGTCTATTTCCTATTGAATCATAGGTTAATGAATTATGATTAGGTCGTCATTGTCTTACATATACTTTCTAGAAAACATTTCAATTTATTATGACAAATTACGTCAGTAAATTCATTTAACCTTTTTGTCTTTTTAAGAAACTTTTATGACCTCTATTTACTTAACTTCATATATAATCAATAAAACAAAAGAAGTGAAAAGAGAAGATTGCAGCCAAGAGGAATTCGTTACAAACATGTATGAGATTTTTTAAGTTTTTTTTGTTTTTAATTATTCCTATTTCACGTTCACATGGAAAAGTCAGAAAGCATAACTACTCTAGGCCGGGCGCCGTGGCACACGCCTGTAATCCCAGCACTCTGGGAGGCCAAGGCAAGTGGATGGCTTGAGTCCAGGAGTTTTGATACCAGCCTGGGGAATATAGTGAAACCCCGTCTGTCCTAAAAATACAAAAAATTAGCTGGGCATGGTTGCGTGTGCCTCTAATCCCAGCTACCTGGGAGGCTGAGGTGGGGAGAATCACCTGAGCCCAGAAAGTCAAGGCTGCAGTGAGCTAAGATTGCGCGACTGCACTCTAGCCTGAGCAACCAAAGTGAGACCCTGTCTCAAAAGGAAAGCATAACTGCAAAAAAAAAAAAAAAAAGTCTCCTATAGTTCTGTGACTCACTGATGATTCCTGATAACATTTTATTTTAAACTCTTCCAAAACCTTTCTTTTATATCTTTTTAAAAACTAAATTGAAATTTTTATTACACATATGTAAGGTTTTTGTTTTTGTTTTGTAAAACTGTCATTATATGTTTGTTGTAGTTCAAGCCTCCAAACCCATAAAAACTCCTGCCTCAGAAGCTGTGTCCCACTGGTAGGAGGGGCTGTAATCGGGAGAGAAGTGTTGTGTACCAGGCTTATTGTCAGGGAATGCTACAGCCTTGATAGTACATAAATTTGTTTACTTTTATATCCTAATAAATAATTTGGGCCGTCTATAAATCCTCGTGTTTTTAGTGTGCTGTTGCCTAAATTTAGGATATGGATTATTATTTTTAAAAAATTCACTAGAAATGGCAAAATATTACTTTGGTAAAAATATTTCATGTCCTTTTTATCTGGAAAACCACTATTGTTTCCCCAAAACAAATTCATATAAAACTAAATTTTACTTTGTGTTATGTGAAGTATACTTCTGTATGTTTGGCTTGGGACCTGGTAGTTTTTAACATTTCCTGAGATGATTATGTTTTTAATTGATTATTCTTCTTTGTGGTGGCGTAAATTAGGAATAATGCAAGATATCTTTGGAAAAGAATACCACCTGCTATAAAATCTGTAAGTATCCTTTAAACCTATTTTACTGCTTTAATGTAATGACATTCCCTTAAATGGCAACCTTTTATAAGCTTATGTTTTCTATCTGACGTCCTAGTAATAGTCATCAGATTGGTATTAAGGATTCGAAATAAATCTTCAGAGTCCTCTAATCAGAAATTTGAATTTTGCTGGGATGGTGTAGAATTTCTGCTCAGTTCCTACTGATTAGATTTCTTGAGACGCTTTTATGTGCAGCTTCCCTAGTTAAACAGCTGAGCCAGTTTAGATGAAGGAAGCTCCTGGAGGTGGCGGAGGCAGCTGAGGTGATTTTCAGCTGGTTTATGTTGCTTCCTATAATGGTACTTATTTTGAAACTGCCATCGTTTACAAGAATACTCTAAGAATGATTGACAGCAATAAGATTATTTTTGTTAATTAGGATTTTAAATTTCTTATTTTGGTTGGGAGATTAGAAGAAATAGCCTGTGAAAAGGTTCTTCCAAAGTGGAATGAAGTAAAATTTTAATGTCAAATGATTCCATGTGTCTAACATGAGTGTCAAGTGAAATTTTTAACATTCTCGGGATATTACCAAGAATTCATCTAAACTTTTGTTTATTGATATTCATCAAGAGATCGGATTAGTATTTTTACTCTTTTTTTTTCCCTCATACATTCTGTTCTGTTAAGTAAGATTGGAATATTCCTCAGCTTCTTTGGCTAAATAAAGAAGTACTATAAATCATGCACATAAGTTTCAATGGCGTTAGTGGAAACTCAATCCTTAGAGAGGCTACAATGTATGACATCTTAGATTGAGAGTCTCTATTGTTAACCATTTTGCTATTACTTTTGACCTAAATATATATTCATAATATATCTATGAAATACAAATACAACATCTTTAAAAACAATCCTTAAGCTAATTAGTCCCCAGGCTTAATTCTGAAATGTTTTTTGACTACTTTCTCATGCCTTAATTTGCTATTGTAATAAATTTATATCAGCCCTACAGATAAATTTTACCTTACTGCTCATAGTGTTTAAAAACCTTTTGATAGTGATTGGGCTGAAAAAGTAATTGCATCTTTTAAAATAAATGTTGAATTAGGTTTTAATGATGTAGCTAACAAGTTTTTATATCATTTCTGGTATTTTGTTTTAAGATACAATCATTGGTGCATTTACAGAGTGAATACCCTCTAAGGCAATAATATTTATTGCAGGCAAATTCTGAACTTGGGGGAATTTGGTCAGTAGGACAAAGAATCTGGCAGAGAGATTTCCCTGGGATCTATACAACCATCAACGCTCACCAGTGGTCTGAGACGGTCCAGCCAATTATGGAAGCACTTAGAGGTAGTGTTTCTTTGTGGTTAAAAATGAAATTAGATGAGACTTAGTCCCTAAGTGCTGCAGTGTTGAAGTAATAAATCAGTGGTGTGTGTTTAAGTAGATATTTTTGATAGGTGAAAAGAGCAGTTTTCAGAATTTTTTAGATTTGCCCTAATCATGCTTCTTCATTTTTTGTTGCTTGAGATTACATTGGCTGCTGTGCTTTTGTTGTTTCTTAATTCTAGACAGAAATTGCTCGTCAGTTTTAAGAGTTTTTTTTGCTATTAAAACGAGATCTTGTAATATTCTAATAAGTTTAAGGTATGGGTTTGTAGAGATGTGAAAATAGAGACTGCTCTTTGAATTTTGTCAGCCTCAGCCTTTGATAGGTGTTGTCTTAAGCTTCTGGATTTTATAATTTATCAGTTTAATACATAGATGCTCAAATGTGTTTTTAATTGCTTTGAAAGATTACAAGCCTGGTGTGACAGAGCACTGATCCCACAATAAAATCTCATTCCCTGCCTCTCTACAGTCTCTCACCCCTAGCATTTGCTTCCAGTCCTCCTGGTTCACTCTTTATAAAATTATATAATCTTGTTTTATGTTGTCATGTACTGTTATTTCTTATTGTTACCCTTACTTCCATAGTTAATATCCACCTTCACTGTATGCCTTCCTGCTGTGGAGGAAGTCAGTGAGCAGGAATTTTTTTAATAACTGTTCATCACTCTGCTAAGGGATATCAGCTTTACAGGGCAGCAGACAGCAGAGATTGTTTCTGAAATGCACATAATTCCCTTGGAATGGTAAAATTCTTAGCAGCATAAAACATAACAATGTAAGTGACAGAACAGGAGGCAGCTACTTTAAATGTGAATGAAATGAGCAGAGTCCTAAGGCAGGCAGATAGATGGGAAGGGAGGAGTGTGGAAGAAGATTGCACAGGTACAGCAGGGGCAGTTTCAGAAAGTAGCACCAGAAACCTCTTCATATAAGCCCTGAGGAATTAGCGTTATAGTGGACTTCCATAGTATCCTCGTGATTCAGCCTTGTGATTGTGGTGGGGCGGTCACAGGCCATGTGCCTTTTCCCAGTGTTTTACAGCGGGTTGATTGGCAGGACTGGGCTTGGGAACTCCTTACTCGTTCAGCAAGCATTCTCTTGTGCACCGTCGGGTCCGTAGTTTTATTCCTTCCCGGAGCCGCCTCTCACTGAATTCCATGAGATTGAGAATTCCTGGCAAGCAGTTCAGTAGACCCAGGAAAGGCTATATAGCGTACCATGCGGGAGTTTAAGCTCTGGGTCCTTGCTTCCGGAGTTCAAATTCTGATTCTGTCACTTACTAGGGTGACTCCTCAGTGTCTTATTTTCCTCATTTGTGAAATGTGATTAGAAATAGTACTTTTTCAGGTTGTAAATGAGTTAATATATAAACATGTACCTTATTCTAAAGCACTACAGTATTCCTGAACATATCCTGAGACTTTTACAAATCTCCAGATTCATGAATGGTACTGTGGTTTCCTTTGTAAAATGCAGCCAGGTCAGGATAGTCTCTTAACAGATTGGTCTTACTGATGAATTTAACATTTTGCTTCTTAACTTATTAGAAACTTATTTTCTAGTTGAGAACAATCACTTTCTTAGATCTCTTTCCATTCTCTTCTAAATTAGGCACAGTCCTATTAGAAAACTGAAAATGACTTAAGAGAAGCTAGTGAAAACTATTTTTGCAGGAAACAAGGGCTGAGGAAGTACTTAGAAACTAGGTAGACAGTAGCCATTCTCATCTGAGGCTTGAAAGGGCAAGGCGAGGGGCCAGTGTTACTGGGGCTGCCCCACAGGATGGATACAGAAGGTCAGCTGGAGCAAGGCAGGGAAAGGGCATAGGAAGTGAATTCCCTGACCTTCCTTCCCAGCCTCTGACCTGATAGAGCCCCAATTCGCCAAAGCAAGAGAGCTCAGGTGCAACAGGCATTGGCGGCCAACCTCCCTGGCACACAGCATGGCTGGGAAAGACAGAAGAGGATTCGAAAGGATGGGAGTGACTAGTTCATCTTCCCTTCTGTCTCCAGCACTGGCAGTGATGGATGAGCAGCACTTGAGTATTTGTTGAACAACTGAGTTTGCATTCTGTTAGCATTTGTTTTCACCAAAAATGTGTTCCATCAACTACTGCCACAGATATTAGGTGCTGGCTCAATTTATTCCACCTTCCAGCGTGTCATTCTAGGGCCTGAGGTTACAGATTTCACAACTTGAGGATCACAGAGTGACTAGTCGGAATGTAGATGTGATTCGTGCCAAGTGGATATTGCAGCTTCTGAGACAGAGAACACTTAGCCTTTATTTTTGCTTTGTCAACTCACTTCTCCCATCACATGTTTTTCTTTCCTTTTCCAGTGATATCTTTTTACTTTTCTCTCCCTTTTATCTCCTCCATTCTTACTGTATTCCTGTTTTATTCCCCACTCTGAAAATATGGCCAGAATATTTGAACTGAAGTAAATGTTTTTGAAATACAGTTGACTTACCAAATGAATATAGTTTTATGGTGTATACTTTTACTTCTCTAAAAAAAAAAAGTATACTTTCCATTGTTGGCTCTTTTCCATTGTTGGCTCAGTTCTTTTCCATTGAATGTATGCAGCCTTAATAGAAAACGTTTCTTGGTATTGCAAAGTCTGTTAGGTTACAGGCTGGTTGAAGGAAGGAAGGAACCTACAATAATAAGTGTAAAGCCACAGAAGGAAGAGCAGACAGTGGCTGAGTGAAAGCTGGAGAGGATGTCGGGCTCAGATGAGGGGAAGGGATGGGAGTGTCGGCAGTTTTTAAGGAATCTGAGAAAACAAAGCCTAAGTGTTGGAGTCGTGCCCCATTTTGGTCCTCGTGATGCCATCAACAAGCATGTATTTGGCATATATTTCACTGGAGATGCTAGGTGTTTGGGGGACTTTGAGGATAAGAGATACCCCTTCCTGTCGAGAAGTTTGGAATATAATTGAAAAGAAGGGGATAGGTGGAACAGTGTCTGCCGTAGTGGAAAGTTGCTTGTTAAAGTAGAAGTGTAAACAATACTGCTGAGTTTAGAGAAGGGCAGAGATCGTAATGAATTATAAACAGACTTAGGAATGGTAGAGAGCAGACAGGAGGGCATTTCAGGCCACGGGATAGCATAAACCAAAAGCCCCAGGGGGAGAAGGTGTAAGACTTGTCTGAGAGCCAGTGGACTCGTTTGGCACAAAGGGTATCTGGGGGAATTGGTGTAGTTTGACAATGTCCCAGGAATGGAGAGAAGATTTTAAATATGTTAGGGTGTTTGTTTTACATATGTACACTGGCCTATTAAATATGGAAAGTAAAATCCAGAATATTTCCTAAGCATGTTGACCACCAGGTGGAGGAGCTCTTGCATTACCAATGAGCAATGCCCAGGGAGAAAGGCCAGCTGGTTTCACAGTGCTCAACTCTACCGTACTCCTGAGTTTATTTAATTGGGTATGGAAGCCTGGGGACAATCCTAAATGCCACTTTCAGGAAAGTTTTCGTTGCTGGTATTGTTTGGCAGTCCCTTCTTAGAGTCATTCTTTCAAGGTGGGAATTTAGGATTTTGAACCTTAATTCAGTCAAGAGTTTGATGCAGACTTGGAAGAATGCTCCAGTTACAAGATTTGTTCTGTAACTCCCAGGTGTGGTCCTGTATTAGAGACGTTTTTGAAAAGGACAGCTGATTACGCAAATCAGTTTTCTGCTCCTTTGATTCCAGCATTTGTAAATGAAATAAGATAAGTAAAATTTATATCCCCATTGCATAAACATACTGCATTTTCTTAGGGTTAGAGCCTTGTGTTTAGTAACCTTTTTCCATCTTTGTAATTTTCATTATCTGAGATTTTTCATCCAAGAGGAAGTGTAAGAAATGTATTTTTTTCCAGCAATATTTGAACCCCCCGTACATACTGGGCATATGTATTTGTATCTATAAGCACAGAAATCTTTGGGTTCATCTGGCCTTGCTTATGAAAACTAGACAAGGACAGTGGTGTGATTTAACAATGTGCTTTGAAAATGCTGCTCCCTGGTTCACTCTCTGCCAACCCACCACTCCCACAATAGATGCAACAAGGAGACGCGCCTTTGCCCTGGTCTCTCAAGCGTATACTTCAATCATCGCCGATGATTTTGCAGCCTTTGTTGGACTTCCTGTAGAAGAGGCTGTGAAAGGTAATTTTGGCTTACTTTTTACTTATAAGGAAAATGGAAAATAGAAGTGTGAATTGTAGGTTCACAGTCTCCTCTGAAACACTTGGAACAGAATATGCTTTTGGAGTCCAGGCTGTGTTTTTTGAGAGGTGATATGAAACAGGTGTTGTGGAACACCCAGCAGGCACCCTGCAGTCAAGCATATTAATAGTTCTATAGCAAGCAAATGTGTGAGTATCCACACAGTTGGTTACAAAAATATGTCTTAATTGGTCTCTTTACTCATATTTGGAAATCCTTATTTCACCCTTATTTGATAAAGGCAGCATCATCCCCACGTCCCTTTTCATTTTCCCTGCCATTTCTGACCCATACCCTAGGCGCTTGCTTGCTCCCCACTCATACCTGCTGGTCTCTCCAAATGTAACTTTGCATTTTCATTTCTCAGCTGATGCCCAGACTAATCCTTCCTGTTGCTCGTTGTTATAGAATACTGTATACACCTGGCCAGGTGCAGTGGCTCACACCTGTAATCCCAGCACTTTGGGAGGCCGAGGCGGGTGGATCATGATGAGGTCAGGAGTTCGAGACCAGCCTGGCCAACATGGTGAAAGCCCGTCTCTACTAAAAATACAAAAAATTAGCCAGGTGTGGTGGCAGGCACCTGTAATCCCAACTACTCAGGAGGCTGAGGCAGGAGAATCGCATGAATCCAGGAGGTGGAGGTTGCAGTGAGCTGAGACTGTGCCACTGCACTCTAGCCTGGGCAACACAGTGAGATTCCATATCAAAAATATATATATATATCGTATACACCTTGTTGCATTGTTTTGCCATGATTGACATTTTTGATTCTCCAGCTAAAATATGAGCACCATCACGCACTACATCCTAAATTTCCAGGGCCTAGCATAGTTGTAGATACATGAAGATAGGTTAATGAAAGTTCTAAGTTATTACTTTTATTTACTCATACAAACATTTATTTCTTTTGGCTCTTAAAATTGGTCCATCATTTATTTTCTATATATAACATACTTCAGAGCTCGTATTCTCAGCTGACCACCTGGATGTGAATGCTGGTACCACCCGTCCCTGATGCTAGTGGCTATGTGACTTAGGACAAATCACTTGAATTTCCCTCAACTTTATTTTCCATACCTGTCAAACGATGGCCCTATATCCCACTTCATAGAGTTGTGGTGATTACATAAAATCATCCCTATAAAAGCACGTAGTCTGGTACCTACAGGTAAACCTTCCATATATGGAAGCTGTTTTTATTATTGCCATCTTTGTTATTACTGATATGATGGTCACAAAAGGCGCCATATCAGTTTTCCTTCTGTTTGTTTTAAATAATACTGATTAGGTTAATACTATAATATATTCTTGACAGAAAACTAACCATCTTTTAATGATTATAGCAACCTAATAGAGTAAAATGAGGCTTTGATACCTGTTTCAGAAATATTTCAATAATAAGTTTCCATGCTCTTTGTAATATACCTTTCTAGTAAAAATGCATATGACGGGTTATACTAAACACATCAGGTCTTCTGTACAACTAATGTCATGGACAAGTTGTGGATTTTGTGGGGTGTTTTATTCTTTCCGGATCTTTATGTGTAATATACTTTTTTAGGCATATTAGAACAAGGATGGCAAGCTGATTCCACCACAAGAATGGTTCTGCCCAGAAAGCCAGGTAGGTGGAGCTTTCACCCATTTACGCAGCACTGGACTCTTCTAAGACTGCTTCAGGTTTTCAGTCTTTGGTTTTTGATAATTGGATGTAAAATTCGGCTATACTAACACAATGGAAATAACTCATTTTAAATAAAGCGTAGTAGACGGGGTAGAAAGGATCACCTAGTTTAAACTCTTAAAAATGTATTTCCTGTATATAAATGATTTTACGTAGGTTTTTCATGGTCCTTACACCTTAGTTTTTACTAAATATTAATCTCCATCCTTTTATGGAGCCATTTGTAACTGAGCTTATCCTTCATATCCAAGCTGTTGTCTGTATTAAAAAAAAATGTTTAAATATTCAACTGCCCCCCTTTTCTGTTTGCACTCAAGTCATACAGGCACTTTTCCTGTGGCTTCCACTTTCACAGAGTTAACTTCTCTAGCCCTCCTTTTAAGGCCTTAATTTCTATGACCTGCCCTCATTGTCTTTATCTGAATTCCCAGCCCCTCAGTCTTCCTGTTGGAAGTGAGCCACACTCATTCCCGCCTGATAGTTTCTCTTCCTCCTGCTGACCAGGAGTGTCTTTTCTGCCAGGTCTTTAGAGCCAAGCTTAATGCCCACTTCCATAAACCCGCCTTCATCCACGTCAGCCCAAATTTCCTTCCACCTACTCGGAATGCCTATGTTTAGACATTGCTGAACATACAGTAAAGGATTCTCAATGTGCTCAGCCCTTTGAGTTACAAAGAGTGAGAAGACATGATCCCAGTCAAGTGAGATAGTGGGGGAAGAGTAATATAATAAAGAATTATAATGGAGCACAGTTGTTATCCCTGTTTGAGAAATAAATGGCCGTTAAATGCATGTTGTGCTGAAAATAGCATGTTCTATGAAAGATCTTTACAATGACTTCTGTAAATTGAGCTGTACATTTTTTTTTTGAATTTAGTTGCAGGGGCCCTGGATGTTTCCTTTAACAAGTTTATTCCCTTATCAGGTATGTATTTTCATATGCACATTTTTTAATGTCTCATTGTTCCTAATTTCTTTTTTGTAGTATATATGTATATGTGTGTGTGAGTGTGTGTATCTATTTCTTACCTTGTAAACAGAGGTTAAATTTCATAAATGCGTAGTAATACATCTGGTTACAAGAGTGAAACTGGGCTCCCCCAGAGCTTGCCTTGAGGCGGTGCCCTCCTCTGGGCCAGCTGCAGAGCCTTCTTATTCTCATGTCAGGGAGGCCTGCCAGAGCTGTTCACCAGTACTGTTATTCAGAAGGCGTCCCCAGGCTGACGTGTAGTAATTTAAATGTTGGAATGTAAATTCCTTGAGGTTCTTTGTGGGTTTTCTTTTTTTTTTTTTTTTTTTTGGTTTGTTGACAATTTAATATTCTTCAGTGATGTCTGGGGCATGGGAAGCACTCTATTTCTTGAATTTAATGTTGCATGGGTAAGGATGTTTTCAAGAAGAGCTGTGATCTTTTAAAAGACATGTTGCATGATAAAAGTGTCTTTAACCTTTACATAGAATACTTCAGTAACAACAACATGAGACATGCCTTTACTAGCAGTTAGGTAAAACCATACTCATAAAAGTTGCAACTTCTTGGCTTGCTTTTCAAAAATGTCCAAGCCTCTATGATGTAAGATTTTGTCTAAAACCAGGACAAATCTAAGAAAGTTAACTTACTGTTAAAAATTGAAGGCATTAGGGGAGGTAGGTGTTGGGGCCAAAGCTTTGTTACTGTGGTATGTAACATGAAGTGTGTTTGTTTCTTTAACATACAGAGCCTGCTCCAGTTCCCCCAATACCCAATGAACAGCAGTTAGCCAGACTGACGGATTATGTGGCTTTCCTTGAAAACTGATTTATCACTCTGAGTTCAAGATTCATCTTCAGAATCCTGTATACTGACAAACGTAGAAATGTAAAGTTTGTATTTTCAATTTATTGGATGGCTTAAGCACCTCAGCATTCCTTACTATGTGATAAAATACATATAGAATATAAGATATACTATATACATTTTGTCCATAAACGTTATGCTGAATAGTTGTTGAAACAGTTCTCATTTTGTAGTATTTAATAATCTGGATGGAGCCTGTCAGTATTACAGTTAGTTTTCTAGTGACTCATAAAATAAGATTTCCTGTTTCATGTAGAATAGTGTTTGTCAACTGTCTTTTCTCTGTCCCAGCACATGCCGTACTCTTATATGTACCATTGGTTGATAATTATAATGATTCATTTGGACTTGAAGAAAGATTGTCCCCAGGCACAGTATCTGAATCACTGGGGATTATGATTCACCCTCTTTGGAGAACATGCTCTCTTTTCACCCCCCACCTCCTGAGAGCCACTAATGTAAGATACAGAAACATAGCTGAGGAACAAATAGACCATTTCCATACTAAACCAGTTTGTTAACTTTAGATTTTTTCCAATAGTGTGAGTATATCCATTGCTGGCAGTGGAGGGCTTGCCATGAAAATGCAACTTATTTAAGACATTTATGAGACATATTAACTTGTGCTGTCGCCTTTTAGAAGGAGAAACTTAAGTGTGGAATGCATTATATGGGCAAAGAAGCTATGAAGATACATGATACACTTTGTACAACTATCCTGCAGCCCATTGGTTGCTTATATTTATCGCTTGGCTCAAGTTCTGCCCTTTGGAGAAATACTGAGCAAGTCTTTCATTCTCTGTGTGACAGCCCTCTGAATATTTGAAGTTGTTTGTTGTAACTTAAGGTTATAACAGCCCTTAGTTCATTTACTCTGCATTTGTTCAATAAATATTTAACTGAATTCTTCAATTATTTCATCTAAGATAGTTTCTGGAAATTTCACTCTCGATCTTTCTGTGGACACAATCTATTTTGTCATTGTGTCTATATGAATCTCTTAAGTAGAAATGAGTTGTATGGTGAATCTGTGTAGTGATAATTATATAATTTATTTATTTTGAATGCATTTTAGTGGCTATTTCAGTTTTTCTTAACATATATGGGAATACTTTTTGAATTGCAATTTTATTTAACCCGGATAGGTAAGTCATATTAAAATTCCTTGTTTTACAGTTGAGGAAATGGGAATTCAAGAAGTCAGAGGATCAGGAGAGTGATCAAGAGAATGACAGTGCCAGTTTTTTTAACTTCCAGGTATTAAGTACAAATTGTATCCATGGTTATTTTTTAAAAGCAGATTAGAGTCAATCCAAATATTCATTAATAGGGGATTGTTTGAATAAACAGCAGTGTAGACTACGCAGGTGTAAAAGGAGTGAAGATCTCTATACTAAACTGGAATGATCTCCAGAGTGAGAACATAGAAAGCACATGTAGTTTATATGGTTATTTTGAGGGTAACAAAAGGAGAATGATTACAATTATATATATGTACATATTTCCTTATATTTCAAAACTAAGCAATTGGGGGATATATACAAAATGAATATAATAGTTCCCTAAAGAGGAAGGAGAGGACAGTGAACTACTACATAGAGAAAAAATAATCTCAAGTGATCAAACACAATATTTCAATTTTACATTGTCAGTGGGATATACACTAAGGACAGAAAAAAATCTTAGACTAATGAATGTGGTTTTTCATGATTAATTTCACAAAATCTTGATATCTTTTTTATTATTAAAAGTATAGATTAAATTAATAATCATGTAACATTAGACCCCAGTAATCTTAAATTTGACATGGAAACCTCATTATATGCTTTATTTTTCTTTGTAAACAGTAAATATTTCCCACTCCTGTCTACATGAAAAGGTCTAGAGTAATTACAGTTCAGTAACAATGAGCACCACTAGTACCCAGATGGTGTTCTTTCATTTTCATTTGCAATTAAAAGGAATCAGAACTTATTTGCAAAACAGCTAATAGTTCCAGGGCAGTAAGTGTACAAGTTCATATCTGGTACAAGATGTCCAGGATTCAAGGAGGCTCTTAAAGACTTGGGATTCTGTCAAAGGGTTATACAAGCCAACTTGAAGGGATTTCTACAGGCCATGTAAAAATGAGACAGTTTGAGCATGAAATATTTGTATATGTGTCTGTTTTTAACTCTTAATAACCTCATCACTGTACAAGAAAGGCAGGGTAAGTGCTTGATTTCACTTCCCTTTATTATCAGTTCTCAGGACAAATTGATATGCTGCCAATCTCTAAAGCAACAAAATCGAACCTGTAGGGTAGTCAAAAAGCTCATGCTGGAAAATTCCACCGAATAAAGATAAAAGTTAGAAAAACGGTACTTGCAGCCCTTAATGAAACAAAGAAGGGATCATGGAAATATATATCAATGCTGTTGAGACCACAGGGTAAGAAATTGAGATTGAGCATGAAATATGTCCAGTACATCCATCAGCCTGTCTTTGTGCTCTGGCTATTTCTGAGCCAGCCATCTGTGTACAAGTGTAGCCTGACAGCACCCTGTTTCAGATCCATTGGATATCTCTAAAATTTGCTCTGGGACTTACCCTGGCACTACTATCAGGATGCCCACACAAACCTGATTGGGCAGCCCATCAGCAGTTGTGAACATGACATGGTGAATAAACACTCTCTTCCTTGTCTCAGGGCAGACTATTTCCAATGTGTTCTATACCTAGATCCTCAAAAAGAACCCCCAAAAAATTGAGCTGTGGTGTCCCATGGTCATAAGCTCTCTAATGCAGCCTTCAATTGTTTTTTCCTCATTCCTTGTTTTACTTTTCCTGGTTCCCTGTCTCTTGTTCCCGGAGATCAATAGAAGTGATCTGTCTACATATCTTTACATACCTATGCTATTCTGCCTTGGGGCGGGGATCGGGGACCTAGTCAAATCAAAGGGAAGTGTGTAACACATGAATCAGACTGAAAGCACCTGAATTTAATTTTATATATATAAGTATATATATATATGTGTATATATATATATATATATATATAATACGTATATGCATATATATAGTATATAAATATATACATATATACATGTACATATATATATATTTAAAGGTTTAGATCTGCTACTTTACATAAAATGTGAGAATTAATGGAACAAGTTAAACATCCCACTAAGAAACAGCCAGTTCCAGAATGTGGGAAATTTAACAGGATTAGTGAGTTTGCTTGAAAAATAAATGACAAAAAGTCAGGGGGTGGTAGTAAGTATGAAAATGTCTGTTCCTGGGTTGAAGTACCTTGAGGCCAACTCAGAATTGTGTCAATAACTAATAGGTGAATACCCACATTTATCCCTTGAGAGGCATCAGCCCCTAAATCAATGAGGAATGTGGAGCTAAGATTTGAGAGTACTGCAATGAGGTCATCTGCAGCAGCTCTTTGCAGGGTCGGTGGCAGGTGTTTGCTGATTCCACAGGGCACAGCAAGATTCAAGCTTTGCCTGGTGAGGGGCCTGCTGCTGAATAACCTAACAACCTGTGGAATTTGGGCACTTTGAAAGGGCTGGGGTGATAACAATGGAGACTTGAGAGGGCTAAACCACACTGTTTACCCTTCAAAACATTTGGTGAACTTTTAAGCTGCCTAGGGTAGGAGACCAAAAAGCAAGTCAAAAACCTTTGAGAAACAGTTCCGTTTTCCTGGAGTTTTGCTATGTCAGCGCTCCATTAAACAAGGTTGTTGGGTGGGGGAAGGTGTTTGCTTATAAATATAAACCAGAAGTAGAATATTAGTAAAACTGCTCCTGGAAGACAGGTCAATATAAAATATTAAGCTGAAGTACAGAAATGAAACAGTGGAACTTAACTGGCAATTGTGTTGGAGACATGTGGTACACAGCATAGCGATCTACCATTTATCTAATTGGAATCCAAGGAAGAGCGAGAATATAGAGTGGAAAAATAGAAGTACCAGCCCAGAATTTTCTGAAAGTGATGAAAGAAATCAATCCACAGATTCAAAAAGCTCAGAAAACCCCCACAGAGGATAAATGCAAAGAAAACCACACCCAGACAACAGTAGTAAAACTACTGAAAACCAGAGACAAAGAGAATATATTAAAAGCACAGAGGGAGGACCCGGGGGGACATTATCTTCAAAGAAGTAGTGGTAAAGCCAGACAGTGAAATGGCATTTTTAACATGTTGAAAGAAAAATAAAATCCTAACTGCTATATACAAAAGATCCTCTTTTAATATTTCTGTGTTCTTACATTTAAAAGTTGGAAAAAGATATACCATTGCAAATACTAACCAAAAGAAAGTTGGTGCACCTTTGATAGTAAGAGTTGGCCCTCCATATCTGTGGGTTCTACATCTGTGATTCAATCAACTGTGGCTCAAAAATATTTGAAATTTTTCTAAAAAAATACAGCATAACAATTATACATTGCATTGTATTAGGTATTAAATCTAAAGTATACGAGAGAATGTGTATAGGTTATTTGCAAATACTATGTTATATAAAGGACTCTGATCTACAGATTTTGTATACTTGGCAGTCTTGAAGCCAAGTATATCCCCTGTGAATATCGAAGGGTGATTGTATTAGGCAAAGTAGACCTCAAGGCAAGAAGCATTATTAGAGATAGAAAGTAATTTTTAATGAAAAAGATTGCATATAGTTTCCTTCTGTAACAAATTACTGCAAACTTAATGGCTTAAAACAACACAGATGTATTATCTTACAGTTCTGCAGTCCACAAATCTGAAATGGGTCTCACTGGGCTTATGTCAATAGGGCTGCATATTTTTCTGTAGGCTCTAGGGGACAAGCTGTTACCTTGCCCTTTCCAGCTTCTAGAGGCCGCCCGCATTTCTTGGCTCATGCCCCTCTTTCTCCACCTTCAAAGCCAGCAACATTGGGTAGAGTTATTTTCACACTGCTCGATCTCTGGTTCTCTCTTCTGCCTCCTTTTTTCCACTTTGAAGGACCCTTGTAATTATATTGGGCCCACCTGGAAACTCAGGATACTCAGTCTATTTTGAGGTGAGCTGATTAGCAATCTAGTTCTGTCTGCTATCTTAATTTCCTTTTCCCATATAACCTGAGATTCTACGGATTCAAATATAGACATTTTTGGATGTCCGTTATTCTACAGAGATCAGTCCAAAAGGCAACAGGAATATGTAGCAATTCTAATTTTATATTCAAAATATAATCAAGTGGAAGTTTACCGAACTAAAAGGAGAAAAGAGTCATCTATAATCATACTGGAAGACATAATACACCTCTCATTAGCTGATGGCATGAACAGACAATATCACAAAGAACATAGCAAAGGTGACAGACTTGATCTAATTGGGATACATAAAACACTAACCAACAATGACAAAATATAATTTCATTTTATGCTGTATAAACCATTTACCAAAATTGAACACATAAAGGACCATAAAGCCCTAATACATTACAAAGAGTAGAAATCAAAATGAGTGCATTCTCTGAAAACAGTGGGATTAAGCTAGAAATCAATAAAGCCATAGAGATTACTAGGAAATCTCTAACTGCTTAGGAATTATGTAGTTGTCTGGGCATAGTGGCTCACACCTGTAATCCCAGCACTTTGTGAGGCTGAGGCAGGAAGATCGCTCGAGCCCAGGAATTCAAGACCATCCTGGGCAACATAGACCCCTGTCTCTACAAAAGTATAATTTTAAAAAGTCAGCTGGGCATGGTGGTGCATGTCTGTGGTCCTTGCTACTTGAGAGGCTGAGGCAGGCGGATCGCTTGAGCTTGGGAGGTCAAAGCTGCAGTGGGCCATGATTATGCCGCTGCACTCCAGCCTGGATAACAGAGTAAGACCATCTCTCAAAGAAAGAAATTATGTAGTATACTTCTCAATGACCTGAGAGACATAAAAGAAAACATAAATTAGAAATATTTAAGGACTTCATCCAAGGCTAAGATTGGAGATAATGTATAGACTTAAAAGCAATTACTAGAAAAGAGGCTGAAAACCAATAATCACAAATCAAATACAAATAAAGTTGGAGGGAAACATTAAGACCAAAAATCAATGAAATAGTAAATAAAAATACAATAGAAATAAGTCAACAAAACCACAGATTGGGGCTTTGAAAAGGAACAAAATTGTTAAGTCTCTAGCAAGAATAATAAGGAGAAAACACAAATTATACACAGCAGTAGTGAAAAAGCAAAAAAGTTGGTAATAGGGCTGGGTGTGGTGGCTCATGCCTGTAATCCCAGCACTTTGGGAGGCCGAGGTGGGTGGATCATCTGAGGCCTGGAGTTCAAGACCAGCCCCGCCAACATGGCAAAACCCCATCTCTAATAAAAGAAAAAATACAAAATTAGCCAGGCATGCTGGCGTGCGCCTGTAGTCCCAGCTACCTGGGAGGCTGACAAGCTGAATTTAAAATTTATTGATGACTATAAGAGACCACAAATAGCCAAGGCAGTCTTTACAAAGGACGTTAGATGACTTACATCACCAGAGATCAAGACTTTTAAAGCTACATTAGTGAAGACATATGTAGGATAAACAAAGGGACCAGGGGAATATAGAAAGATCCAAACAGACCCCAAATAAAGTCACACCAGAACTGACTTTTGTTGTCAAAGGTAACATTGCAATACAGGGAGCAGGGAGGGACAAGATTATTTATTTTAATTGTGCTATTTAATTAGATATCTCTTAGAATAATACAGGTTTTTTTTTAACTCCAATGCATTATAGACATAAGATTATTAACACTTTAAGGAAAACATAGGAGAATATTCTTCCAAACTTAGGATAAATGCTAAAAACATTGACCATACAAGCAAAGATTAAATTAGCCTATATTAATCATAATAACTGTTTATCGCACATGTACCCCTTAACCTAAAAGATGAAGAAGAAAATAAAAAATAAAATAAAATTTGAAGAAAATGTTAAACAAAAATGAAACCATACCAGTACTAGAAGAAAAATGGGTGAATTCCTCTTTAACCTAGGCAAAGGAAAGGCTTCTCTGGCTCCCAATCTGGATTTAATTAATCCTAAAGTTTGTATAGAATCACAAAATACCTCAAATAGCCAAAACAATCCTGAGCAAAGAGAACAAAGCTGGAGGTATCACACTACCAGATGCCAAAATATCCTGCAAAGCTGTAGTAACCAAAACAGCATTATACTGGCATACAAATAGACATATAGAGCAATGGAACAGAATAGCGAACACAGAAATTAATCCAAATATCTGTAACCAACTGATTTTTGACAAATGTGCCAACAACACTCTTTAGGAAAAGGATAGTCTCTTTAAAAAATGGTGCTGTGTAAACTAGATATCCGTATGCAAAAGGCTGAAACTAGACCCGCACCTCTCACCCTACGTAAAAATCAACTCAAAATGGATTAAGAACCTAAATGTAAGACCCAAAATGACAAAGCTAGGCAAAGAAAACTTGAGGGAAAACACTTCAGGATATTGGTCTAGGAGAGTAAAACCTAGGATATAAGTCGGGGAAAAATGAGTAACACCTCAAAAGCACAGGCATCAAAAGCAAAAATAAACAAATGGGATTATATCTAACTAAAATGCTGTTATACAGCAAAGAAAGCAATCAGTGGAGTGAAAAGACAACCTACAGAATGGGAAAAATATTTGCAAACTAGTCATCTGACAGGAGATTAATATCCAGAATATACAGGAAACTGAAACATCTCAATATCAAGAAAACAATCTGATTTTAAAATGGTCAAATAATCTGAACAGACATTTCTCAAAAAGAGATTTAAATATGTCCAACAGATAAATAAAACAAAATGTTGGCCATCAATAATCTTCAAGGAAATGCAAATCAAAACCACAGGGAGTTATCATCTCACCCCAGTTAGGATGGCTCGTATCAAAAAGGTAAAAAATAAAAATGCTGGTGAGAAAGCAGAGAAAAGGGAACTCTTATACACTGTTGGTAGGAATGCAAACTAGTGCAACCACTGTGGAGAACAGTATAGAGGTCCCTCAAAAAACTAAAATAGAACTACCATATGATTCGGCAATTCCACTACTGGATATTTATCCAAAGGAAAGGAAATTATTACATTGGAGAGACATCTGCACCCCCATGTTTATTGCAGCATTGTTCATAATAGCAAATATATGGAATCAACCTAGGTGTTCAACGACAGAAAATGTGGTATAGTGTACTATGGAATATTATTCAGCCACAACAAAGAATGAAATCCTGTTATTCACAGCAATATGGATGGAACTGAAGGACATTATGTTATGTGAAATAAACCAGGAACAGAAAGTTAATCACTCTATATTCTCACTCCTCTGTGGAAGCTAAAAAAAAAAAAAAGTTGATCTTATAGAAGTAAAAAAGTAACAGGATACTAGAGGCTGGGAAGGGTAAGGGAAAGGGAGATATAAGGAGATATTTATAAAAGGACACAAAATTACAGCTAGATAGAAAGAATAAATTCTAGTGTTCTGTATCACTGTAGGATGACTATAGTTAACAAAACATATTGCATAGTTTCAGATAGCTAGAAGGAGTTTATTAAATGTTCCCAATACAAAGAAATGATAAATGTGTGTGATGATGGAGATACTAATTACCCTGATCTGATTATCATACATTATATGTATTAAAACATCACTGTGTACCTCATGAATATGTATAATTATTATCTGTCAATTAAAAAATAAATTTTAAAAGAAGAAGAATACATTTGACTAAATAAAAATAAATTTTGCATGGCCAAAAATACAAGCAATTTAAATGGAAATCTAGCAACTGAGAAAAAATGTTTACAACATAAAGGGCTAGTAATATTTCTAATATAAAAAGTCAAAAACTGAGGGAATTAAAAAACAACAACCAATGGGAAAAAATGACAAAAGATTTTAACAGATAAGTCACACAAACACAAACACACACACACACACACACACACACACACACAATACAGAAGTGGTCCTTAAACATAGAAAAAGATGTTCAACTTCATTTACAATAAAATAAGATAAATGCAAATGAAAAATACACTGAGTTAATATTTGTGATCCTGTCACCTGGCAAAACTAAGGAGCATTTGCTGCTGAATTCTACCAAACATTTAAACAAAAATTAGTATCAATTGTACTCAAACTATTTCACACAACTGAAGAGGAAAAACTTCTTTCAAACTCATTCTATTAAGGCCAGCATTGCCCTGATACCAAAATCAGACAAGGATACAATAAAAAAAGAAAACTACAGGTCAATATGCTGATGAACACTGATGCAAAAATTCCCAACAAAATACTAGCAAACCAAATTCAAAAGCACATTATAAAGATCATGATCAAGTAAGATTCATGCAAGAGAGATGCAAAGATGGTTTAACATATGCAAATCAATAAATAAGATACATCACATTAAAAGAATGAAGTTCAAAATCTATATGATCATTTCAATAGATGCAGATAAAGCATGACAAAATTTAACATTCCTTCATGATAAAAACTCTCAACAAATTAGGTATAGAAGAATGTACCTCATCACAATAAAGGTCATATACCACAAACCTACAGCTAACAGCATACTGAATGGGAAAAGTTGAAAACGTTTCCTCTAAGATCTAGAAGAAGACAAAGATACCTACTTTCACTACTTCTATTCATTGTAATACTGGAAATCCTAGCCAGTGTAATTAGGCAAGAGAAAGCAATAAAGGCACCAAAATCGGAAAGAAGGAAATTAAGTTGTCCCTGTTTGCAGATGACATGATCTCATATATAGAAAACCCTAAATATTTCACTTAAAAAAACTGTTACAACTAACAAATTCAGTAAAGTCACATGATACAAAATCAACATACAAAAATCAGTAGTATTTCTGTACACTATTAGTGAGCCATCTGAAAAAGAAATCAAGAAAGCAATCCCATTTATAATAGCTACAAAAATGCTTAGGAATAAATTTAACCAAGGAAGTGAAAGACCTCTACAATAAAAACTACAGAACATTGATTAAAGAAATTGAAGAAGACACAAATACATGAAAGATACACTGTGTTTAATGAATTGGAATAACTAATATTGTTGAATTGTTCATACTACCCAAAGTGACCTACAGACTCAGTGCAATCCCTGTCAAAATACCAATGACATTCTTCACAGAAATAGAAAAATGAATCCAAAAATTGATATGGAACCACAATAGACCTTAAATAGCCAAAGCAATCTTGACAGAAAAAAAAAAAAGCTGGAGGCATCACACTCTCTGACTTCAAAGTATATTACAAAGCTGTAATAGCCAAAAACTCATAGTACTGGCATAAAAACAGACACACAGAACAGAGAGCCCAGCCAACTGATTTTTGGCAAAGATTCTAAGAACACACCTTGGAGAATGGACATTCTCTTCAATAAATGGTGTTGGGAAAACTGGATATTCACATGTGGAAGATGAAATGAGACCCTTATCTCCACCGTATAAAAAATAAAAAATGGATTAAAGACTTACATGTCAGATCTAAAATTATGAAACTATTAGAAGAAAACACGGGAAATTCCTTATGACATTGGTCTGTGCAAGGATGTTTTGGATAAGACCTTAAAAGCACAGCCAATGAAAGCAAAAATAGACAAATGGGCTTACATCAAACTAAAAAGCTTCTGTATAGCAAAGGATACAATCAACAGAGTTCAGAGACAACCTGTAGAAATGGGAGAAAATACATATAAACTATACATATGACAAGTGGCTAATATTCAAAATACGCAAAGATCTTAACAAAAAACAAATAGCCCATTTAAAAAATGGGCAAAGGACGTGAATAAACATTTCTCAAAGAAGACATACAAGGTCCAATAGATGTATGAAAAAATACTCAGCATCACTAATTATCAAATTATCAGGGAAATGCAAATCAAAACCACAAAGTGATGTCACCTCACCCCAATTAAAATGACCATTATCAAAAAGACAAAAGCTAACAAGTGTTGATGAGGATGAGGAGAAGAGTGAATGCTTAAAAACAGTTAGTGGGAGTGTAAAATGGTACAGCTTTATGTAAAATAGTATGTTCATATCCAAAGGAGATGAAATCAGTATGTTAAAAAAAATCTGCCCTTCTTGTTGATCACAGCATTGTTCACAATAGCCAAGATATGGAATTAACCTAAGTGTCCATCAATGGATGCATGGATAAAGAAAATGTGGTATATATGTGGAATGGAATACTATTCAGCCATAAAAACTGAAATTTATGACAACATGGATGAACCTGGTAGACATCAAGTTAAGTGAAATAACAAGCACAGGAAGACAAATACCTCATAATTTTGTCCATATGTGGAATCTAAAAATGGTGATCTCATAGAAGTAGAGAGTACAATTGCAGTTACCAGAGCCTGGGGAAGTTAGGTTAAGGTAGTCTGGGGACATGTTGGTCAAAGCATACATAATTACAATTAGATAGAAGGAATAAATATCAAGAGCTCTGTTGTACAGCAAGGTATATTGTATTCTTGAAAAATGTATAGAGCAATGTTATGTGCTATCACCACAAAAATGATGACTGTGTAGCAAAAAGCACACCTAACCCTCAGATCCTTGCTTCTAGAAGCATTTTCCACTAAAAGGAATTAGGGACTTCCACTTTGGCTCTGACGGACTAATAGGATTCAGAATTATCCTCCCATCGTAAATTTAAAAAATGCATGCAGTATAGGAAATGATTATTTTCCGACATCAGACAACTGGAAATACTAGATGTAATTCTGGAGAGAGGAGGAACAAAGAAGGTAAGCCTTAAAGTCTACTATGCTTTCTGCCTGGGGGCAAATAACACTGCAGCTCAGCAAAGTGGAGCTCAAATAGAGCGTGGCAATCTTACTAATTGAAGAGCATAGATTCAAAAGGCTGAGGGAGCTAAAATTTGTAGGGTGGAGTTTGATAAAGGGTGGGGGACTAGTCAGAGAAATAGTTGTATATATTTGCATAGACATCTGCTTGAGTCTTTGGTTGAGTGCCAGTCTGCTCATGTGTAGGGTGAAATCCCATGAGGTGGGCAAGAATAGCTTCCAAGGAAAGAACAATTACTGGAAAACTATGAGAAAAAAAAATTAACAAAGAGCTAGAAATCATTCAAGATCCCTTCATCTATAGTAAGAAGACCTCATTGACTAAATGGAGTGTTCACTAGAGACTCCAGAAGGGCCACACCTTAGTAGTGGGGCTAAATTAGCCCTAAATTAAAGGTAAATATAGATCTTCTGTACAAAAGTTTAAAAGAGCTTCAAAACAGCTAAATCCACAAGTTACATAATTGGTTGCAACACTCTTTGAAGACATACTTCAAAATTCAGCACTCTACAACCTAACCTCACAATGCTCAACAACAAATAAAAAATTATTAGACATTATGTGAATAAGAAAAATGTTATAACTAGGAGAAAAATCACTTACTAGAAACAGACACAGAAATGAAAGGAATGATGGAAATAGCAAACAGAGATGATAAAACAGATATGATGAATATACTTTAAGTGTTTAAGGATATAAAGGAAAACATAAACACAATGAGTATAGAAATAGAAGAGATATAAAAGACCAAGGTGAAACTTTTACAGATTAAAAAAATACAAGATCTGAAATGAAAATTTCTCTGGATTGTTTTAATGTCAGAATAGACCCTACAGAAGAAAATATCAATGAATTATAAGGAACAGGATATATCTCAGAGGAAGTTTAGAGGAAAAGAAAGAATTAAAAATGAGTGGATTAATATCAAGAGGTCTAATGCAAGTGTGATTAGAGTCCCCACAAGCTAAGATGAAGTAAAGCTTTTTGAAGAATTAGCCAAAAATTTGATGAATAGTACATAATCTCACAGATCCAAGAAGTTCAATCAATGCTAACTAGAATAAACACACACATATGTTGTACAAAATACATCATAAAATTGCTGGACAACCGATAAAAATTTTTTTTAAAATTTTAAAGGAGTTGCTGTATCTTAGAGTAGGCGGAGACACATTACATAAAAAGAAAGATAAGAATTTACAGCAATGAGATAATGGAATGACATCTTTAAAGGCCTAAAAGAAAACAACTGTCAAACTAGAATTCTAAAGCCAGTAAAAATGTCCTGAAAAATTAAGGTCAAAGGAAAAAAACAACTTTTTTTTTGACAAACAAAAACTTAAAGAGTTCATCAACAAGAGATCTGCACTGAAATACATGTTAAAGGAAGTTCTTCCAACTGAAATAAAATCATATCAGATCAGATACATTTAGATCTATATGAAGGTATAAAGAACATCAGAAATAGTAAATATGTGGGTAAAATGTCTTTATTTTTTCATTGCTTTAAAAGATAGCTATTTGAAGCAAAAATAATGTAGGATTTTTAATATGTAAAGGTAAAATATATGACAACAATAGTGCAAAGAATTGAAGAGGGAAATGGATATATACTTTTGTAATGGTCTTATATAGTAAGTGGTAAAATACAGTAAAGTTAAATTATAATAAGGAAAAGATATTGAAGCCTAGCGTGAAATGTCCAATATGGTGGCCACTAGCCACAACTGACTAAATTTAAATTTTAATTAATGAAAATGAAATAAAATTAATTATTCACTTTTTCAGTGGCACCAACTACATATCAAATGCTCAGTAGTCACATGTGGCTACCATATTTGAGAGCATAAATATAGAACATTTCCATCATTACTGAAAATTCTATTGGACCTCACTGCTCTTGAATAACTACCAGTAAAGAAAACATAGATATAACAAATAAGTCCAATAGTGGATATAGATGAAATAATAATTTAAAAAACATTCCATTCAAAATAAGGCAAGAAGTGAGGGGGAAAGGAACTAAGATGAAACAAACAGAAAACAAATAGCATGATGAGAGATTTAAAACTATCATATGAATAATTACAAACGCTCTAACCAAAAAGAGGTTGTCATACTGACTAAAAATGCAAGACCCAATTATATTCTGTGTACAAGAAATCTGTTATACTTAAAAAGAGGTTACAAGTAAAATAAATGAAATTATATGTCATGGAAACACTAAACAGAAGAAATATGGAGTGGCTATGTTGATATCAGATGAAGTCAATATTGGAACAAGGAATGTTACAAAGGATAAAGAGAGACCTTTCAAAATGATAAAGTGGCCTGTTTATCAGGAAGACATAATAATCCGGAATGTATAAGCCTCCAACAACAGAGCTTCAAATATACATGAATCTAAAGCTGATAGAACTGAAAAGAGAAACCAACAAAGCCACAATTACAGTTGGATATTTTAATACTTCTTTTTCAGTAATTAACAGAACATTAGAAAATACATAAGGATATAGAGGACATGATCAACACTATTACCATGCAAACCTACTTGACACTCCACCGAACAACAGCAGAATAACACATTCACAAAGATAAACCATATGCTGGGCCACAGAGCAAGTGTCGATACATTTAAAAGGTTAGAAATCATGCATTATGTGTTCTCTGATTATAACAGGATTAAATTAGAAATCAATAGCAGAAGATATATTTTAAATCCCCAAATATTCAATAATTTTAAAATGTACTTCTAAATAACCCATGGGTGAAAGAAGAAATTACAAGGATAACGAGGAAATATTTTGAAATGAATGAAAATCAAAACAGCCATAACAAAATTTGTGGGATTAAAGCCCTACTTGGAGTGAAATTCATGTTTTAAAATGCTTATTTTATTAAAATAAAATCTAGAATCAGTTATCTAAGCTTCTATCTTAAGAACTTAGAAAAAGAAGAGCAAATTAAGCCCCAGATAAAGAAGCGAACAGAAATAAGCAACATAAAAACCTTACAATTAATAAAATCAATGAAACCAAGGCTATTTCTTTAAAAGGACACAGGACTCCTTGGAGAAATAGTTGGTTTCAGGTCTGTAAGTAGAGAACCGCTTAAAACAGCTTGTGCCAGAAAGCAAGGAGGAACTTAAAGAATTGGAAGACATACTAACAGGACACTAGAGCCAGCTTGAAAGGGGATCTGTCTGGCCAAATTAGGGACAGATTGAGCATCAAAATAAATGATAGTTAAGGATTATAACCTGTTCAATTACATAAGAATTCATTATTCCATATGGATATAAACAAATAAATAGCACTGAAGAACAGTTCCAACTAACAGATGTAGAATGAATGGACTTGTAATATCACCACTGGGAAACCATAATGATAATAATTAATACAGGAAAGGTTCATCAATGGACGTTAAACTAGTGGGTTAAAGCTTGGGAATTAAGAATATTTACAGACCCAAACTCCCTTCCCACAAGTATTTTCTAAAGAAGAATATACTAAAATTTTAGTGGATGACCCTTTTAACCAAGTTAACTTTACCAGTAATGAGTCACTTCAGCATCATGTGCTTTCTACTACAAACCACTGAAGAGAACACATCAATTCTGTGGTATCCATGTCCAAAATGTAAATCCTGAATCTAATAATGAAGAAGCATCACACAAACCCAAAATGAGGGATAATTTACAAAAACAACTATCTTGCATTCTTCAGGAATGTCAATTTCATGAAATACAAAGAAAGATTGAAAAACTATCCAGATCAAAAGAAACTAAAGAGGCACAACTCAACGCAATGCTATAACGCGCATGATTGGAAAATTAGCAAAATCAGAATTAACTCTGTAGATTAGATCAGGAGTTGGCAAACTATAGCTTGTGGGACCAAACCAGGTCAATGCTTATTTTTGCAAATGTGTTTTTGGAACACAGCCACACCCATTGATTTATGCATCATCTGTAGCTACTTGCACACTACAACAGTGGAATTCAGTAGTTGTAACACAAACTGTATGTTCTTTAAAGGCTAAAATATTTACTATTTGACCCTATGTAGAAAGTTTTCCAGCCTTTGGATGAGATCATTTTATAGTACACTGATTTTCCTGATTTTGTTGATTTTACTGTGGTTGTAAAAGAAAGTTTCCTTTTAAGAACATAAACTAAATTTAGAATATATACATATATATAGTTTTGTATATATATTTATATATATTTTTGTTGGATGTATAGGTCAGTAATACTAGAGCCAATTTTATAAGAAGATGATTTCATCAATGAGAACACTTAATTCTCAACATTGTTTGGCCTTCATATTATTAACATATACGACACATTCATTACATGTAGTAACACTTGAAAAAGTCTTCTGAAGATTTTCATCGTCCCTACCCTTGATTGAGAGTTATTAAATTAGAACCATTTAAAAATAAGATGCCTCCAAACTTGTAACTATTATTGTCCAGTATGTTAATCCTAAATCTTTGAAATGTTCATGTAGGGGAAAAGATACAAATTAATTTTAAACTTTAAGTTAAATGTGCATGCTAAAATATAAGGTTAACATCTATTTCTGCTAATATAGTTAATTAAATGTCTGGAGAAAACCTCCCAGTCTAGAACAACTAAAACGCTATTTAAAGTATTAAAGTTATTTTTAAATATACATCGATGAGCTGACAGTAAAATAGGGACATTCTCAAAGGCCAGAAACAACTATACTCTAGCACTGGAGCCACCAATCTTGATGGCCTAGAACCTCTGTTATTTGGGGCCACTGATATGAAGGGCGCAGGAGACAAAACCTTATATTTGATGAGGTAAGTAAGATCATTCAACTCACATACAGTAGGACATCTTAAAGATAATGCCTTGGAAAGATGAACTAGAGAAAAATCCTTCCACTCTAGAAGATTCTGCAGTAGGGGAGCAAGTAAGAAGTAATGGGAAGGGGATGTGAGTACACAAGTCTGTCTTCAGAAGGTTGTCTGGAAACAAAAGCAAATACCTGGCAATATATTTAGCTCAATGCCTGAATGAATTGCCATAGATAGGGTTCCAAGAAAGATGAGTTCACAATCCAAAACTAAACAGTGCATAATAAGCCATTATGAATAGGAATCAGCATAAATTAAAAGCCATAGAATTAAAGCCTCAAAGACATTGGGTGTGAAATTATAATTATGAAAATGTTTTATATGTTTAAGTATGTTAAAGCATGTTTAACAACATGTTTATTTTACGAAACTATTTAAGTGTATGTTTAAATAATTTTTTCAAATATTTTTAAAAGTCAAGACATTAAAATATGAAGAGTGAGCAAGAGACATCAAAACATGCCTGGCATATATGAAAAAGAATTAACTAGAATTTCTCCAAAAGAAAAACAAAATTAGGATTTCAATGGGTGGGCTGTAACTGCCTATTTTCAGATTTAAAAGTTTGTGGGTACAGCAGAAATTTATTGGTCAGTGAAAATGGTAAATTTGATAGCAGATCCAAGCACGTACAATTACAAATAGCTAATCAGGTGACCTAGACTTTCATAGCTCTTACCTCTGTTGTACCAACACCTCTCTCTCAATTCACATGTATAGTTTTATTGGAGGTTTCTTCTGACTTGCTGATGGAGGAAGCAAAAACCCAGGCCTGATTCACAAACAGGTCAGCTTGACATGTTGATACAAGCCTAAAAATGCACTCCTGCCATATTTCAAGCCCACTCAGTGGTGGACATAAAGGATAGCAGTGAGGGGAAATACTCCAAGTGGACAGATTTTTGAGCCGTGCATTTGGCCATTCACTTTGAACAGAGGTAGCAGCAGCCAGCAGAATGAACTTTATTTATTTATTTTTTGTCTTTTTTTTGCATCTGTTTCTTTTTATTATTATACTTTAAGTTTTAGGGTACATGTGCACAATGTGCAGGTTAGTTACATATGTATACATGTGCCATGCTGGTGTGCTGCACCCATTAACTCGTCATTTAACATTAGGTATAAGACAGTGGCAAGTGGCTAGGCTTGTGTATCAGAGGCCTGAAAGGAGAAAGATCAGGAAATTGGAGATAAAGAGGTCTGGGAAAGAGATCACGAATGGACTTGTAGGAGTGGGCGCACAGTAAGTAAATCTATGTGTTTCACATCAATGCCCACCAGAGAACACTCACCAGACCGGGAAAAAGTCATCTATGAAGTGGACAAGTTAACTTGTCTTTTGCCTGTGGGCCAGGCTGTCTTCACTCATCCCTGTGTTGGCACAATGTGTCCATAAATAGAGTCATAATAGTAGCAGGAATGGGGTTTACACATGGGCCAGGCAGCGTGAGTTCTCCATCACCAAGGCTGATCTTGCTTCTTCCTCTGTGGACCTGGAGTCAGTGCAGAGTGATGTGAAGCCGTCAACTATGACTGTTCCAGAAGGAAACTAGATACCACTTGGCAGCACTGAAGATACCAGTAGTTGGTTATATTGGCCCCTTCTACCATGGGAAGAACAGCGTCACATCCTTACTGGAATTGGCACCTACTCCAAGTATGGGTTTGCCTTACATGCACTGTGAGTGCCTTCTCCAGCACCACCTTCTAAGAACATACAAAAGTCTCATCTATTAACAATAAATCCTACAGAGCATCACGTCAGTCCAAGAGACCCATTTTATGAACAGGGAGATGTGACAATGGGTGCATGACCGTTTCATTGGTTTTAAGTTTTCCTTACACAGAAGTATCTAGCTTAATAGAATGGTGGAATGGCCTATTCAAGGCTCAGCAATTGTACTAGCATGACGGGTTGGCATGCTTTCTTCCAAGAGATGGAATATGCACTAAACTGAGCCACAACCAATATGGAGTTAGGTCCCCAACAGCTAGATGCAGGGGCATGAGAAGAAGCTCAGTTTAATGTCCTCACATAATTCCCAGAAATCCATTTGCAGAATTTTTGCCTTTCATCTCAGGTTATAAGAACATTTCTCACTCTCTACTTTCTGCAAGTTAAACTCAGAGCAACTATCCGTAACTGATAAGGAACCAGATGTTTTACAGCCCTGTAAAATCAAAGTTACACTCCCTGAGAGAGCTCAATGAAGGTCAACTGGGCTTATTAAAGAAATTGTTCAGAAAGATAACAACAATCATTTTGACATTTTCCAAGTTTTGGATAAATAATTTTTAACACATGTCATAGAAGGAATGTTTGCAAAAGGAAAGGCTATTCAGCATGAGAAGAAAAGATGGGTGGGGATGATGATTGTCTTCAGATATTGGACTGACCACCATGTGGAATAATTTTGTTTATTGCTTCAGAAGGCAAAATCAAGAAGGTTAGAAAGACCAGTTTTGACTCAACACAAAGAAGAGCTATTTAACTGCCTAGACCAGCACTGTCTAATAGAGTTAGAAGACACACCTCACATATGTAACTTTAAATTTTCTGGATGCCACAGTAAAAAGGTGAAAAAGAAAAACAGATAAAATTAATTTTAACAACAATCTTATTTAGCCAATCAAAAATATTATTAGTTCAACATGTCATCAATACAAAAATATTAATGAGATATTTTACATTCTTTTCTTTATACTACATCTTTGAAATCCCATGTGTATTTTACATTTGTGGCACAGCCCAATTTGGACTTCCACATTCCAAGTGCTCAGTAGCCACACAACTTGTGCGTATCAGTTGGTGATGGTCTAGATGGTCTCAGATAGTGTGAGGATCCCATCAGTCAGATACCGTTGAAGCCAAGTTCAATAACCACTGATCAAGGCTGTTTTGAAGGAATGTTCAGGCACTGGTTATGTTAGGACAGTTACCAGGACTCCCCTCCCCTTAACCTGTCTCCACCTTTTATAGCAAAAGCAGGAAGAACAGAATTCCACCTGATAGCATCCATCCCCACTGCCCCCATCCATCCAAATGATAGCAGCAAGGGCAAATACACCTCCTGGAGAGATTAGCAGTTTTCCAGGAGTCTTCTAGCTTTTAGTGTGTCTGGGGGATTTTTACAACCCACAATTAAACTCTGCATTGAAAAGCAGGGGGAAGAAAGGCATCTATTGCCTCTTAGCTGAGCAGCCCATGAACTGGAGTAAGTACCTCCTTGTTAACAAATGCCATGCCTGGATTTCCTCTCACCTGAGAACCCTTGCTATCACTGCAGTTGGAGAAAGGTAAGGGTTTGCCGTTTTGCTAGAGTCAATAACTTTTGAGTAATCTGCATCATATTTGTGGTTGAGCAAAGTAGTAACTTTCCTCTGAATTTGTTGCTTCTCTAAGTAAAGGAAGCTTTCAAAATTAGTGGAAAAGATTGTGTAGTTTTATCCAAATATCTAAAGACAAGCTAAAACCAGGGTGGACATTTTATTCATGTAAATGATTGATGACATTCTCCTGGGTCAATTGAGATAGTGGGAAGCCAGGAGTCTTTGGACATCTTTTTAAGAAATGAGTGGACTTGAATGAGCATGTTGTGTGCACCCACCTGACCAGCATATGTGCATCCTGAATGTGAATCATGATTTTTTCTCCTGGGTGGAGCTGCAGGAAAAGATTTCATTCTAAATGAAAGAGGAACTGGACCATTTTTAACTTGTGAGTCACATGATGGGAGGAATTGCCAAAAACAGTTTTGATTGAATAATGTTCTCCTAATTGTGCACCTGCACCTGATCTCTAAGAAGAGCAATTCAGGACAAAGGGCAAAATGCCCAGTGCATAATAATGCATAAGGTAATAAGAACCTCTTCATGGCTATCCTGTGTCGGTTAAATAACATGGTTTGAAAACTGAATTAGGTTGTTTGTGAGGTTGGGCAGTGAATGAGGTCAATCGAGTAAGGTCCAAAAAATTCCAAATCCATTTGGGAGCCTTAAGCCTGTTGGATGTCTCCCCTTATAACCCTGATTTTTAGCAGACTGGTGAACAAGATTTTCAATGTATTTCTGTCATAAAATACAAAGAATGTAAATGGAAATATGGGAGTGTGGCCTCAACTGCCTTAACTTTGCCTGAGGCAATTTAATATGGACCAACTTCAAAAGATTAGGAAGCTTTAGTTTTCAACATTATCTTACATTGTCAACATTATCTTGGCTAAATGTTTTGATGCTGCGTCTGGTGTCTTTCATGTGACTGGAGCTGTGGATGTAGATGCAGGAATCTGTGCAGGGCAGCTTTTCTGTATTTCCACCCATCCCTTCCTCAAGATAGCAGAAGGGCTCTGACAAGGAAAACCAAACACATGGGGTTGATGCTGTGTTTGAAAACCCTCTTGAGTTGAGATGTGTAAAGCATGTGCTTAGCCAGAGCCAAACATCTGCTTGATTCTCACTCCTCGCTGTCACCCGGTGTCTTGTTGTTTACAATGTGCTGCCATAACTCACTTGGTGTGTAGGGTCATTCCTACCACTTCATTCCTTGAATGTCCGATCACCATCACTGCTGGCTGAAACGCAGTCCCTTCAAAGGCTTAAATAAGTCTTTTCTAAGGGCCGAAGAAGTGCTCTTGAGTTATTAGATATTTTTGAAAAAAAGGTTTTCTTCATGTTCTTGCTTTTTAAATAGTTTGTTTGGCCCTTGAGTCGTCAGTTCTTTTGTCATATGAGTGGAATGGATAAGTTTACTAAGACTTGGCAAGGAAGAAAATCTATGGGGAATTAGAGGCTGAATTCCTAATAATTAAGAACAATTTTTAACGTTTATTTTAAGTTGAGGGGTACATGTACAGGTTTGTTACATAGGTAGGCTTGTGTCATGTGGGTTTCTTATACAGATTATTTCATCACCCAGGTATTAAGCGCAGTACCCATTAGTTATTTTGTGAGGATGAAGAGAACAAAAATTATTTAAAAGACCCAGCCAAGGCGTTATTTTAGGGGCTTGTCACACACTTGTCACTCACCAGTTTAAATGATCAAATCCACATGTATGCTAAATTTAAGCAAAAATTAAAATATACAAAACCTAACAAAATTATCCTGGACATCGACTAAGAATAAAAGCCGGTCACCTGCAGTGTTGGCATAAGGGAATGGCTAGGGGGTGAGCAGTGCCATGGCCCCTCTGCTTGGAGAAGTGCAGTGGCTTTAGCTGCAAGCTCCAGCCCTGGTCCAGCCTGTTAATATCATCAGAGACCGTTAGGTTGGCCCTGCACATTCAAACCATGTGGCCCTGCCTTTGACTGCCGCATAGAATGTGAGAGCACCCAGCTCTCATCAGAAAATTAACCCCAAACACTCTGTATCCAGGTTTTATGAAAGGTTCAGTTGTGAAAAATATTCTCAAAGTGTGCTTCCTGGACCACAAGTTGGGCATCGCCTGGAAGCCCCAGTCCAGACACACTGAATCAAATCTGCATTTAACAAGACCCCAGTGATTCTTGAGCACCCTGATGCTTGGGGCAGCAGCTCTGAGGATTTACAGTCTCTCCATTTCAGCCCTCACTGTGCACTTGCTTGGGGCCTGTGCCTCTGGGGCGACAGTATGAGAAGGAGGCAGAGAAAACGACTCGTGTATTCTACTGAAATATGGAAAGGGCTGTGCCCTGTATCACCAAGTAATGTTTTAAGTGAGAAATTGCTCTCTGATATGGGTGTCAAGAGAGGGCCTTGTGGATACTGTGTATCTTACAATTGGTTACTTCCATCATTTTGCCTTGGCTTGTAGAGAGCTCAAACTGAATACAGAGCCCAGCAGCTGTTCACAGGCACGTGGCATTCATTTTCCTTCTTGTTCAACTTGCCAGCTCCCCTTTCCCTCTACTTACTGCCCACACACCCAGCTCTTGTACTTAATTCTCTTTCTCCTGAATGTTTTTTGGTAACTACCTTCCATATTTTTTGTAAAGCAAGTGGGGAAATATATTAATATATTAATGCCATTAATGAAAACTAATGGTCATCTCTGATGGTGATGATGGTGATGTGTCCTCAAGTGATAAAAGAAGCTTTTGTGAGATTTCTCAAAGAACCACATGCTAAATTGCTCAGCCCCAGCCTTTGGCCTTCACGTCCACCCTGACAGCAGCTGCTGGGAGTCAGGTGTGGATATGCCAGGTGCACCAGTAGGTTGTGGTCATTAGTCCTTTCGTCATCAGAAGGGGAAGAGAGACTCCAACTCGGAGAGCTGGTGATTTTTTGCCTGTGTATGTATTGCTTGAATTAAGTTCTTTATTTTAGTTTAGTACACTGCTGTGTTCTCAATATATGTGACTTCATCCTCGCAAAACTATGGGGCTGGGTGTCTCCATTTTGTAAATGGCGGAAGTGAGGTGTTTGCTTGCCTAGGTTCCCGCAGTGGCATGGTGGATGCATCAAGGCAAAGCCAGTGACCTTAGTGGTCTTAGTTCTCTCACCGACTGACACAGAGGAAAGAAATCAGAGAGCTTCCTTGAGCCTGAGGCCATGGATAATAATGATCACTTAGACATGAAGTTTCAGAAAGAAAACAGAGACATCTTGAAATCCTTAGTGTCAAACGTTCAGATGAAAGGAGCATATTAAATGCCTCAAGAATCCCATTCACTGGGCCCAGTAATTTTTCTCTTAGTCATCTTTCTAAAGAAGTAATCTAGGATGTGACAAAACATTTTGGGAACAGGAATAATCATTACTGTGCTACTTAAAAAATTAAAATAACATTTGTAAAGGAGGCAAAACTCAATGGCTTACAACAAAAAGCTGTATTCTCATGCTCATGGGTGAGCACAAGAGCCACGGCTTGGCTGATGGGGCAGGATATGGATGGCTCAACTTCAGCCTAACCTTCAGGGGGACTTGACTCTGAGCTCTATTCTGGGTTCAGTTTTGCTCCACAGCTGTCTGGCCACATTCTTCTCCCAGTGGATCAGCCATGCACTGGAGGGCAAGCTAAACCTCACAGCCCTGTGCCAATCCTCCCCTCACAAGACTGCTGACATCCCATGCTCTGTGTAAGCACAGGAACAAGGGAAAAACCCACAGGGCAGGGAAGTAGACTCCACTCATAATGGGAGACAGGGGCAAGTATATATTTGATGAGTGATCATAGAAATAACAACTGTGATCTAGATTTGCTTTGCATTGGCACACATTGTTCTTCAGTGGAGTACCATGGAAGGGGCTTATTGGTACAACAGCATGGCACACAATTTTGAAATCAGGCAGCCCTGACTTTGAGTTCTTGCTCTGCTATTAATATTGACTAGCTGTGCTCATATATATGTTCCTTAACTGCCACTAAGTCATAGTTTCCTCAATTGCTAAATTGGGTTGTTGTGAGGATTAAATGAGAAAACAATGTGGAGCTCTTAGCAAAGTGATGGGTTCTTAGGAAGCAGCCAATAAGTAATCATAACAGTTAATATTAGTGGTAGCTATTGGAAAGGTATTTGAGATTCAGGGATGAATGAAAATCACTGTAAATCTAGAACCCTACCCTTATCTAAACTATCAATCTCTTTTTATTGAACAGTTTCAAATTTATTTTTGATAAACAATTTTAATATAGTCAAACATTTATTAGAAGCAGAAAAGTCATTGTAGAGCACTTGAATTATATTTAAAAGTTTAGCGGTCTAAACTAGCAATCTAAGATGATTGTGAAATAAAGGCATTTAAAATCCTCCTACTTGCTTATCGGAACTACCATACCAGTCAGGATAAGCTAAGCCACGCTGCGCTAACAAATGGCCTGCAGATCTTGGTGCTTTACACTACTAGCAAATGTTTCTTTTACGCTTCTGCTGCCTGTCCACTGGGGGTCAGCAGAGGCCGTCTTCTCTGTCAGCATCACTCTAGGATGCCGGCCACCCAGCAGCCTCTCTGTGCCACTCAGCAGAGGGAGAAGAGACCTGGGGAGCCACGTGCTGGCTCTTGTTGCTTCTCTTTGGAAGTGACACCGTCACTTTCACATATGTTTCATCAGCCAGAGAAAGTCAGCTATGGCTGGCTCAATAGAGCCAGTAAGTCTAATCCTCCTGAAGCAGAAGCTCTGCAGAGAGAGGAGCCAAATATACTGAACATAATACAGTAGACAAGAGAATGTGTGTGACTCTGAAACCATTAAGGGAGTAAAAGGAAAAAAGAAGGAAACAAAAAATGTGGAAAAAGAAACATGGCCATTAGAAATCACAACTTAAGGAAGTATCAAGTAATCAAAGCTAATGGCCGCTCAATAAATATAAAGAAACTAAACTCACAAAACAGACTCTCATATTGGATGATAAAACAAAATTCAAATATATATACACTTTACAACAGAAACACATAACATGAAATGACAAGAAAATTTGAACACTGAAAGAAGAAATGTTTACATCCCAGATCAAGAATCAACAAAAAGGAAGTGTTACTGTATTACCAATTAAAATAAGCAACCAGATTTTTCCCAAGAAAATACACACTTCACCTATATTCTCAAAATTGTTGGCAAAAAGTTAATCATAGTTGTGGTAGGCAGAAAAATGATCCCTAAAAGGATGCTGACACCATAATCCCCAGCAAAGAAGCCCACGACATTAGGACTAAATAAAAATGTTAACCAGGAAGACATGAGAATTTAAAATGTGCATTATTATACAGTATGTTATCAAATAAATGAAGGAAAAAACTCACAGAATTACAAAGAGGCACTGACAAATACACAATCATAGTTGAAATACTTGTCTCACATTGATCTAAAGTCAACCTTTTGTGGTGTTAATTCCCCCAGCATCTCTGGACTGTACAGATGTGGGGCCGAGTAAGTCCAAAGGCCTCTTCTGCCTCAGGAGCAACAGGGAAGCCAGGGCAGGTCTGGGCAGTATGAACAGAACATAAGGAAGGTTCCGTGAAGTTGGTCCAAGTTCCTGCAGATAATCCATCTTGGCGGCAAGGACAGATGAGACCAGGAGAATCTGAAATGGGTACAAGAACTGTGTAAATCATGAACGCGCACAGAGAAACAGCAAACTGGGGACAAAGAGAGGGACCCCTGCCAACAGGGACTCTGAGATCTGTGTCTGAGTCCAGTCCCTGAAATCTCTGACCTTGGAACCTATGGTTAACTGAACAGTGGCCCACCAAGATGTCCCCATCCTAATCCTGGAACCTATAACTATGAGACCTTACATGGCAAAACAGACTTTACAGATGTGATTAAGTTAAGGATCTGCCATGGCCTGAATGTGCCCCCTCAACAGTCATATGTTGAAGCTTAATCACCAATGTGGCAACATTAACAGATGGGGTCTTTAGGAGGTGATTAAGTCATGGAGCAGAGCCCCTCATGAATGGGTCTGTGCCCTTACAAAAGTGCCTTTCCATCTCTTCTGCCACTTGAGGACACAGTGTTCGTCCCTCTTTCCCTTCCACCATCTGCCAAGTGAGAATACAGAAGCAAGATGCCATCTTAGAAGCAAAGAGGAAGTTCTTACCAGACACTGAATCTGCCAGCACCTTGATCTTGGACTTCCCAGTCTTCAAAACTGTGAGAAATACATTTCTATTATTTATAAATTACCTAGTTTGTGGCATTTTGTTACAGCAGCACAAATGGACTAGGATAGGGTCTTAAAAAAAGGAAGACCCTGGGCTATCCACATGGGTCATCTGCATAATCACAGAGTTCTTTATGAGAGGTGGCAGGAGGAGATAGAGAGAAATGAGAATGCCACGTGATGATGGGAGCGGAGTAGAGGTCAGAGCAATGCACTTTGAAGACAGAAAAGGGGCCATGGGCCAAGGAATGCAGGCATCCTCTCGAAACCATGCTAGATAAAGAAGCTGATTCTCCGCTGAAGCCTCCAGAAGGAAATGTCCCTGCTGACACCTTGACTTTAGCCCAGTGAGACTCATTTTTGAATTCTGCCCTTTAGAACTTTAAGCAAATAAATGTGATATTGTCAAGCTACTGCATTTGTAGTAGCTGTTACAGCAGCACTGGAAGCTCATGCAGATCCCTTTCTTTGATTCTGGGAGCTACATCTGTGCCCCTCCTTCTTACTTAATAGCAAGTCCGTTCGTTTTTTCTGTGTGTTGTTTGCATTGGAGAGAAGGGAGAAGTCCTGAACTATAATCAGTCTGTACTCTGTAAAGTGACAGAGGCAATGTCCGATGTCTCAGAGCTGCCGCTGAGGGCAGGGCTGCACCACAGGCTGCCCAGGGAGCCAGTGCAGAAAAAGGGCAGCCCTTTGGTTGCCTCCTCTGCATCTCATGGTCTTGCTTCCACTCATGCAGGTGACCCTCACTGGTACATCTGAGAGAAAATGCACTCCCAGGAGCAGCTACTGCTCTTGTGAAGAATATTCCTGGAGGAGTCCACACGGGTGGAGTGGATCTTGGAGGGATGGGCCCAACGCAGCCTCCCTCAGTGTGCGGGGATGACATGAGTGGGGGCTCTTCTTCCTCTGGAGAGGGTTTCGGGGCGAGAAAGATGAGCAGGGACTGAACTAGTTTCTGGTCTTCAGGTTCCAAAATAAACCTCTGAGATAAACCATTCGGGGTCATTGCTGCAGGTTTGTTCCTGAGAATGCGGGGACATTCAGAGTGGGAAAAGTTGGCTTTCTGGTGTGGGGACATCAGGTCCTCTGACTCCCACTGTGTGTATGACAGACCTAAAAATCAATGTGCATGTGTTTATAAAATGATGCAGAAAAATTACAGTGTCTTCTAGTCTCTGAAGCATGGCTTCTAACAGCCTTGGCTGGTTTATACTTCAACTTCCAAAACCATCTTTGGGAACCCAAGTCTTTATGGTTTTAGAAAAACAGCCTCAGACACCCGATGACTCCTCGCATGATTTTCCATCCATACTCCCCCAGAGCCCTGATTCCCCAACCAGTTCCAGACGTCTGAAAAGAGACAGGCATGCTTTGATGGCGCACTTCTCCAGTTGAATTTGTTCTTTGGTGTTTAACTTAGAGTAGGAAGAAAGATATCTAGAAAGGAAACCCATTGTTTTCAATGTCTTTAAAGCAAAAGAATCACTATCTGAACTGTCTTGCCTGTCATCATCTTAATCTTAATTGCCCTTCCATCTCTACGCATTTTGTATATAACAGATCACTCTTGCCGCCAGAGCTACCTTGAACTGCTCTAACTAAGCCAGCCTGCTGTAAGCACAGCACCCCTGACAGAGGTCTCCCAGTGGTGTCTGGAGCATCACCTGCTACCCTGCTGTCCTGACATGAAACCATGCTCCTCTGTGAAGCTGTGCTCTCTCAGTGACATTGGTCCTGCCGTCACCCTGGCCTTGGCAGATACATTGATCTACCTCATCTCCTGTTTCCCAAATCCAACATAGTACAGCAGAAACCAGTCTACATATTTTAATACAATTTTGTTGAGAGTTCAGGGATAATGGTAGAAAAATACATCCCAGAGTTTACCTTACACTGATGTAAGGGACCTTTTCTCCAGATCCTTTCAAAGGCCATCTGGCTACCTACAAACATTTCACAAGGTCTCAGATGTTCAACCTGAGACAGCGGCTGGGCCAGGGGAGCTCTGCCCAGCTCCGTGCTATTGTTTTTCAGGCGCTCCCCACCCACGGTCCAAAGGTCTTGGGTCCAGCGCCACAGAGCTGCTCTGCCCCTTCAGAGACCAATGCATGCATAGAAAACCAAAGAACATTTCCTCCAAGCTCCTGCCTCGTTCCTGGACTTTCAGGAAACCCAGAGCTCTGGAGAGCACATTTAGAAAGCTACTGGCTATTTACATGAAGCTATATTCTCCCTCCAAAGGTACACTGGGTTTGCTTTCATATCTTCAGCCAAAACAGCACATTTGGTGAGCATCTTCTCTTTTGCTAAGAGGCCCATGAGCAACTTTTCTGCCTGCTGAGGAGACTTGCAGGCTGTTCTGTGTCTTCTGCTTTGGGCAGCTGCTTGCCCTGGCTGTGGAAGGCTCCTGGAGTCCCCTGGCTGCTGACCTGACAGGACCAGCCACACGCCCCTTACATTTGCTCGTACCAAGGCTCAGCAGCCAGGCTGAGAGGCTGTTCTAGCCGTTTCTTGGCCCTGTCTCCACAGACCCTCACCAGGGGCTGGCAGAGTCCCTGGGCTTGCCCCATGCACATTGGCAAGGCTGAAGGCTCGGACAGGAGATATCCTTTCAGAGTCACTGACGGTTACGTGCCAGCCACGCACCCTCCGACCTCTCCTGTGCTGTAACCCCAGCACCCTTGTCTGTGTGTCTTCTCAGAGGACAGGAAAGAAGGGAGGTGCCTGCTTGGAATGAGAGCATAGACTTTTTCCATCTAAGTAAAAGTGCTGGGATGCTAGATCCACAGGTCTGTTTATGGGCATAGAAATGCTTTACAAACAGAGCTGGTGTGTTGAATCAGTTGTTCAGGGAATCTGTGCTCCTTTTCCTATCTCCAGGGGTCTGCGTGTTATGGAATTTGGCTAACACCAACCTGAATATGATCTGCCTAAATCACAGCCCGGCTCCTGCTACAGCGCTTTCCTTTCTTTCTCTCTGTAACTCGGATGTGCAAACATTGGTAAGAGAAACCAGAACTCAGGGACAATGAGAGCAAATGGCTGTGCGTAGATGCCAGCATTTGTCACCCCTAAGGCGAGGGTCCTCTTTCTCCTTGTGCTCCTGTCTGCCAGGGGAGCAAAAGTTTTATTGGAGAAACTAATCATTGAATTAACTTCAAAATACATTCAGAACCTTTGGCATTTACAAATCCATCCTGTAATTAAAAACACAAATAACTGAAGGTTTTTCCATTGTTCAAAAGTATTGGTTAATTGAATTATTTTGTTGTCATTTTTTGTGTCTAGTTTGGTCTAGACAAATATTGGGAGGGGCACTAAGTACTTCATCTGTTTTCTAACTTCATAATAGAATTGAAGAACCATTGCGTATGTGAATTTTGACACTCCACATATCCTTAATGTCAATCCCTGAAAAGAAATTTGCTGCACTTGGGAAAATTGAAAATTAAAAATGCCCAAGTCTCAAAATGGATTTCTTCAGCATTACAAGAAAAAAAGATAGAACTGGTGTTTTTGTTTAATTGGCTAAATTTTTCTAGCACAGAAAAAGATTTGTTTCTTTCAAGTTTGGAGTGCAAGCCTTGAGCCACTCTGGTGTCATCCAAATTCTAAATGTGCTCATACTCAAATAAATCAAGACCTACGTACATATACGTGTGCACACATCTGTGTATGGAAGCACTGACTGCATGGCAGAAATCATGGATCAAATCTTCTTTCCCTCCCCTGTCTTCTTTCTCTCCCTACAGCGTCTTTTCTTCCTGTTGTACCCTTGCTGTCTGTGCACTAAAGCACAACCCGAAGCCGCACCTTCTCTGGGACAGCAGCCCCCTCAGCAGGCCTGGTGCAGGTGTGAATCAGCATTGGGGGCTGCTGAAGCCCACCTGAAAGCCTGGTGGCCTCAGCTTCACTTTTAGGGCAGATAAAGGGTTTGTGTTGGCACCAGGCTTGAACCAGCTTCTTGTTTTCTTTGGGGCCAGGACCCTAGTCTAGTGCAGCTTCACACTCCTGTGTAAGTGGCAGCCCCTCTCCAGTCCTGGATGTAGGAGGCCCCATCGGGACCCTGAGGGCTGCGACATGGGCCCTGTATGCCCAAGGCCCACGCACAACATGGGGACACCAGCTCCCCACGGACGCTCCTTGCACGCCCTCCCTGCATTCCCCTCTCTACATCACTAGTAGAGAGGGCCCTGCTTTCTTTCCACCCCTTTCCCCTGCATGCCCCCTGCTGCCTAAGAAAGCCCCTGGAAGAAACCCAGCTTCTTGAAGTGGTTAAATAAACAGGAGGCTGTGATTCATTCAGCATGGGGTGGCGGGAGGGGGAGGGACCTTGCCAGATCCGTCATGTGGTGCCTCTTCCTTGTGAGCCTCTGAGTCACAGGGCAGCAGGGGTGGCGTCCTCAGGGATGAAAGCTGAGGAGGCTGTAAGCGAGTGAGTGCATGTGAGTCTGTGAGTGTGCGTGTGATGTGTGTGTGTGAGTGCATGTGAGTCTGAGTGTGATGTGTGTGAGCAAGTATGAGTGCATGAGTCTGTGTGATTTGTGTGAACAAATGTGTGAGTGTATGTATGTGTGGGTGTAAGCAAGTTTGTGAGCACGTGTGTGATGAGTGTGAGTGCATGAGTGTGTGACATTTGTGAGTGTAAGCAAATTTTTGAGTGCATGTGAGTCTCTGAGCAAGTGTGTGAGTGCGTGTGTGTGATATTTGTGAGAGTGAGCGTGAGGGTGCGTGTGAGGTGAGTGTGAATATATGTGAGCTGTGTGTGATAAGTGTGAGTGCATGTGAGTGTGCATGGCATGTGTGAACAAATGTGTGAGTATATGTGAATCTGAGTGGGTGTGATTGTGTGTAAGCGAATGTGAGTGCATGTGAGTCTGAGTGTGCATGTGGTGTGTGAGGAAGTTTGTGAATGCATGTGTGTGATGCATGTGTGTGAGTGCATGAGTATGTGACTGTGCAGGTGATGTGTGAGCATGAGTGCATGTGTCTGTGCATGTGATGAGTGTGTGAGTGCATGTGTCTGAGTGTGCATGTGATGCATGTGAGTGCATGGGAGTCTGTGTGTGTGATTTTTGTGAGTGTAAGCAAATTTGTGAGTGCATGTGTCTGTGTGATGTGTGAGCGAGAGCATGTGTGAATGCATGTGGCTTGTACGTGTAAGCAAGCATGAGTACGAGTCTGAGTGTGCATATGATGTGTGTAAGCAAGTTTTTGAGTGCATGTGTCTGTGTGATGTGACCGAGTGTGAGTGCGAGTCTGTGTGATGTGTGTAAGCGCATGAGTCTGCATGTGATGTGCAAGTGTGAGTGCATGTGAGTCCGAGTGTGTGTGATGTGAGTGTAAGCAAGTTTCTCAGTGCATGTGTCTGAGTGTGCATGTGATGTGAGGGTAAGCGAGTGTGAGTGCATGAGTCTGAGTGTGTGTGATGTGTTTGGGTGTGACTGAGTGCATGCATGTCTGAATGTGCATGTGATGTCTGAGTGCGTTTCTGAGTGTGCAAGTAATCTATGTGTGTGAGTGCATGTGATGTGTGTGTGAGTGCATGTGAGTCTGAGGGTGTGTGTGAGTGTAAACAAGTGAGTATGTGCATCTGAGTGTGCATGTGATATGTGTGAGCAAGCATGTGAGTGCATGTGAGTCTGTCAATGTGATCTGTGTGTGTGAGTACATGTGGGTCTGTGATGTGTGTGAGCTAGCGAGTGCATGTGTCTGAGTGTGGGTGTGATGTATAAGTAAGTTTGTGAGCACATGTGAGTCAGTGTGTGTGATGTGTATGAGTGGGTGAGTGCATGTCAGTGTGCATGTGATGTGTGTGTATAACTGAGTGCATGTGCATCTGAGTGTGTGTGTGTGTGCATGTGATATATGTAAGCGAGTGTGAGTGCATGTGGGTGTGCATGTGATGTGTCTGTGAGTGCATGAGTCTGTGGTGTGTGAGTGTAAGCGACAGTGAGTGCATGTGTCTGTGCATGCAGTGTGTGTGTGAGTGCATGAGTCTGTATGTGCATGTGATGTGTGTGTGAGTGCATGCCTGCGTGTGATGTGTTTTAGTGAGTGTGTGAGTGCATGTGAGTCTGTGCATGTAATGTGCATGAGTAATTCTGTGACTGCACATGAGTCTGTGACTGCATGTGATATGTGTGAGCAAGTGTGAATTGTGTGTGTGGCATGTGTGTAAGTGAGCATGAGTGCACGAGTCTGCAGGTGATGTGAGTGTAAGCACGTTTGAGTACATGAGTCAGTGTGCATGTGATGTGTGTGAGCAAGTGCATGTGAGTCTCAGTGTGTTTGATGTAAGCAAATGTTTCAGTGTGTGTGTGAGCAAGTGTGTGCATGCATGAGTGTTCGTGTATATGTGATGTGTATGTAAGTGACTGCATGTACGTCTGAGTGTGCATGTGTTGTGTGAGTTTAAATGAGTGCATGTGAGTCTGAGTGTGATGTTTGTAAGTGTAAGCAAGTTTCTGAGTGCATGTTCGTGAACGTGAGTGGTTTGTGAATGTAAGCAAGTGTATGAGTGCATGAGTGAATGTGCATGTGATGTGTCAGTGATTGTGAATGCATGAGTCTGTGAGTGTGCATGTGATATGTGAGTGTAATTGTGTGAGCACGTGTGTGCCTGTGATTTGTGTGAATGAGTGTGTGTGCACGTGAGTCTGCATGTGCCTGTGATGTGCAAGTGTGTGGGAGCCCATGTGAGTCTGAGTGTGCATGTGATGTGCAAGTGTCAGTGAGTGCCTGTGAGTCTGAGTGTGCATGCAATGTTTGTGTGTAAGCTAGTTTGTGAGTGCATGTGAGTCTGTGTGCATGTGATGTGTTTGTGTGAGTTCCTGAGTGTGCATGTGATGTTTGTAAGTGTAAGCAAGTGTGTGAAGACACGAGTCTGAGTGTGCATGTGATGTGTGTGGGCCAGTGTGAGTGCATGTGAGTCTGAGTGTGCATATGATGTGAGTGTAATTGTGTGCATGTGTGTTTGAGTGTGCATGTGATATGTGAACAAGTGAGTGAATGTGAGTCTTTGCATGTGCATGTGATATGCAAGTGTGTGAGTGCATGAGTCTGTGCATATGATGTGCGAATGTCAGTGTGTGCTTGTAAGTCTGTGCATGTGATGTTTGTGTGTGTGAGTGCATGAGTCTAAGTGTGCATGTGATGTGTGAGCGAATGCACGAGTGTGAGTCTGTGAGTGTATGATTCTGAGTGCATGTGATGTGTGTGAATGCATGTCTGTGTGTGATGTGTGCACAAGTATGTGAGTGCATGCAAATGTGTGTGATGTGTGTGAGTGTGAGTGAACATGCTTGTGTGATATGAGTGCATGAAAGTTTGTGAGAGTGATGGGTGTATGTGTACATATGAGTGTGTGTGTGCATATGTGCATTTATGTGTGCAGATATGTATGCATGTATATGGGTGTCAAAGGGTCTGCGTGAGCAAGTGTGCGTGAAAATCAGTGAGAATTTTTGTGTAAGAGCCTACGTACATGAGTGTGAGTATGGGTGCCTGTGTGCACGTGTGAGAGTATGAACAGATGTGTTAGCATGTGTGTGTCTTTGTGAGAGTCTGTGTGTGTGTATGTCTGTGTGCATGTGTACATGTGTGTATGCACACACACATGCTTCCTTCTGTTTCCTCTACCTTCTCCCAAACTGCTTTCTCAGGGAGAGGCTTTGAAACAAGACTGTTTCACCCGGCTCCCAATTTCCATCAGTTCTACAGAATCAGTGGTCACCTTGGCCCTGCTCCCCTCCCCACCCTCAGCCCTGCCTCCTCTGCCAGGCTGGTCCGAGTGGGTTGTGAGACTCCACAAAACCGTCTTTTTTTTCAGGGGACCACACCTACTTGTTTGTCAGGGGTTATTCCTTGTTAATTCCGGAGATGTTTATAAAAGTCTCAAGTTCTATTTTCCAGTTGGGTGAAGCTGTCATTTCTGCCTTGGTCAGGAGGACTAATGATTTCATTGCCTGGGAGGTTATGTGTCTCATCTACCATGGTAAGGCAGAGAGATGGACACACAAAATGAAGAACAGAGGGCAAGAAGAAACCCTACACCCTAAACTAGGAAAAGGTGTTTAGTGAAGGCATTACTGAATGCTTCCAAGTGTTCTGTCATTGAGTCCTCCAAGAAGCCCACTGCTTAGGTATTCTTTTACAGGCGGAGGAAGCTGCCTCCACCCCTGTCCCCACCCCTAGAAGTCAGGAACTCGACCTCACACAGCTGGGGAACAGTGCAGCCAGGATTCTAAACTCCCCCTGTCAGATTCTAGTACATTCTCTTTCCCTAATACCAAGTGGTTTCAAATATATTTAAAGTATTAAGAAAATATATAGCTTTATCTTTTTCATAAATTTTACAGGAAAAACTACCTTTAGCACTAAAGCATGACCCAAAGCTTATCTGGTGAAATAGCCTTGGGCTATGGAAGCAGTTATGGGAAGGTCGATCTGAAATCCTCATTTTGCCTGCCCTCACTGTTGCTCAGCCCCTTATTATAGAACAGATCCAACGAAACTCTGCAATATCATAACTAGAGTTTATTTGTCCAAAGCCTTGTGATCTGTCCACCATTGGGGACAATGTCTTTAAATCAGTGGTTCTCAACTAGAAGCAATTTTGTCCTCCAAGGGACATTTAGCAATTTTTGGAGACATTTTAGGTTGTCCCAGTTGGAGGTGGAGGGTGCTACTGGTATCTAGAGGGTAGAGGCCAGGGATGCTGCTGAGTGTGCAGGACAGACCCTGCCACAAAGAATTATCTGGCTCAAAATATCACTAGGGCAGTTCCTTTCTTTGTCTGTTGGTTGGCTGGCATGAGGAACCCAAAATGACGGGAGTCTCAACTTGGGTGGAACTCTTACACTGCCCTCTAGTGGAAGCAGAACCTCCAGTCCAGTAGAGAGTGACGTTGCAACTCTACAGGAAACGCAAATTCCCTGAGTGGTGGCGAGAAGGACAAAGGCCAAGGACATGGAATGGGATTTCAGCTGTAGGCTTGGCCCATATGGGGCTGCCAGGGAGGCAGAGCCTGTGTGTGCCATCTTTTTCCTCCCAAGAACCCGACTGACACTAAGCCAAACTTCTCACAGAGCTGTTCCCAAGGCACAGAGCACCAGAATACATTTCTGTTAAACAGCAGGAAGAGGCCAGATCTGGGATTCCAAATCCTTGATCTAAGGGTTGCCATCCCACTATGGAAGTTTTCCAAAGTGGGTTTACCAATCTACATTCTCATGAGCAGTGGATGAAAGTTACACTTGGTCTACATCCTTGTCAACATTTAGTATTGTCTATTTTGTTTTTTAAATTTTATTCATTCTGAGGGATGTACAGTGTAACATCACAATGATTTTCATTCGCACCACTCTAACAGCTAATAAATTGGAGCATCTTTTCAAATGTTTATTGCCATTGGACACTCTCTTTTGTAAAATCTCTTGCCCATTTTACCTTTGGATTGGTTTCTAGCATTTTATTATTATTGATTCTTCAGAGCTCTACATAAGTTCTTGATCATTTTTTTTGTCAGATATATGGAATGCAAATATCCTTTCCCATCCTGTGGGTTGTTTTTTTACTCTTCATATGTCGTTCATCTTAATGCTTATATGCTGGAGTTTCTTTTCATTGCATTTTTGATTTATCTCCATTGATTCTTGAATTTGATATCTTCCTTTTCCCTAGCTTCCTCTTTTTTTTTTTTTTTTGCAGGAATTTTTGCTAATCACATTTTCCTCTCCTCATGATTTACATATAGAAGACAATATTCTGATTTTTTGACTGTTAACAGGTCTTTATTTTGCCTTCCTCCTTTATTGGTAGTTTAGTTGGGTATGTAATACTTTAAGAATTCTCTTTTTTTTTCAGATTGCATCAGTGCAACAGTCATGAAGAAAGAATATTATCTCCTCAAATCTCTTTTAGAATATACAGTTCAAATTTCTTAACCTTGATTTCTTTTCTGTAAGTTTTCTTTTGTTTCTTGAAAGAGCTCTGTTTCACACAGGTTCAAATTTCCCGAATGGGTTGTTTGCCATCGTTCCATTTGCCAAAACTGATGAGTTTTCAATGCTTCTTTTAGCCTTACAAAGGGAAATTCATCTCAGGTAAAAGAATAAGCAGCTTCAAAAATTCTTGACCTCTCTTTTTGGTATATTTAATGCAATTTGATGTGCAAGGTGGGAACTGCAATTAGTCAGCAGGAGCAAGGACTTGGAAGTCTTGTGCCAGAGCAGTTTCCTCTCTGGTTGCCATTGGCCCTGGACTTCTGTAGCCAGCTAGGGTGATGAGCCTTTATCTCCCATTGCCAGCTGACCTGGTTGGGGCCGACTTCAGCCGCAGCTGACACAACAGATTTGCTGTGCTCCACTTGAGGCACCCTCCCCACCTTTCTCTACAGGTGGTTATTGTAGCCTGAGGTTGCCTCAGGCCTGGGGCTGCAGTTGAACAGAAATTTGTCCCCATTAACTGAACCACAGTAATCTGCAGCACCCCTAGAGAGTGTAAATGAGCAAGAAAATTAAGTGGAAACTCAGTGATAGAAATCATCTGTAGTTTTAAGTATATGCCAAACAGTAAATTCAGAGATTAGGGACTAAATGCAATTAAAATCCAACTTGACATCTAGACTTTTGCTCATTGCTTCATCTTATGATAAAACCCATAGCCAGTTGGAGCTTCTCCCTTATTAGCTCATTCTCAAATTGTCTGTACTTCATATTTTACTCAAGTGATCCAACAGCCCTGGCTTAATTGTTCATGACACTGAAGCTGACCTTCAGCTGGGAGAACTAATTGACCAGCTCCTAATTCAGCTGTAGGAACTCACAGACAAATCTCTGAAAATGTCTTGATTGCACACTCTTGTGAGATTCTAGACTAACTTTCCTAAGTGTGCCTATAAATGCTAGCTTAAGTTCTTTTTTAATCAAGACAGCATGTCAAAGATTTATATAATTAGCTCAGTTTGACCTTTCTCTAGTTAATCCTGTTGACTTTAGATGACTTTTAGTTCTAAGGCTCACCACTAAAATGTAGTCCCTCCAAGCTAAGTTTACCCCGAGAAAAATGTAGTCCCTCCAAGCTAAGTTTACCCCGAGAAAAATGTAGTCTCTTCAAGCTAAGTTTACTCCCGAGATTTTAAAATAAACTCCATTTTGTTAGTTTTTAAGGAAGGGACCAACCCACATGACCTGAGGAAGGACAAAGTATTGTTAACATATCAATTTTCTCAAAGTGATTAACAAAAGCAGATTCCCAGTGAAAAAAAATTGAAACTACAAAATCATGTCAGTATTTATCTTTAGGAAAGAAAAGATAAAAATAGTCAAGAAAGTGATATTTTATCAAATTATAATGAGGGGATATTGGCATTGTCAAATACTGAACTAAATATATCAAAGGTATACTGATTAAAATATAGTGATACTGATGCAAAAAAAAACAAGAGAAAATGAAGAGAAAAATCTAAAATCAAGTACACATATGTATTTAGGACAAGACAGAAATAATAGTTTAAATTAGTGGAGAAAAGAAATACTATTCAATAAAGGGTGCTTGGTAAATTGTTAAATAACATAGCCATAGCAAATAAATTTGACAAGGATTTAAAATAGTAATTAATTTGGTGAAGGTACCAAGAATGAAGACTCAAAAAAGACCATCTTTCTGAAGGGTGTTGATATCCTAAACAAGTAAATATTTATTAATACTATAATTACAACTATAAGACTCCATCTAAATAGAGATGTGAAAATATCTACAAACCAGAAACAGTCATTTTAGAATGTTATCTGTAGTAGGAAAAGATTTCTAACAATTTAAATGTTCAGCAATAGAAGTTTGAGTAAGTCGTCAATCCGTAAAATGGAACAATATGCAGCCATTAAAGTCACGTTTTAGATTAATGACGTGGGAATACGTTTTCAATAAAGTATTGCTATGGATGTCTCCAGGGGAAACAGTACAGGGGATTTTAATTTTCTTCTTTGTGCTTTTCTGTGTTTTTGAACCATTATGCAGTCAATATTGTTTGTTCCAATGACATTTTTGAGGAAGAAAAAGAACCATGTGTATAGACAGATAGAACGTTAATTGATTGATGCAAAACAAAACAAGTGAAGAAAGTTCTGAAAAAAAAAGGAGATAGTTAATTCTTTTTACAGGTGGAGATAATTTGGAATTTGTGATTTTTATACAAAGTTAAAAACGAAGGAACAAATAAGCACATTATTCGTTAAGCAGGTAAAAGATCTTGGCAGTCAGAAAAACCGACTGACCACTATAGTGCTGCCCACCGGGGCCCTGGGAGGGCACAGGACTTCCTTAAATGCCCGTCCAAAATATGCCTTAAAAACCTGTCGCCTCTTCAAGATAGACATGGAGAGAAAGGAAAACAGCCAATTACTGTAGACCATAGCCTTGTGAGGAGTGATGTCTTTGATGGTTTTCGATGTTAAAATGTCTTTAATACATAATTTATTGAAAAAAATAGTATCTTGTAAAAGGGAGGGGAAGAAGTAAAGCTAAACACAGTATTTGGTTGTGGCAGCAATTAATTGCTTCTATCACTTTTTGTTTTCTTTTTTGGCTTTTTATTTTGAAATAATTTTAGACTTACAATTACAAAAATAGTTCAAAAATTGTATTATACTCTTCTGCCAGCTTCCCCAAATGTTAATACCAAGATAACCAATAGTTCAATTATTAACATGAGATTAACGCTGATAAAACACTGTTAACTAATCTGTAGGCCTCATTCCGATTTCATCAGTGTCCTTCCTGTGGCCTTTTGCTGGTCCCAGATCCAATCCAGAAGCCCACGTTTAGTTGTCAGATCTCCCTGGTCCTCTAATCTGGGACAGTTCTCAGTCTTTGCCTTTTATAATCTTCACACCAATGATGAAAGCCCATCTGTTATTTTGCGGATATTTTCTTTGTGACGCTGAAATTATGCATTTTTGCCAAGGGTACCCCAGGAGCAACGCTGTGCCCTTCTCAGTGCATTGTGCTTGGTGGGTACGTGAGGTCAATATGTCTTATTACCAGTAATGGTAACTCGATTTGGTTCAAGTGGTGTCCGCTAGGTTTCTCCACTGTAAAGTTTCTGTTCTTCCCTTTGTAATCAGTAAGTATCTGGTTGGGGGATACTTAGAGGCTGTATAAATACTCTGTTCTTCATCAATCTTTCACTCACTAATTTTAGCATCCATCAAACGACCTTTGCCTGCAATAATGAGTACTACGGTGTTTGCCGAGTAATGATTTTTCTATTTCCATCATTCTTTCTACTGGAATTCTACTGGAAGTTAGAGCTGAACTTCCCCTCCTGTTTATTTATTCAGTTATTCTTCGTATCCATGTGGACTCAGGGGTGTTTTCTAGATTCTAGGAACTGTCATGTGTTGCCATCATTATACATTTTGTTGCTCTGCGTATCCCAGGCTCAGTCACTGGGGGAGCCTTCCGGTTGGCCCCTGTTCTGGCATGGCCCTGTCATTTTTGGATCCCTTTCTTACTCTCTAGCACCACAAAATATTCCTGGCTAATCTTGCTCATTCCCAGTGTCAGCCCTGGTGTCAGCCATTTCTCCCAGGAGCCCTGGTTCCTTTAACTGGAGATCGTTATTTAGAGTCCAAGGCCTGGGCACTAGGTGCATTCACTGCTGCCAGGGCGTCACTGCTACTCGGCCCTCCCCTTTGTCCCTGAGGTCCATTTGTCACTGTGTGTTCTGCCTTGGACCCCTCAACATTCTGCCTGTGTGGGAAAGGCGAGACACTCTCCAGTCCCTTTACCGAAGCTGCATTTTACCTCTGTCCACTGTAGTCAGAGTCCAGTAGTGCCACCCCTCCTGCCCCTCTTCCCCACTTTCTTGCGTTCCTGCCACTCTAGGTCCAGAGTACAAAGTACACTTGACAAATCTCATGCAGCTCATGGGAGCTGAGTGGGGCCTGGTCCCAGTGACAGGCTGCCCCCAGGCTGGGGTTGCCCGTCGACCGCAGGCCGTGGCCTGAGAGCCCAGCAGACGGCCACCTGCCCCTGTGCCTGCGGCTCAGTGCCAGCCTCAGACACAGCTCTAAGGAAGGGAAAGGATTCGTCATGCTGAGGGAAAGCTGTCCTAATCCATAGGATTTAGGATGGCTCAACTATCAGTGGACCTTAGGTTTTTTGTTTCTTTGATTTGCTTCAGTTCACCTGATTAAACAACTATAAACCTTGGGCTTGGGAAGGAGATTTCCTGTTGAAATATGTGGATGGATAGTACCATCACACCGTACATCTTGTTGTGTGGAATTGTTTTAAAATAGCAGCTTGTTTTTTCTTTTCTCCCCGCTGTGCTTAGGTGAGATTGCCCAAAGCTAGTGAGGGTATATACAATAGGCACCTTCATACATTGTTGGAGGGAAAAGAAATCTCTTCAACTTTTTTGGAAATACATTTTGCAGCACGTTTTATGAGATTAAAAATGTTCATATGCTTTCACTCATTAATTTCTTCTCTTGGAATCTATTCTGAAAACTAAACAAAAAATATGAAAAAATAGGCAAAGATTTATTTTGCCATTTTTATAATAATCAACTTGAGTAGAAAAACCCTGAAATAGTCAATCATAGGAAAGGTGAAAAATTATTACAAATGCACTTGATAGAATATTATAGAGTCATTAAACAATTTTCCCAATAAATAATATTAGCAACATGGAAAAGCACTTATGATATATTAAATTTAAAAAGGAAGATACTAGGTTAGTTGTACATTTGGACAACACACACACACACACACACACACACACACACACAGTTATTTATGAATACATAAAAGACCAAGGGGGAAAGAACTAAAGTATAAATAGTAGTTATGTTATGGTGTTTTGTGTATTTTTCTTTTCCTTCTACATTTTGTATCTTGTAAATCTTCTTGAAGGAGCCCAAACTACTTTGATAACAGAGTGAATAAAATAAGGTTTTTCATTTCTTGTAAGAATAGATGTCTTAGGGGTATTAAAGATTAGATTTAATATTTACTTTTAAAATAATTGTTCTCAGCCAAAATGCCATCTGGCTAGCAGAATTATCTGGAACACCTTTCCAAAATACACATCTGCATATCCAGCCCCCATGCACACCCAATACACATGCACGTGCACATGCACATACACACACATGCACGTGCACATGCACACACACACACATGCACGTGCACATGCACACATGCACACACACGTACACCTATGCACACATGCAACCCATATGCACACATGCACACATGCACATATATGAACACATGCACACGTGCAAACATGCACACACACACGTATGCACACACAAACATGCACCGACGCACACATGATCCCACACACATGCACACATACGCACACACATGCACATATGCATGCACATGCACACGCACACACATGCACGCATATGCACACACATGCTCACATATGCACACACACGCACATGCACACACACACACAAAGGCACATGCACGTGCACACACTCAGTCACTGGGACTAAGACCCACAGTGCTTGTTCCTCGCTGCAAGGTTGTATCACCAAGGAGTTGGGGAACTCAGCTGAGAGGGTGACCTTCCTCCCAGGGTGGGGGGACACAGAGACAGACCAGGGCTTATGCAGGCCTTTACTAATAATCCTACCACATTTGTTTAAAAAATATAAAGGAATATTTGGAAACAAAAGAAAAGAAAGAAGTTACTTAGAGTCCTACCTGTCTAGAGGGACCAGTTTGCATTTTTGTGTATTTTATAGGAGTGTTTTTGAAAAAAATATATCCTAGCCCTTAAAACAAACCCCCTCCCCATTCCTTCCTGTGCTTGTGAGGAATGAGGCATGGTGCTTTGGTCATGGCCCCATGCGCTGCTGGGGCTGGGTCCAGTCCTGACATTTTTTAGGTGTCTGAATTTGGACACATTCCTTAGCCTTTTTCAGGTTACTTGTCACTATTTTTTTGGAACAAAATATGATGATAATAGTTTCTATAGACCTCATAATATTGTAGTGAGGTTGAAAACAGATACCCATATAAGACACTTAGAATAATGTCTGGCCCATGGTGAACACTCAATACCTTTTATTATTAACATCATCCCTTTCATTATTATTACTAAACAAATGGCTGTACTCCTAGTAGAGGTCACAAATGGTGGTCCTGGGTTAGGTTCGCAGATATGTTTTGGTTGGCTCTCACCGTGTTTTGTTTTGTTTTGTTTTTTGAGTCTCGCTCTGTCGCCCAGGCTGCAGTGCAATGGTGCGATCTCGGCGCACTGCAACCTCGGCCTCCTGGATTCAAGTGATTCTCCTGCCTCAGCCTCCTGAGTAGCTAGGATTACAGGTGTGCACCACCATGCTCAGCTAATTTTTTTGTATTTTTACTAGAGACAGGGTTCCATCATGTTGGTCAGGCTGGTCTTGAACTCCTGGCCTCAGGTAATCCACTGGCCTCGGCCTCCCAAAGTGTTGGGATTACAGGTGTGAGCCACCACGCCTGGGCCTCTCACCATGTTTTAAAATATTAATGAATTAACAACTAAAAAGCAGGAGACTTCACAGAAAATTCCAGATTTCTCATGGCTCTTGAAATACTGTGAGCATCTGACAATCCTGAGCCTGTTTTCCTGTTTGGTGGAAACCCGCAGGAGCTGGGCTGCCCTCCCACTGCCGTCATTGCTATTGATGGCCTGTGTCTGTGGGACATTTATAAATGTTCACCATCATCCCTTTACCGAAAGATGCTCTTTGATTTATAAAAACCAGGGAAGGTCTAGTCCAGAAGGTCAGGCAGCTGCACAATGTCAAGTTAGTGCTGAGTGTGGACAGCCAAGGATGCTATTAGCTGAGGGAGCAACAGTGGAGATACTGGTTGAGAAGTTCATCTCAGATTGGGAGCTGAGTGTAAGAGGACAGGGCTGGGTTGGGGCCACAGGCAAGGCCAGAGCAGGTCCCAGGTGCAGCCCACCAATCCAAGTGGACCTGGGAGAAGCCTGACTTGTAGGGGATGGTCCCCAGTAGAGGCCTCTAGGACTCCTTGGACAGGCTCTGGAATTCCTAGTTCTGAGAGAAGGGCCAGAGTATGGGCTCAGCTTCAAGGCCTACAAACAAGTCATTTGTCCAAAATGGTCATTAGCAAGACCTCCGGTGATCCTACTCCTCTTTAAGCCAGAGGGCTATGGAGGCCAGACCTACTCTGCCTCTTTGAGCTGGCCCCAGTGGTGATGGGGTCTCCTTGCATGGTTGAGAAGACCATGGGCTGGGGGAGGCAACAGATGATTAGGCCAGTAGCACATGGCCGTTGGGGTGGGGATACAGTACAGCCTTCGGTCACAGATCAGGGAAGAGTGAACTGGCTGGTGTAGGGATTGAGCCTGAGACTGGTCTCATTCACATTGAAACTTCCCAGAGCAGACCATGACTCCCAGAATGTCGCTGTAGTTCCTTAGAGACCTATGTGCTCTTCCATAAATACTGTATCATCGTGGGTTTCCTGACACGCAGGTTCCAGTAGATTGAGGTGGGAGGAAGAACAGGCTGAGTGATCCTAACTGGAGCCCTCCCCAAGGCCAAGGCCACTGACTCATGTTCCCACAGGCCATCTTTTCCTTGGTTTCAGGGAACTGCTGTTGGCTAGTAGCCCTTAGCTGTGGGCGGGAAAATTGCATCTTCAAGACATAGAATACTTAGTACTCTTTATTTATGTATCCTTTCTAACCACAGTGAAAGGCAAAACCATCTAGAGAGCTAGAGTTTCCAACCATGGCCACACCCCAAGTCTTTGCCCCCAGGTCCTCATGTTCTCTTGGGAGAGCTGCTACTTTGCAGCCAAGTGGAAAATTGGTGTGAGGTCAGAAAGGCCCTGGGCAGGGCCGCTCCCAGCTTCTCTTCTCTGTGCCAGGCTGCCCAAAACCCTGGTCTCCATCCCAAATTAACTTACTCATCAGAGGAGATACTTTTACCATTAAAAATCTACAATTCATGGTTCAAGATGGCAAGCCCATAAGTCAAACTTTCTCTCTCCAAAATTCCCATGGAAAATGAACAAATGTAGGAAGAGTGCTGAAAAGTGAATTAGTGCTGGGAAACAGAGAAGGTTGATCTCCACAGGCTTCAGAAAGTGTCTTCAACATACTGCATAGATGGGTTGGATGGAAGGAAGGATGTACCAACTCGTGCATATTGGGCATGTATTGGAAAACCCCTCCTGGGAAGAAAGTGGAGGCCCCAAAGAGCCTCAAGCTTGGAATGCTAGGCTCCTAAGGGCATGGGGCTGTGGAACAATTTTGGAAAGGGTGGTGGGGTTTAGCACATGGGTGGGTGGAAGCCGTGGGTGCTCTGAGTGGCTCAGCTTACATCAGCTAAAGCACAAATCACCAATGGGGGACCCTGAGAGCTGTGTTCTGTTTCCTAATGCATGATGCTCCCTATAGGATCTGTCTTCTTCTTCCCACAGTCTACCTTCTTAATTCAGACACAGACAACACCCTCAAAGGCACAGCAACATTGAGGTGGACTGGCAGTGGGGCAGTTAGTTGACAGGGCAAGGGCAAAGGTGGCAAGTTATCCAGAAGCTCATAGGATAATCCCCCTTAGTTGGTGACATGCCATCCTTCACCTGTATGTATCCTGAGCTGGGACAGATTGTGGTAAGAAGTCTGAGGAATGGGAAAGGATATCTTTAGATCCTGAAGATCATCTTAGATATGACTCAGAGATAGCAATGCATCCGTTCTTGTGCCAGGCCAGCCACTTACCAGCTGTGTGACTTCTGGACCTCAGTTTCCTCATCTGTTAAAATAGGTCTAATCTCAGCACCTACTGCATAAGATTTTTGTGAGGATTACATGTGATGTGTGTAAGGCACCGTAGCTTAGTGATTTCAGGATTACTACTTCAAACTAGTTCCCCTAGATTCAGTGCTAGGCACTGAGAACCCAGGCAGAGGTAGATGTTTAAATAGTATTTGTTAAATTTGTTATTATCATTCATTTCAGTTATCTGATGCTACAAAACAAATCCTAGTGACTTACCCCAAAACATAGGGGCTTAGAACAACAAAATATAACTATTACCACAAATGGTTTCTTGTGGATCAGGAATCCCAGGCACCTTGGCTGGGTGGCTCTGGCCTGAGCTTTCTGAGGAAGGTTCAGTGAAATGTCAGCCAGGATTGCAGTCATCGAAGGCTAGAGTGGGGCTGGAGGAGTCACCTTCAAGGTGGCTCATTTGTGTAGTTAGCTAATTGGTGCTGCCTGTTGGCAAAGGCCTTGTTCCTCCGTGTGGGTCTCTCCATGTGGCTTGGGCTTCCTCACATAATAGTGTCTTGGTTCCAAAGGTGAGCATCCTGACACCCAGAGAGAGAAAGAGAGAGAGAGAACCAGCAGGAACATCAAGCTTCTGCCATACTCCATTGGTCAGGCAATCACAGTCCCTGCCCAGATTTGAGTGGGGGAAACTAGACCCCACATCCCATTGGGAGGGATGAAATGGGATAAATACATGTGAGTACAAATATGTGTCCTTGGAACATAAAATCTGACACATTATTGTTCTTCTTATTATTAGAATTTGAGAGAGAAGCTTCATACCCACCTTTTGTAAAAGTTACTGGCAGTCAGAAACTGGTCTTGTCTGTCCCATGTGTGAACAGAGGTGGACCTTTCTTGCCAAGCTCCTGGATTGATAAACAACGTCTGGAAATTTTTTTTTAATGAAAATCTTGGCTGGGTTAGTGATGGAGCATGAGAAACAGAACACAAAGAACTATTCAATGATTCATCAAATTTATATCATATTGCAAAATTCTTGCACTTAAAAAAACTGGCTGTGAAAATCAGTGTCATAGGTACCCATGATATGTGGTTTTAAAGAAGAACAGAGGTGGAAGCACAGACTTTAGAGTGTCTGGAGGGAATCTCCCTCACTTGGCTTTATGGTCTCCAGTCTACTCCATCCTCTGACCCTGTTCAACCCCTTACTCTCAATGTATGACCTTGCATCCTTCTCAGAGAAAATAGGAACCGTCACATGGAGCACTCTCACCTTTGCACCACCAAATCGGCACTCCCCCTTGTGTCTTTTTTAAAATCTCCTCTTCCTTTTCCCCATTACAATGAAAGAGTGGTCCCTCTTCTGACTGCAGCTAGCTCCTCTTTGCCTGCTCTGGATCCCATCCCACTTCTTCATTCCAAGGACCACTAACATGTCGACCCCCACCGCTGTCTGTCTTTGACATTTTGCTTGTATTTTCCCCTTTTCAACAGTTCATGCCATTCCCATATTTAAAAGCACCTAAGAAATCCCCATCAACAACACCAATCAAAACTACCACCAACACCAGTACAAATAATCCTCTACACAGGCTGTACCCCCCACCACTCCCATCTGATTCCCTGCAGGTACTGTCCTGTCTTCCTGCTCCCTTCACAGATAAACTTGCCCTAAACAATTGTCTTCACTTACAGTCCCCACGTTCTCATATCTCACTCCTTCCTCAGTTCACTTCAATCTAGTATTTGCCTACATAACTTCACTGGAATTGCTCCCACTGTTGTCCTCAGTCAATCCAGTGGACACCTGTGGTCCTTCCCATCATGCTGGGTCTCTCTGTGGCAGTCTCCACTACTGACTACACTCTTGTGTGTAGAAACCATCTCTTATCTAGGCTTCTGGAACTAAACACTCTTGGTTTGCCTTTTAGACAGACTCCTCCCTCCTCTGCTTAACCGTTAAGCTTTGCAGTTTCTCAGGCACCCTCTTAACGGAATCTTCTCCTCTCACTTCCAATAGTCTGAGGAGAGATGGATTGAAAAAAAAAATGCATCCAAGCAGTTCAGACCCCAACAGTATTCCTCTCTTTGGGGCATCTCCTCCTATGGACATTCTCCTCCTCTACTCACCCTTCACCAGCTCTTCCTGAGTTGGCTGAATGGGAGCACTTGAGGGGGATAGTAGGAGTACATATTAGGGATCCCTATTGTGGGCACAGATTGAGTCAGCCTTTCCAGTTTTATCAATAATAAAACATATTTTTTTATTTCCATCTGACACCTGTGCCTTATCTCTTAAATTTTAAAGGAGAAGAACGAGTTATTGTTTATGGTTGTATTCAAATTCCAACATACATAATTACTGTCCGGTTGCCCTACCAGGCAGTCAACTCCATGAGGTCAGAGACTACCTCCGTATTGTCCACTCTGATTCCTCAGCACCCAGCATAGCCCCCAACACATTTAAGACAGTAACACTTGTATAGAATATTTCAATTTTCAAAACACATTTGCATAAATATTGCATGTAATTTTTACCATAATAGTATTCTGCACTCCCATCTTCCCCAGACCCACTTTTAAAGTTAGGGATTAAAGTCTGAGAGAGATTAAACAATGGAGATTGAGAGCCATTGAACTAATAAATTTTCCAGGATGTAAAGAGAAGTTTTTCTAATATTAATAACAATTTTTCTAAGTCCTGGTGTTTCAATAATTGTTATACAACTTGGGTATGCAACTGAATCTATATGAAATGTTTTAAAATAAATCTACAATTAAGAGATTTGCCAGTGTGCTCAGTAATTTTCAGATTTGTCAGCTTCTTCATTTCCAGAATGGCAGAATGAGGAGATTGTCAAATCCTCTCCCCAAAAAGTAATAATAAAACTGGACAAAATTATCAAAAACAACCATCTCAGGACTGAAAATTGACCAAAGCCATACAACAAATTGAGAAGCATTTACTCAAGATAAACTACTGAACCTCAGGTAAGAAAAATAGTGTGTGGTATTTTTAAGCCTGGGGCTACTTCATTTTCCCATCCCCCAGCTTAGTCAATGCAGTAATTCTACCAGGGAAAGCATACCTTAAAAACCAGCACCTCACCTGCTAGAGGTGGCTTATTTGGTTAAAAGCTGTGCACAGAAAGACCCCATGCTCAGATGTGTTGCTGAAAATAAGTAGAAATCTCAGTGGCAAATGAACAAGAAAGGAAATGTCATGGCTAGCTCAAAGTTTAGATACTGCTTGGAGCAACCAAGACTGGCAGACTAGCCAGAAATTTAACAAGGAGGTCCAAGTCATGAGATATTCATAGTGGACTTTGATAAGCTTTTCCGTATACCTGAAAGTATAGAAGAGTGTGCACATGTGCAAAGGTATGAGCATGTTCAGGAAAGAACAGAGAGGGCCCTAGCTATCTACACATCCTTGGTTGAACAAGAAGCTGGAACACATACAGACAGAACATGAGATGGTCCTGAGGAAAGTAACAACCAAGAAAACATGTAAACTGCCTGAACTTTGAGTGCATCTCAAACCCATAAACAGATCTGTCAGCAAAGGTTGGAAAGCTTACTGGATCAAGACGTTTGAGCGCAAACTCTGACCAATAATTACATGATCACTGTGCTCTGCTGAACAAGGGATGACTCTGAGGAAGTCAGGCTTCAAAATAAAAACAACAACAATAATTTTTAAAAAATTGAGCAGAGACATTAGCAGCCACATTCATGGGGAGACAAACTAAAGGATTAGTCCAGGAAAACCACTAAACAAAAAAACAAAGACAGTACCAAGAACAATACCCAAGATTGTGGGAAAACCAGAATCCAAAATTGCTACAATATATTATTTAAAATACCCAGTTTTCCACAAAAATATGCGAGTTGCAAAGAAACAGAAAAATGTGTTGCACATATAAGATAAAAAGCAGTCAGTAGAAACTATCTCTTGAGGTGCCCAGGTGTTGGAGTTAGCAGACAATGACCTCAAAACAGCTATTATACATATGTTCAAGTAATTTAAAGTAAACCATATTTAAAGAATTAAAGGAAAGTATGATGACAATGACTCATCAAATACAGATTATCAATAAAGAGACAGAAATTTTTAAAAAGAGGTACATAGAAATTATAGAGTTGGAAATGTCAGTATCTAATATTAAAAATGTACTAGGGGAGCTCAACAGCAGAGATGAGATAATATAAGAAGAAAGAATCACCAAACTTGAAGATGGATCAATAGAAATTATCCAATAAAAAGTAATAAAGAAAAATGAACAGAGTCTCAGTGACCTGTGGGACACCATCAAGTGTACTAACATACACACAATGGGAATTCTACAAGAAAAGCAGAGAGAGAAAGGTACAGAAAAATATTTGAAGAAATAATGGTCTAAAGCTTTCTAATTTGATGAAAAACCTTAATCTACCTAGAGAGGCTCAATGAACTTCAAGTAAGATAAGCACAAAGTTCCCCAACTAGACATATAGTCAAACTTTTGAATGCCAGTGTCAAAGAGAAAATCTTGAAAACAGAAAGAGAAAACTGACTCATCATGTGTAGAAAAATTATAAGATTATCAGCAGATTTCTCATTTGAAACAATGGAGACCACAGGATAATGGGATGACAGGTCCAAAAGATTGACACACAAATAAAGCCTGTCAACTAAGAATTCTGTATCCAGCAAAACTATCCTTTTCACTCTGTTGCAATTGTCCTTTGTTACACTAAAGATTTTAATTTTGATAAAATCCAAATTATTTTTATTTTTATTTTTTGGTCTGTGCTTTTGATGTCATATTCAAGTAATCATTGCCAAATCCTATGTCATGAAGATTTTCCCCTATGTTTTTCTCTAAGAGTTCAAGAGGTCCTTGGTTAAGGACCTATGGGGTCCTAAGGAACTATGGGGAATACTGGGTTAAATATAACTTAAAAGACTCTTTACTGTCCTTCTTCTCAGCCTTATTAATGTACATGTTAGAGCATTGGAAATATTAGAGAGGGGTCTATATTACCAACTGATTACAGGGCCACAGAGGAGAGGGATGATAAATCAGTGCTCCATGAAATTTCAGCCCAAGAAGCACTGCACCATGTTGCCCTCTGGATCATTCTTACATTAAAACTGTACAACCTTAAGAGGAAGCTGCTATTGTTATCTCTCATTGATGAAGAGGGAGCTGAGTCTTCTAGATATTAGTGATTTGCTCACTCTCACCACTAAGTACAGTAGCCTGGCTCCAAAGTCCAAGGCCCTAAACTCTATTCCTGCAGATTCTCCTCTCTCACCTCAGTGTAGGGCTTCTGGCTATTCTTCTCCCAAGACCACTAATCAGGACCCGCTGGTGGTCCCAAGGAGCAGGCTGAGCCTCCTATCTCCTTACAGATCTTGTCTCCTTTATAGTCCATCTCTGGATACCACTTTGCTCCACCAAACTGACTGCAGAAAGGAAAGCAGACTCCCTATCCACTAAAGAGAAATGAACAAAAGTCTACTTTGTACTAAGGCTTTATTGTCGTCAACAGCTGATGTCAGTGAAACATTTACTATGAACCTGGCACAGTGCTAAGCCCCATGGGTTATGACATCTGCAGTTCTGCTGTGAGGTACGTGAGGGGCAGGGAAGTGTCTCAGCTCATGAGGCAGCCCAGCTCTACCAGCCATTACCTTAACCCCATGTGCAGTGAAGCAAGGTCTCAATCTTCCTGATCAGATGTTCCTTTGTGCAGATGGGTGGGTTCAGCCAGGCCAGCCAGCATGTACTCCTCCCACACACACAGGAAGGCCTTCCTGGGAGCACACTTGCGCTTCCTGCAACCCATACCCTTTCTTTTGTTACCAGCTCCCTACTTTTCCTTTGGGAAGCTCTCCTATGCCATGTGCTCCTGGAGAGACTGTCCCTGTGTGCCATCTGCACTTCCTGCCACACCCGGGGTCCAATCACGTTATCCTTTCTGAGGGTTTGACATTGAGCAGAGGCACAGGGTCAGGGTGGGGAGCTCACTTCTCTGACAGCAGCACCTGTAAGTCTGTGCCCTGGCTCCTGTTGAGGCCACTTTTCACATTTCTATTAATATTATTATTATTTGTTAATCGGCTAAGCTGAATGGCTATTTAATAGTAGTTGGCATTGTAGGAAAGTTCCAGAATAAATATAAGTGGAATAAATCATTGAGTTCACTGACTTGTGGAGGAAGGGACTGTGCAGATTTCATCTTTCTTGAGCTGCTTCCATGTGTTCCCCATCCTCCACACCAACTTCCATGGGCTGGTCACCAGCCCACCATGACTCTATGGGAACAGAAGAGCCTTCTCAGACTGCATGGGGAGACTCAGGTAGAAGCATTTGAGCTTATTACTAGGCCTCCAGTGTCTGACAGGGTAAGAGAAATGGAAAAGAGTGTTCCTTAGTAGCTGACACTGACTTCTGGGCAAGTCTGACTTAAACAAACAAACAGAGTTGAGGAGCAAGAAGGTAGCAAGTGTCACTCCTCTTCTCTCAACATAAATACATGCATTTAGCTCCTCTTCTTGTCCTCACCGTTTTGAAAGAACAAGTTGATTTATGAGAGCACTGGAAAGTAGGCAGATTTGCTCTGAGTGTTTGCTGAGGTGGGTGTGGAAATTCTTGAGAAGAGAGAGAGCGTGTGGGCTGGTGTGGGTAAGACTTTGAGGTGTCTGGGGACAGTGGGTTAGAATGTCTGAATCAGACTGAGCCACAGCATGGCTTCTGCAGTGAGCAGTAGGGCTGGGTGCTGGGCCCCACCCTTTGCTGGCATCCCTAAGAGGGCCATGTTTGTGTGTGTGTGTATGTGTGTGCGCTTGTGTGTGTGTGCACACACATGCATGCCCATGCCTTACCCGGCTGCTCCTCACTGTGGGAGTGGGAGGGAGCAAGAAAAATACCCCCCACCCCAAGAATGACTCCTTCAAGGCAGCGCTCACCTTCTCCTGAGAGCCCATTCAGGCAGGCTGTCAATGCAGGTCTATGCAGGAAGATGTTTCTGTTTGGTTTTATTTGGTATTGTTTCCAGAGCACTTCCTAATTTCAGAGCAAATGTCTTCTCCACCACCATTGTGTGGCCTGTATTTCCTAGACTAGTTCTCTAAGAGGAACTTTAGAAAATGTATTTAGGCAGTGTGTGTTGGGGCAGGAAACTCAGGGGACAGACTGAAAACCTTCCCAGGAAAGCTGAGCCAATTGGAAAGGAAATCCTTCTCCCATCCCGGGAGTCCTGTGACTGGCTGGGAGGAAGAGGAGTAACACTTTCACATATCCATGTCTCAGGGCTGTGGTCACCATCCAACCTGCATGTGGCCCCTGCCAGGGATGCCTCACTTGTCCATAGCCTCTCCTCCCAGGGTTAGAGACCCCAATAGGGCTCTTGCAAATGACTGAACACAGGGTAGACACTGGGGCAAGGGCAGCCCATCCATGGATAGGCCAGTGACCTGACCCTGTCCTGGCTCCTAGGCCTGAGCTGGCCAACAAGTGCTTCCCTTTAAATGTGAATTAGAGAAACCTGGGGTATGAGACTGGATCATGGGCACCTCAGGAAAGGGCTGTGAGTCCAGGCCTGGAGGCCCAGGCCAGGTACTTATGATCCTGAGAAAACCAGGGATATGGGAGTATAAGGGTCGTCTGGGAAAAAGAGGAGAATGGAAGAGAGGCTGGAGAAAAGAGGCCATGACCATGTTGCGTGAGAACCAGATGGACAAATGGACAGGTAACTCCAGATCTGTGCGCCAGGACCCAGCAGTCTTGGGCTGTGTCCGTGCATGTGGGGGAGATTCCCCGGGTTCCTGAGTTAGCTTGCAACCTAAAGAGCCCTCGTCCAAAGCACAGTATTTTTCTTTTATTCTCACAACCGCCTGGTAGGCAGTGCTTATGACTCCCATTTTGTACATGAGTAGGCTGAGTCCAGGAGAGGGGAAGGTACTTGCGGGAGGCCACAGAGCCAGTGAGCGGCACCACCAGGAACTGACTCTGTGTCTGGACAACCTTGTAGCATAAGGCCCATTCTCATTTCTCCATTCCACCTTCCATAATCACCTCTCTTCCACTGAAACTCAACTGGTGGGGGTGGGGAGTGCAATTAGACACTCTTGGGTTCTACAGGGTTTGCCTTGCTCTTCTGTCCCCAGTTCCAGTTTGGACATGTAGCCCAGTGACTCCTGCATTACAACGACAGGCAGAAAGTTACCCAGAAAGCTTGTTGCTGTGAGCTTCAGAGCACACGCTTTTGTTACAGGTAATTAACCTGCTTTCAGGGCACAAAAGCCATGCAGCAGCAGCTGCCAGGGAGAGTGGCTGTCCCTGAGTGCTCCAGCCTGGTGCTAGGGGGAGTCTGAGCTTCAGAGCAGGGTGGACAGGGCAGGGCAGAGAGGCTGCAACTGCCACCCTCCACGGTGGGTGGGCGCCTTCTTTCAAGGGAGAGCTGGGAGACCTGGCTGGACTCCTAGGGATTCTCCAGAACTGAGAGGGCTCCCAGGCTGGAATCACTAGCTCTTCTCTTTTTTCTTTCCACCGCACCCTCACCCCCGGATGTGGCTCATTTCAGGACCCTACACAACTTATTTGGGAGCACTGAGATTGCTCATATTCTGTGCCAGCAACCTGTAGGCTCCCAGAGGATTCCACCCTCCTAAGAACCTTCTCCCCAGGCTCACAGATCCTTTGAATCTCCACAGTTCTCTGCTCACAGCCTGCCTGCCCCACCTTTCCATAGCTCACCCTCCTGAAAATACTCCCTTCGCTGGCTCCTCCTTTTTTGTCCTCCCTTAAATGTCTACCCAGTTTTTCTCTACCTTCTCCTGGTCTATCCCTTTTCTCAGTCAGATGCAACATGGCCTTGTGAATTAGTCCCCAGCCCCAGGGCCCGAGGCTCCCCACTGCCCACAGACTCTGAGACCTTGGGCCTGACCTTGGTGTTCCTCCATGCCCTCCTTTCTAACTACCCTGCAAAGACTTTCTAAAGTCCAAATCTTGCGACTGAATCCCATTGGGAAGATGAGAAAGGAAATGGAGTTGGGGTGGGGCTCAGAGAGCTAAACCCTTATCTTTCATTCTAGACACTCGGTGGAAAGATGATGTCCAGTGTTGTTACCCACGAGATACCAAAGTGAGCAAATTATATGGAAATTGAAGAATAGAAGTATTCAAAGGTTTGGGTGATTGGATACTTAGTTTTCATTCAAACCTTGTAGAACTGCCCGGTGTCTCTAAATTCTGTGCATGTGACATATTACCAGAATTCAAATTAATTCTTGAAGTGAATTGGAAGAGAAGAGGATTTAGAAGAAGGTTCTGACCGGTCAAAGCCAGACGCTGCCATGTGGAAACATGGGCCTTGGATAGACAAAGACAAGCCAAAAATTCTGATTTACACATGAAACATCATGATTTTTAAATGGTGGCCAATAATTCAACAGAGACTTTAAAAGAACGTGAAGGCCACAAACAAACATCCCAGGTCTGCGGGCCATATGCCCCTCAGGGTGCCAGGGTAACGCCTCTAATAGTCATGCTGAGACAACATCCACATTAGTTTCCTGGGGCTGCTGCAACAAATTACCACAAACTTGGTGGCCGAAAATAACACAGATCGAATCACTTGTTCTGCTGGCCCAAAGTCCAAAACTAGTTTTGTCAGAGGCATTGAACCAGAACGACTCCATCTTGAAGAGGGGCTGGGTGAAATGAGGCTGAGATCCGCTTGAGGCTGAGATCTGTTCTGCCGCACTCCCAGGAAGTTAGGGATTCTTAGCCACAGGATGTTTATGGTTAAGGGAACAAGTTAATAATGTTTACGCAGCCGACCCAGGACTTCACAGACCCAGGAACTGCCCCAATGGCCCGATATCTTAAGTACAAAAGCATTCTTAGTTTAAGAATAAGTTTACTTTAGGGGTTGGGGTGGGGGGGATAGCATTTGGAGATATACCTAATGTTAAATGATGAGTTACTGGGTGCAGCACACCAACATGGCACATGTATACATATGTAACTAACCTGCACGTTGTGCACATGTACCCTAAAACTTAAAGTATAATAAAAAAAAGAATAAGTTTACTTTAAAGATATTAATATAGATTCTTGCAGACGACAATAGTTACACAAAGACGAACAATCCTTTGTCACAAGCTCTCGTAGTAGAGCACATCGCCCCATAATTTCCTTGACTTTGTTGTCTTGTGTATAAATAAGCACTGTACCTAAGGTGGGTGCCTTCCTCCTGTTGCTTTCAGGAATGCCCTGCTCTGTCTAGGGAGTAGACATTCTTTTATTCCCTTACTTTCTTAATAAACTTGCTTTCATTTTACTTTGTGGACTCGCCCTGAATTCTTTCTTGAGTGAGATCCAAGAACCCTCTCTGGGGGTCTGGATCCGGACCCCTTTCCGATAACAGTTTGACTGGGCTGAAGTCCAGGTGTCGACAGGATTGATTTCTTCCAGGGGCTCTAGGGAGGATTCATTTCCTTGCCTTTTCCAGCTTCTGGGGGCCACCTGTGTTCCTTGGCTTATGGCCCCTTCTTCGTCTTCAAAGAGCATCACTCCAATGTCTGCTCCAGTGGTCCCATTTTCCCTCTGACTCTGACCCTCTGGCTTCCCCCTTTATAAGGACCCTGTGACGACATAGGGCCCATTTAGATATTCTAGGACAATCTCTTCATTTCAAGAGACTTAATCACATCTGCAAAGTCTTTCTTCCATGTAAGGTGACATTCAGATTCTGGGATTAGGATGTAGTCATCATTGGCTGGGGGGTCATCATTCAGCCTTTCAAACCATAGGTCTTGACTGCTAATGGGTCATGAGAGCAATTTAATGGATCATAAATAGCATTTTTATAAAAATGTGATAGAATAGAATAATAGAATAATCAGAGGCACCACATTTGATACAGGTAAGTGCTGCCTTGTGAAATTTATCTCAGGAATACTCATCTACAGGTCTACATACCCAAGCAAATGTGTCTACAGGGTTCCAGAGCTAAAGGTTGGGCAAATTTGGAAAAACATGGCTGTAGAATATCTGTTGAATGACATTGCCTAGAGTGACCCAGTGAAGATAGAAGAGAACTTGGAGTGAGGCAATTGACCATGCCTTCCCTCTGCTGTGTGACCTTCAGTAAGTCAATTAACCTCTCTGAGTTTGTTTACTGGACTGTAAAACAGGGTTATTGTAATGATCAAATGAAAAAAAAATTGTGAAAGTTCTCTGGAGACATACAAATGTCAGGCAAGGTGGTTAGTGTGGTTAGTCTTCGAGAAGTGAATTGCCTTGAATAAAAGGGGTCTTATATTTGCTGTTCCCTTCGCCTTCCACACGATGGCATCCTTGAAACACAGGGAGGTGGCTGCAGGTGGCCTGTTGTGGCAGCTAGAAAAAGGTGCTAAGGATGTGGGGACATGTATTTCAAACTTTAAAGGGCCAAGGTCTCCACATGAAGGGTCGTCTCGTGAAAAGACTATATTGATATGATTTCCTTTTCCCTTCCAGTGGCAAATCCCCTCCTGACAGGCAAGCTCTTTGCCAAACAGGCGTTTTCCAGTCCTCAGAGCAGCTGCACATCATTATAAACAGTCCCTAAGTAAAGGATTGGCCCTGGACCATGTTGGGTCAATTAGCCCCTTTCTCACCTGGTTCTTTCCACCAAATTTCCAAAACGTTCAGTCTCCCACCACCCAAAACAGAAAACCCTGGTCCCTGCACTCAGAGTTACTACCTTTTATTTATTTTTTTTAAGAGATGGGGTCTCACTATGTTGCCCAAGCTGGACTCGAACGCTTGGGCTCAAGCAGTCCTCCAGCCTCAGCCTCCCAAATAGTTTGGATTACAGGTACCCGCCAGTGCACCTGATTTTAAAATCGCTACCTCTCTTCCTTCCCTCTGCCACCAGATTTCTAGAAGGAGCAGGGCACTCTTGCCTCTGCTTCTGCTATTTATTGACTCTGACTTTCAACCCACAATTCCACACACGGAAGCTCCTTTTCTTCATGGCCTCCTAATTGCAAATTCACATTTTCATTCCAATTTCTTCCTGTGACTTCTCTGCTGTGCATGGTGTTGACCACTTTCTCAGAAACTTTGGGTCTTCCCAGCTTCATCTGGCCTCAGGTCCTGGCTCCTCCCTATATCCGCTCACATCTGGCCTCTCCCCATCAGTCCCTCAGCTCCATCCTCCCTCCACTAGCTGCCAATCATGTGTCCCTGGGTTTCTGTTCCCCACACAGGTGCCTCAGGCAATGGGACTTGCAGACCCACACTCTGCCCCAGCCTCTTGACATGCCCATCAGAGTCCTCATCTGCCATTTGAGAGACAGGAACCCTGGCTCAGATCACAGTATCTCCATGTACCCAGACAGCGGGATCCTAGCAAGAGGGGCTGTCTGCTCAAGGTCATGAGAAAGTGGCAAGCAAAAGAGAAGGGTCGCCTTCCTCGGGATGGGCCAGCCTGAAGGAGTCAGAAGAGCGGGGAGGTATGAGGAACTCTATCTTGGGGCTGAACAGAAGCCCACAGTGCAGCCAGGAAGTGTGACATGAACAGTTCAGGCTGTGCACAAAGACGGGGAGAATGCTGGAGGTTTCTTATGGCAATGAGAGTTTCACACACCTGCCTTATTGCTTAGCCTTTGTGTTTCCCCTCAGGGATTAGCAATGCAATTCGAAAATAAAACTCACTGTGTGGCTGTTGGAGGGGGTAGCACACAGGCTGCCTCACAGCCAGCACAGGCAAGAAAGTCCCCCCAGGACTCAACAGCAATGGATTTGCAGCGGTGGGTGGCGTTTCCTGTGCCTTTACCCTGGGCTGGCCCCTGTGAAGTGCTTTCTGAGGACTGTCTCAGTCAGTCTTTCCAGCAACCTCAGGAGGCATCATTACCCTCCCCATTTTACCATGAAGGAAACCGAGGCTCAGAGAAGCAAGGAAGTTCCCTAAGGTCACACAGCCGGCCCAGAGGATCAGAACACAAGCCCAGGGGACGCAGCCCCAGGAGCTAATGAGAAAAGTGCCTGTGATTCGGCTTCAGGTCATACTGAGCACTTCTGTAGGCCATGCAAACACATTCTTTTTTTCTTTTTTTCCTAATGCAGGTTAGGGCTTAACTGGAACTTAACTGGAAACTTCTGTGCACATCTGCAGACACAGAAAAATGAAAACTTTAGCAACCAGCTGCATGTCCCAGAGAACAATTTTCCAAGGATAAAAGACACTCAGTGACTTCACAAGCACGGCACTGTGATGTCCCCTCCCTCCCCCTTTCATGAAATTCAGATGTCATTAGAGTAGGCTCCTAACCGTCCTTACCACATCAGCCCTAGGATGCCTCACTGAGGGCATGCGCTCAGTCATCAAGAGCACGCGGTGGTTTGTGTGCAGAGGGAACTACCCAAGGGAACAAAAAATAAGAAAAGACCTCAAAGTGGCCCCTGCCCCTGCCCACAGACAGGGAACCGGGTCTTTGTTTTGCTTCCTACGGGGAAGCATGCCCTGGGCAGTGGGTCTGGGGTGTGAAGACAGCCACCTCCCCACTCCAGCGTCTGCGGCTGCAGGTAGGGGAGGAGGCTGGGAGGAGGCCCTTCCGCACTTCCAAGCTGATCAGCGCAGCGTGAGCGCCGGCGTGCGAGTGGGTGCCGCGTCCAGACGGTTTCCATTTCCCCGGATAACCACGGAAAACATGAATCAGGAGGGCCCCGCGCTGGCCCAGCTGCAGTGTGGGGGCACACGCCGGTGAGTCACAGGCTGTGCTGCCAGCGCTGTTTTTCACATTTCTGTCCAGGGAACAGTTTCTCACTGGACGTTCAGTTTTTTCAGTCCTCTCTTCCCCCAGGACGTTGCTCAGACTGTGTCCAAGGGCTCCCTGTGCCCGCAGTGAGATGACAGCTTTCCTGCTGCCGGTAACACTGAGGAAGGCTGATTGAGCACAGCTTAGGGGACAAGGTCCCTGCAAATCAGGGACACGGAGTAACTCCTGGTCCTCAGCACAGCCCCTAGAAGAGGGCGCCTCGCAGACCCATTTCACACATGAAGGAAGCAAGGTCAAAGCTCTGGCCCGGCCGCTCATCAGCTTCCAGGGCTCTGCCCTCGGAGTCCACGCTCTGAAGCGGGGTCGCGTCAGGCATCGCATCCCCAGCAGCTCACCGATCGCAGTTCCCAAACGGCCGTATGCCGCACACGTCCCAGCTTCTTCCGGTGGCGATGGCCACAGAGATGCGAGTGCTGTCACTGCTGAACGCAGCAGAAGGGCTAAGTGCCCACTCAGCCCAGGGCAGAGGAGCACAAGGTTCCTCCAACCTCGAACAGGCTTCCTAGCGTTCCCAGACCCCGTGCCCTCCTTAGAGAGGGAAGGATGCCACCTCCCTCAGGAGCCACTGCCAGGTCTGTGCCTGTACTTTGCACATATTGTCACCTCCGGTCCTACAACAACCCTCGGCGATGGGCAGGCTCGCTATCCCCACTTACAAGTGAGGAGACTGAAGATCAGAAAGGATAAGTGAGCGGGCCGTGATCACTCAGCTACTGAGTGGCGGGGCCAGGATCTGAACAGAGGGCTGGTGGCTCCAGGATCTGCAGTCCTGCTGAATTCTGGCGTTCCTCCCTCCTCTGACCCTCCAAGGCTGCCTGCACCTGTGGCAGAGAACACTGAGCTGCCTTTGCATAAATGTGCTCTCACACCATGCTCTGCTTTTCCACAGGGCTGTTCATTGCTTGACTTGGCACAATTCACAGTCACGTGCCACACAGTGACAGACCACATATAGGGAGGTGGTCCCATAGATTATAGTGGAACTAAAACATTTCTATTGCCAGGCCCCCCGGGGCTTTCTGAGTACAAGAAGGCTGCCTTTTTTTTTTTTTTTTTTTTAAATCAGAGCCATTGTAACATTCTAGCACAATGACTGTATTTTTTAAATTAATTTAACCTAAGTACACAGTGGTTGGGTTAAAATCTACAGTAGTGTACAGTCATCCCCAAGGCCCTCCCATTCACCAGCCCCTCACTCACTCACTCACCCAGGGCAATGTCCAGTCCTGCAAGCTCCACTCATGGTAAGTGTATACCATTTTTTATCTTCTATACCATATTTTTATAGTACTTTTTCCACATTTGGATATGTTTAGATAAACACACACAGGGCATGGAGCTACAGCTGCCTACAGTATTCAGTACAGTAACATGCTGTAGGACTTTGCAGTGTAGGAGCAATAGATAGCCTGGGTACGCTGTGGGCTACACCACTTTTTGGCACCAGGGACCGATTTTGTGAAAAACAATTTTTCCAAGGCCCAGGGCAGGTGTGGAGGAATGCTTTTGGGATGAAACTGTTTCACCTCAGATCATCAGGCATTCGATTCCCATAAGGAGTGCACGACCCAGATCCATTGTATGCGCAGTTCACAATAGGGTTCATGCCCCTATGAGAATCTAACGCTGCTGCTGATCTGACAGGTGGTAGAGCCCAAGAGGTAATGTCGCTCACCCCCTGCTCACCTCCTGCTGTGCGGCCCAGTTCCTAACAGGCCACAGACTGGTACCAACCCCAGGGTTGCAGACCCTGGGCTATTCCACCTAGGTTTGTGTAAGTACACTCTAGTGTTCACACCATGATGAAATTACCTAAAATGCATTTCTCAGGACACATCCCTGTCTATTATTTATGTATTAAATCTGAACGCTGAAATACTATATAATGGTGTGATATGGTGTGTCTCTTCCCAACTCTGTGTCAATGATACACATTGGTAGCTTAAAATCAGCCACGGTGGAAGTATTTACACCATGGAAATTGGCAAACACTACAGATCAGGTGGGTTTTTTTTCCATTTTTCCTGGAGAGCTGGTTATTAAACATTTATTAGCACCCCGATGGACATAACGTGCACGCAATGTCTTTTGTATTCAAAACAGCATTTACAATATCATCCACATAAGTAAACATGGATAGAAAGATGACTCTTAAATCTGGAAATCTAGACTTTTGGAAAGTCTAACTGAAGATTATAGAATTGTAATTGAAGATTGGGAAAATAAATAATCCTCACAGCATTCCTACAGTTAACCTTGGGAAGTGAATGAGAAAAGAAAAGAACTTTTATCTGAGGAGTGAGAGTCCTCTTAAATTATCAGACCCAGAGAGACATTAAGATGAGACAGCAATCAGGTCCTACTCCCCACTTGGAGCTATGTCTTCCCCTCTTGAAACTGCTTGGCACTGCCACAGGTGGCTGTAAATTAACCTAATAATGCTGCACCAGACACTACAACCCACACGCTATAGCTGAACAGTGGATAGCCAATCAACTCATCGGTGTGATTTCTGTAAGCCAATGATAATGTCAGACAAATGACTTTGCATCAGGCCACTTCCTGTCCCCCCCCCCTTTTTTTTGTCTTTAGAAACCTGCTTGTAACAAAGGCCTCGTGAAGCTCTCATCCAAGGTCATTTGTGATTGAGTTTCCCTGGCAGCTGTCCCCGCTTTGGCTCAAGTCAACTCTCAATGACATTTTATACCTCAACCTCTTCCTTTTAGGTCAACAAGATCTACCCTCTCAAAGGGCTCTTGAGTGAGCCCCAAATTGGGTATGACAGCAGCATCCTCTCAGAGGCTCAGACTTCCTCAGCGCAGATGAATCAGACCAGAGGTACATCGTGTTCATTAGCAAGAAAGTGGACCGGGTTCTGGGGTTGTCCCTTTGAAAGGCTCCAGAGGAAATTACAAATTATTTTTCTGTGGGGCCACCCTGAAGGGCTTCCTGCCTCCACTCTGGACATCACTGGGCTTTAGTCATAAGACTCACCCAGTTGGTGGAAACTGGGCACACAGAAGTATGTGGCCACCTTGGAAAAGGCGATGAAGACAATTCTCTCTAATGCAAGAGCAAAGAGATAAATGAGGACAGAGTAGCGCTTGCAGCTGGGAGCAGGAAGTGAGGCCAGGCCCCCGGGGCTTTCTGAGTACAAGACAGCTGCCTATTTTTTTTTTTATTATTTTTTAAAGAGAAAAATGCTAGATAATAGGACTGGAGTTCTTTCAAGGTGCCCTTCTTCACAGCTTTTGTTGTTTTGAGAAAAGCCCAATTTGTTTTGTTTTGTTTTTGAGACAGGATCTCACTGTGTTGCCCAGGCTGGAGTGCAGTGGAACCATTAAAGCTCACTGCAGCCTCGACCTCCAAGGCTCAAGTGATCCTCCTGCCTCAGCCTCCCAAGTAGCTAGAACTAGAGGTGTGCACCACTACACTCAATATTTTTGTGTTTTTTGTAGAGACAGGGTCTTACCATATTGCCCAGGCTGGTCTCGAATTCCTGGGCACAAGCAGTCCTGCCTTGGCTTCCCAAGGTTCTGGGATTACAGGCATGAGCCACTGTGCCTGTCCAGAAAAGTCCAAATTTAACAAAGCCTCATTCTAAATTCTCAGGTGTTTCTTGATGACCCGACCTGTGTAAGAAAGTCACAGAGGCCTTACAAGGTGCCGGGGAGTCCCAGGGGAGTGAGGGAGGAGGAGAATGCTGTCTGCATGCACTCAGGGGGTACGGCCAAGACCAGGGTGGGGCAAGGCAAAGATGGCTGGAAGAGGAAGTAGATACAAGCAGCCAGGCCTGGCCACCTGGACTCCTTGGGAGTGGCTAGAGAACTCCTCCTGAGAGCAGAGTCCAGGTGTTTGGGCCCAATCCTGATTATCCACAGGCCCTAAAGATCCTCCAGACCACTTCTGTGCGGCCTTGGCAAGGTTCCCTCAGAGTGTGGGCTGGAAGGAGATGGAGAGACATGGCTTCCCCTTTGGGAGACAAAGTAAAGAACTCCATGCTGACTAGGGAAAGGCAGGCGCAGGTTGCTGAGGCTGGCGGGAGGCCCCTGGTCAAGCCTTGGTGGGGCCTAGATCCAAGGTCCTGACCGGTGCCACCACGGGCCAAGGCCAGCAGTGAGGCCCAGAGGCTAAGCCAATAGCTGTGATGCGGAGGGGGCTGTGGTGTGGGGAGCCTAGGGGTGTAGAGGAGAACTTCAGGCTCATAAAGAGAAATGTGAGGTGCAGTTCTCATACACGCTGTGGGGCAGTTCCCACAGAGAAAGAAAAATGCTCCAAAAGATTTAAAACGTTTTCCTTTGATTATTTTGAATTATGGATGATCGTTAGTTCCTTCATTTTATATTCTCTTCTATCAGACTGTTTTGTAAACAACCAAAATGAGGACTAAGTTAGAGTCATTTGTTGAGTGAAGAGAGAGGTTTGGAGGAAAGGATATGGGCTCCTGAGGGAGGTTCCCGATGGAGACTAATCACAAACACCTTTGTACCACTTTCCCACACCCCTGTGGTGGCCCATCCCTAGGTTCTGTGAAAACTGGAAGAAGACATGCCACATGACAGCTGATTTTAATTGAGAACTGGCCCATATAGTTTAGTACAGAAACTTGGAACAAATAAACGATGAATATCCAGCCAACATCACATGAGAAGTCATCAGGAGGAATCGGGAAACGGCAGATCCAGCTTTGACCCAGCAACTTCACCGCAGGGTCCAAATGCTGCACACTGTTTCCTTCTGGAGCCTCCTCAGTGTGTCCAAATGATGAAAGACCTCCCCCAAGAGGCTAGGATCTGGAGGAGAGGCGTGATGTGTCCAGAGGGATGACAGCATCTGGCAGGGCAGGAGCAGGAAAGAAGCAAAGTTAGATTGAAAAGCCAAAAACGTCTTCTCCCTCTGTAATGGGAGCTTTAGGAAGGAAGGTGGGCAGGACACCCAGGAGTCCCTTACTAATGAACAATGGGAGCTGGGATGGGAGCCTGGTGATGCCTGGACCTTCTGTGGCTCTGCGACGTGGACAGCAGCTGCCAGAGGAGGGAGGCCAGGCTCCATGACAGCCCTCAGCTTAGGTGTGCGATTTAAGAGGTTTTCCCAAAGAATCTCCTGTCTTTCAAAGATCTGCTTCACGGGTGGTGCTAGGGTCTGAAACCCCCACTCTAGACATTCCTTTGAATGAGGTTACTGGAGAGCCCTTCTGCCTGTGACCATGCTACCTGGAAGGTCATCTGTCCTCATCTGGAGAAGGGTGGTTGTCCCAAAATGGAACAAGTTAGTACCTGCCCCCAACAGGGCATGATATTTTTTTTAAAAGCTTTGTTTTGAGAACCTAGGCTGGTAGTTGTGGGGCTTCAGGGAGGGACAGGGCATGTCAGGGAAGGAGTAAAAACAGGAGCAGTGGTAGATCCAGGGCATCCTATTCAACAATTTCAGTGGCGGGTACACTAAGGCCACATACAGTATTTGTGGGTCTGATGATATTTGAGAACTAGTTGAAAACCTTTGCAAAACTAGTTTTGTTTGATTATTCTGTTTTTTTTAGTGCCCCGTCTTAAAATTTGGCCATCTGGAAAGATGAGAAGTAGTATCTCAGCTTGTTTTAATTAACAACTTGTGAGGCTGCATATCTTTTCAAAAGATTGTTAGCCATGTTGGTATATTCTGCTATCAACTGACTACTGATGCTTTTTGTCTGTTTTTCTATTAGAGTGTTTATCTTTCAGTATATCTATTTCTATCTATCTATCCACCCATCCATCTATACCTATTTTGAAGGATTTCTTTTTTTTCTTTTTTTTTTTTTTTTTTTGACGGAGTCTCCCTCTGTTGCCCAGGCTGGAGTGTAATGGTGTGATCTCGGCTCACTGCAAGCTCTGCCTCCCAGGTTCATGCCATTCTCCTGCATCAGCCTCCCGAGTAGCTGGGACTACAGGTGCCCGCCACCACGCCTGGCTGATTTTTTGTATTTTTAGTAGAGATGGGGTTTCACTGTGTTAGCCAGGATGGTCTCAATCTCCTGACCTCGTGATCTGCCCACCTCGGCCTCCCAAAGTGCTGGGATTACAGGTGTGAGCCACTGCACCTGGCCTGAAGGATTTCTTTATAGAATCCAAACACTAATCTTTGATTAGATCATAAATGTTTTATGTAGCTTCCCTTAAACAGTGACTTAACTTTGGCATTTCCTTGTTGTGAAGAAGTTTTCAATTTCTAGTTAGTCAGATTTATCTTTCTTTTTCTCCATGTGTGTTTTCTTTAAGAAGTGTTCTTTTGCTCTAAAGTTACAATATTTTCTTTTAGTCTCTTCTAAAAGTTTTCAAGTTATACGATTTACATTTAAGTCTTTGATCTAGTTGTCCTTGCTCTATTTTCTAAACTTTCTGTTCCTCTCTCACTGATCTTCAAATACCATCGTGGTCATATCTAAGTTCCTGTGTGTGTGTGGGTATCTTTCTTGGCTCTTGGTTCTGCTCCATCAGCAATATTTATATTTACTGGAGTCAGAAACTCACTGTTTGAAATGTTAGAGCTTTATACTAGGTCTCAATATTTGGGTGAGTCCTTTCTTCGCATTCTTTTCTAAATAGTTTGGCCATTTGGGGCTATTTACTTTTTTTTTTGGTGGGGGGAGACGGAATTTCGCTCTCGTTGCCCAGGCTGGAGTGCAATGGCATGACATCGGCTCACTGCAACCTCTGCCTCCCAGGTTCAAGTGGTTCTCCTGCCTCAGTCTCCCAAGTAGCTAGGATTACAGGTACCTGCCACTATGCCCAGGTAATTTTTTATATTTTTAGTAGAGACAGGTTTCACCATGTTGGCCAGGCTGGTCTTGAACTCCTGACCTCAGGTGATCCACCTGCCTTGGCCTCCCAAAGTGCTGGGATTACAGGCGTGAGCCACCATGCCCGGCCTATTTACTTTTTCATGCAAACTTTAGAATCAACTTGTCACATTTATTAAAAACCCTGTTAAGAGTTGTATTGCCCTAGTATTAAATTTACACACTAATCTGGGAGATAATTTGAATCTTCCTATCCGTGAATATAGTTTTTCTCCTTCTCTGGTTTTCTCTCCCTCTCACCATTTATTTAAGGCATGTTTGATATCCTCCAATGCAATTTTATTATTTTCTTGCCAAACATCTTTTATTTTTACTTATTCCTTGAAGCTTTTGAACTTTATGTTACCGTGAGTGCAATCAGTATTTAACTTTGTTACATTCTGTGATTTGTCTTTTCTGGTGTGCAGGAATGTTGTTGCTTTTTGAATATTGATCTGCTATCCCAGAGCTTGCTGAATTCATCTTTTAAGAATAATAGTACATAGAATCTTTTGATTTCATATGTCAGTGATTATTTCTTCTGCCAATAATGACAATTTGGTTTCTTCTTTTTCAATTTCTTTACCTCTTATTTAATTTTTCTTTTGCTATTTCAATGTCTGGAACTTCCAGTAAAATGATAAATAGAAACTGAGACAGTAGGTTAATGTTTTTTTTGTCTCTGACATTTAAGGGAATTAAAGAGAGTATTTCCATAGCCTCACCATTTAATGTGGGGTTTCTTGTGATCTCCTAAAGCCTTGACCAGGTTAAGGAAATTTTCTTGTATTCCTGGTGATAAGTTTTACTAAATGTATTTTCTATATATATTGAGTTGATCATATGATCCTCTCGTTTCATCTGATAATGTAGTGAATGATATTAATAATTTTGTAATGTTTCACTACCCTTGTATTATTGGTATACATATCACTTAATTATACTTTAAAAAATCTTTTAAACACATTGATGGATTTGGTTTACTAATGTGTCATTTAGAGTTTTTGTTTTCATGTTCATAAGTGAGATAATTTCTTTTGTATCATACTCATCTGATTTCAGTGACCTAACTTATAAAATGAGTTAGAACATGTTCCCACTCCGTCTGGTTTCTGGAACAGTTCAGAAGACATGGATAGTCTGTTCTCTTTCTGTTTGAGATAACTTCCCGTAAAATTGTTGAAAGTGAGATTGGCCCGTGTATTTCTTTTCTCATGCTGTGTTTTAATGTCGAAATCAGTATGAGCCTCTTTTAAAAGTGAATTTGATCCATGTTTATGGACACTGATCCCGTTTAATCCTATCATCTGGTTTGTGGGTTCCTAACTTCCCTCTTCCGCTCATCCCTTTCCTGACTGCTGTGGGATGGATGGGATCTGCCTTTCCCCTTTCTACCTCCACATTTGTGCTTCCTTTCATGCCTTTATCGAGCACAGCACGTGTGTGTGTGATTGTTCTCATTTAAGTCTTCGCTTCTCTTATACTTTCACACTTTCATCGACTCCACCTCCCCCTCTCTCTGTGCTACATTTGGAATGATTTCCTTAAATCTTTGTTTGCTCCCCTTTTTCTAATCTATAGCTTAATCTTCTCATTGAATTTTCTCTTGAATGACTATGTTTTTCAACTTCAGCAGGTTTATTATTTGACTTCTTTTATAAACTACCAGCTTTTCCTTTATGATTTGTGTGTCTTCTTTTATCTCTGTAATGTTTATAAATATGCCATTTTGGGTCATCTTTAATAGGTTGTCCTGTGATTTTTATTTCTTAACCATTCATCACGGGTACTGATCCATCCTTGGTGGTGAATTTCCTTATGTATTTTGTATTATTAATTGTGAGTTCATGGTCGGTGGATGTGGCCGCATCTCTGAGTCCCCAGCTAGGAAGCTTTCCTGGCACAGGATGTTATTTGCTTCAGGATCTAAGAGGATTAACTGGACCCAGACCCATTATTCTGTTCATTTCTAGGCTCAGCATTTGAGGTGATTTCCCAGAGGGACAGCTTTTCCTCCACTGGAGGGCAGTCTTCCTTGCCCTCTCCATAGGGAGCTAAGTTTTTCTAGGTCCCTTCTTACATAAGAACAGCCATTCAAGGGCCCCTGCTTCATGCAGGTATATCACTCCTGTCTCCCCAGCTGGAATGCACCCACAGTCCTGTCTCCTGCCCTGTATGGGCATGAAAACTCAAGCACAGTGCTCAAGCCACTTAGTCACACTGCCCCAGCATTGGCTGTAGAGTGTCATCTTAGCTTTGAGCCCTCTTTACATTTGGGGCATCGGACACTGCCCCTTCTTGCTTTTAAGCATGGCTGTGCATTTATTATGAGCATTTTCTTCTCCTGATCCAAAATCCTTGTGTGCAATAGTGGAGGAGAACACATCAGGCTGAGCTACCTTGCTTCCAGACGTCCTTCCATTCACTCCTTAACATCCTAGAACCTGTATCCATCTGCACCATTCTATCCAAGTGGCTGCAGACCCGAAACACCAATGACTCCCAGCCACTAAATTCAGCAGCCCTGTGCTAAGCCTCCTGGTGGCCGACCTTTCAGCACCATTCCAGATGGTGGCTCCCATTCTTCTGAGTACACTTTTCTCAGGACTTCCACAACACGCCCTCATTTTCCTCTAGTCCTGGTGGCTGATCTTGCTTAGTTTCCTTTGAGAGCTCACTCATCTCTACCAGTTATCTAATACCTGACCTCTTGACAGTATCAGAGAGTCCAGTGATTCCTTTTCTTTTCTAAATGGCACAAAAATAGTCAAGAGCTACCTAAATATTTCTGATAATTGTAAGAAATATTTTCATTGTGAAGCCATCTACAGATACATAAACTCTGCAAAAAGACATGGCTCCTAGAATTACATCCTAACAAAAAATAAGGTAAAAGAAAACAAAAAGGTTAAGTTGAGTATATGGGTCAATAATTTTTCATTTTGTTCTTTCTCTAAGTTTTGTAAACCTGTTTAATGGACTTTTTGGTCAGAATTCAAGCAGAGCTGTGGTTCCCTGACATAATCTCCAAGGCTCCAGCAAATGTCTGGTGGGTACTGTTTCCACTCCCTTACAGCCTCTCTCTGGACATTTATCTCTCGATCTGGATGTTCGGAGGTTGATGTGAGAGTTGAATTATCCACACCCTCTATCTTGTGCCATGGGGATGTCTACATGGCAGTTAAGGACTCTTTCCTTTCTCTGCCCACAGCCCAAGCTCTCTCCTGAGCTCTGACCTCCTTGGAGGCACACACTCTTCACACCATCTGCTCTTACGCTCTCAGAAGGCCTCTTTCTTCTGACTTGGATGTGTCCTGCTGTTGCCACTTTCTGATTACCGTCTCATCTTTACCTCCTTATGTTAAGTCCTGACGTTCACCAAGTGATTGCTCATGGTCTGGGAACCAGAATCTCGCTTTTAGAGACTTTTAACTCCTGTTTTTGTTCTCTTCTCATCATTTTATCTCCTGGCTAATCAGATGCCTTTTGCTCTTTTAATCCAATTTTCCAAAGTTTGTGCTTGGAGGAGTTACATTAGAAACCCACTCTGGCAAAATGAAAGGCTATCAGGCAGCTCTGATATCCTATAAAGATCTGCAGAACCAGACTCAGGCAGAAACCAGGAGAGGTTTACCACTGCCAGCATCTCAATAGGGGATATGTACTTGCATGGGGCTGGGGGCAGTGGGCACCACCATGTTTGGCTTGGCCTTGCTGCAGCGACCTTTTGTTGTTGCGGCCAGAACGGCTCACAATGCAAAGTTCCAAGTGAAGCCACCTGATTCGCTGCATTCATTTGCTGTCTGGGTGCAAGGTGGAGTCCTGCCTGCCACTATCTTAAGATTTCCCCCAAAATATGTGGTGTTTAGATGTTGAATAGCCTCAGTAACAAATATCCACTGTAATGATGTCATAAATATCTTTGCACAGGTGTCTGCTGATTACTTCTTCATTTCATCTAAGGATGCGCTATTGGTAATTGATATTATTTCCATATGAGAGGATACTTTCAGCACTTAAGTGCTCTCTACTTCCCATCAGTACTCCCTACTGGGTTTGAGGGTTTTGTAATTCTAAATATATTCAGAAACAGAATGCACATAAACTATATGATTTCATTTTTGTGAGAAAATGAATATGTCTATATGTAGTTGGAACAGAGAGAGACATTGTTATTTAATGTGAAAACTTGTCTATAGCCATTCATTCCTTTTAGTAACAGCAACAACATCCAAATCTGTAGGGAGATAAATTTCTTTTTTTTAAAACACTTTTATTTTAGGTTTAGGAGTGCATGTGCAGGTTTGTTATGTAGGTAAACTCACATCACATGGGTTTGTTGTACAGATTATTTCATCACCCAGGTACTAAGCCTAGTACCCAGTAGTTATATTTTCTGCTCCTCTTCTTCCTCCCACCCTCCGCCCTCCAGTAGGCCCCAGTGTCTGTTGTTCTCCTCTTTGTGTCCATGAGTTCTCATCATTTAGCTCCCACTTATAAGTGAGAACATCCAATATTTAGTTTTCTCTTCCTGTGTTAGTTTGCTAAGGATAATGGCCTCTTTATCCATCCACGTACCCGCAAAAGACACGATTTCATTCTTTTTCATGGCTGCATAGTATTCCATGGTGTATACGTACCAAATTTTCTTTATCCAGTCTGTCATTGATGGGCATTTCAGTTGATTCCATGTATTTGCTATTGTGAATAGTGCTGCAATGAATATCCACATGCATGTATTTTTATGGTAAAATGATTTATATTCCTCTGGGTGTATACTTAGTAATGGGATTGCTGGGTCGAATGGGGTTTCTGTTTTAACTCTTTGAGGAATCATTGCACTGCCTTTCACAATGGTTGAACTAATTTACACTCCCACTAACAGTGTATAAGTGTTATTTTTTCTCTGCAACCTCACAAGCATCTGTTATTTTTTTGACTTTTAATAATAGCCATTCTGAGTGATGTGAGATGGTATCTTATTGTGGTTTTGATTTGTATTTCTCTAATGATCAGTGATATTGAGCTTTTTTTCATATACTTATTGGCCGCATGTATGTCTTCTTTTGAAAGTGTCTGTTCATGTCCTTTGCTTACTTTTTTATAGGGTTGTCTGTTTTCTTGTAAATTTGTTTAAGTTCCTTATAGGTGCTGGATATTAGACCTTTGTCAGATGTGTTGCTTACATATATTTTCTCTCATTCATTAGATTTTCTTTTTACTCTGTTAATAGTTTCTTTTGCTGTGTAGAAGCTCTTAAGTTTAATTAGATCCCATTTGTCCATTTTTGCTTTTGTTGCAATTGCTTTTGATGGTTTTTCATCATGAAATCTTTGCCTGTTCCTAAATCCAGAATGTTATTACCTTGTTTGTCTTTGAGGGTTTTTATAGTTTTGGATTTTACGTTTAAGTCTTTAATCCCCTTGAGTTGATTTTTGTATATGGTATAAGGAAGGGGTCCAGCTTCAATCTTCTGCATATGGCCAGCTATTCCAGCACCATTTATTGAATAGGGAGTCCTTTACTCATTGTTTTTGTCAGCTTTGTCAAAGATCAGTTAGTCATAGGTGTGTGGCCTTATTTCTGGACTCTCTACTCTGTTCCATTGATCTATGTGTCTGTTTTTGTCCCAGTGCCATGCTGTTTTATTTACTGTAGCCCTGTAGTATAGTTTGAAGTCAGGTAACATGATGCTTCCAGATTTGTTCTTTTTGCTTAGGATTGCCTTGGTTATTCGGACAGTGCCCCTTCCACTTACAGAGATTGGGATCCACTTACAGAGAGTAAGTGGATAGGAAACCTTCCAGACACCCATCACTACTTCTCACCAATGTCAAAAAGGGGCCTGTATAGGCCATTGTTTAGCACAGCATGAATGAGACTTTAAATATACACTATCAACCATGCAGTACATGTGAGTCCAAGTGCAGGAGAGGGTACAGAACTTTTGTAGAGAACCCGGGGGGGACCTCAAAATAGTAGATGTTAAAGTCTTTGAAGAAGAGAGAGGGCTAAGCAACAGGATATGCAATTCCTCAGTTGTCTGATAATTAGCACATCTGCTAATCTGGGTGCTGTTTCAGTGACAAGGGTGAGTGGAAACCAAGGGGAAAGAGCTGTGAGATATTTGACACAATAACATTTGTGTAAATTAAAAATGCACTTGCAATGCACAATTACACATTGTAGAATAACACACATAAACTAGAGGATGCAGATTAGGGAAAACAGAATTAACAAACGGCAGGAGAATAAGATAAATTTTTTAGTGAAGCAAAAGGGATAGATGGGTGGATGTACAAATGGGTAGACAGGAAAAAAATGGGTAGACAGGTAGACAGATTAAATAAGTGGATGGATAGATAGATAGATAGATAGATAGATAGATAGATAGATAGATAGACAGACAGACAGAAAGACTGAGGACCCAGCATAGACCACTTATAATGGTGGCCCATAAACTAAAGAGTAATTAAATCAAACTTTTGCACCTGAGGATTAAGAGAAATATTAAAATATTTGGGATAACAAAGCAGTCATTCCCTGAACTAATTAGGTGAAAATGAAGCCTAGAAGCAGAAGGAAACATGGTGTCCATCCCCCTTTCTCACCAACTCCCAGACTGGCTGGGAGGAACATGGACTTCCCAATACATGTGGAAAGAGGCCCCAGCCAATTTTATTTGAATCCCAAAGGAAAAATTTCCTCATCTGACATCTGGTTTTCATGCCTGTGTGTGAGAGTTTGTGTATGTGAGTATCTGCATATGCACGGAAGAAAAGCATGAATGGAACATTTGAAACTATTAAGAATGGTTATCTCAGGAGAGTGGTGGGGGGTTGGGGAAGGGATTTAATTTATATTTTATATTCTGCTTAAAACACTTCCAAAGAACATGTATTACTTTTGCAATAATTTCACATCCACTCAACAGATACATTCGTTTCTGGGGAGTATTTCTTCATTTTGGTTGCAGCATTTGGATGTCGTTTTGAGTGTTTAATGATTATTCATTAATTTTGCTCTCTGACCAGTAAAGCACCCAAGCAAAGAAGAGTCAAACTATCAGCATTCCAACCATCTGCCCACAGGTGGCTTTCCTTAACAAACCTTGGTATCTTATTTTAAAAATAGCCCTACCCTGGCCGGGCATGGTGGCTCACACCTGTAATCCCGGCACTTTGGGAGGCTAAGGTGAACGGAGAAGGTCAGGGGATGGAGACCAGCCTGGCTAGCATGGTGAAACTCTGTTTCAACTAAAAATATAAAAAAGCAGCCAGGCATGGTGGCGTGCACCTGTAATCCCAGCTACTCAGGAGACTGAGGCAGGAGAATCGCTTGAACCCAGGAGGCAGAGGTTGCAGTGAGCCGAGATCATGCCATTGCACTCCAGCCTGGGCAACAAGAGTGAAACTCCATCTCAAAAAAAAAAAAGGCCCTACCCACAGTTTTAGATTCTGGATATCCAAGACATTAGATATTGTTTAAATACACCATTTTATCTGATCAAGCCGCTTGAAATCCTAGAATGATTTGAGCGGGCACAACTAGGGTAATGCAAATGGGGTTTTAAATATCTCTCATTTCAAAAATTCCTGTTGACAATTTTCTTCTTGAAAGATCATTGTAATTTAGCACAAGAAAGCAGATTCTGACATTCTCTGCTTATTTCTTCAGACGGTTGTGCTGATATTACATTCAGTAGCTGGACTTTGATTTTTTTTCCATTTTCACCCATGTTTATCCAACACTGAATTAGGAGCCAGAGGCTGAATGAACTCAGGAGCGTGTGGGTTGGCCATCCAGGGTTCCCCTCCTGTATTAATAAATCCGTACCTCCCTTGCTGCAGACCAATATCGACTCTACTCTCAGTACCGTGGCCATGCACGATTTTCAGGCCACATCAAGACTTGCACAGCCTCTGGCTTTCAGTGGGAACAGAACCAGCAGTCTTCCTGGACTTCTCCCTCCTACACAGCAACCAGGAGCAAACTGATCCTCCGCGTATCACAGGCTTTGTCGAGTTGTAAAACAGAACTCTAACTGGTATCCGCCACTGATATCATGCAACACCAGATGGTGTCATTTGATCAAAGAATTTTGCTAACAGAAATCTCAGATTTCTCTCTAAGCGAAATGCCTTGACTTTGTGACTGATTGTGCAAGAATCTCAGGAATTGAGAAAACAGCGTCTGTGTTGCTACAAGACTGCAGCTTTGGATAATACCCCCCTGCTTTTACTTTCTTCTCTGTCTTTAACTTCAAAATGTATTTTACACCCCAAATAATTGTTTACTATTTGTTTCCTAGAACCTCAAAAGTCATTAATTTTTAAGAAAAGTCACTGTGCTTTGTTGGAAAACAACCTCAAACTTGAATGGCTTCACGCCAGTAGTTGAAAATATTTTACAATAGGCCACTTTCTGGAAAGTCTAATAAAAATCATACTGAGCATTTTTATTCCTGTTTACACTTGTAGAGCATTATCACAATTTAAATTATCTTCAGCCCATATATAGCTTCATATTTTGCAGCCAGCAATGAAGTTCTGCCCACAGTTTACGTTTACGACTTTCTTCTGAACTGCCGTATTTATGTTACTGTTTTCATCACTACTCTTTTTTTGTACATTTTACCACTTAAACAGTAAATCTATGTGTTTTGACAAATGTGTACAGTTGACTAACCACCACCAATGGTCAAGATATGGAGTATTTCTATTGCCATAGAAATATTCCTCCATAGAAATATTTCAATTCCTCTCAAGCCCATTTCTGCTCAATCCCCTCTCCCCATCCCCAGGGCTAGCAACTGCTGATCTGTTTTGTCCTTATGGTTTTGCCTTTTCCTGAATATCATATAAATGGAATCAGATTTGTAGCCTTTCAATTCTGGCTTCTTGCACTTAGCATAATGCCTTTGAGATTCTTCTGCTTGTATCAAGAATTCATTCCTTTGATTGTTACCCAGTATTCAGTCATATGGATGTATCACAATTTATTTACCAGTTGAGGGACACTTTGATTCCAGTTTGGGGCAATTATGAATATAACTTTGATGAATAGCTATTCACTACTGGGTCATCTAGTAAGTGTGTTTTAACTTTAAGAGTTGCCAAGCTGTTTTCCAAAATAACTATACTATTTTTTTTCTTTTTCCTTAGCGTGTCTACTTTTTCATGTTTTTGTGGTAAAATACACATAAGATTTAGCATCTTAAAAATTTTTAAGTTCACAATTCAGTGGTATTAAATATATTAATAACACTGTGCAATCATCACCACCTTCCATCATCATAACTCTTTTCATCTTGTAAAACTAAAGCTCTATTCCCATTAAACAACAACTCTCCATTCTCTTATCCCCTCAAGCCCTGAAAACAGCCATTCTACTTTCTGTGTCTAATTTTGACTAAGTATCTCGTATAAGTGGAGTTATACAGTATTTGTCGTTATGTGATTGGCTTAGTTAACTTAGCAGAAAGTCCACCGTGGACATGTTGTTCATCCATTTTGTAGCATGTGTCATAATCCCCCTCCTCTTTAAGGCTAAATAATAATCCATCATATGCATATACTACATTTTGCTTATTCATTCATCCATAATTGGACACTTGGGTTGCTTCCATGTTTCAGTTATTGTGAATAATGCTGCTATGAACATGGGTGTACAAATACCTCTTAAATACCCTGCTTTCAATTCTTTTGGGTGTATCCCCAGAAGTGGAATTGCTAAACCATATGGTAATTATATTTTTAATTTTTAAGGAACTGTCTCACTCTTTTCCACAGCAGCTGTATCATTTCACATTCCCATCAACAATGCACAAGGGTTCCAGTTTCTCCACATCCTTGTTGACACTTGTTATTTTTTGTTGTTGTTGTTGTTGTTTTAATGGTAGCCATCCTAATGGGTGTGAGGTGGTAACCTATTGTAGTTTTGATTTCCATTTCCCTTATAATTTGTGATATTGAACATCTTTCTATGTGCTTACTGCTGATATGTCTACTTAAGCCCTTTGCTCATTTTAAAATCTATTTGTTTCTTTATTGGTGAGTTTTACGAGTTCTCTATATATTCTGGGTAATAATCCCTTATCAGATATATTTGCAATTATTTTCTTCCACTCTGTTGGTTGCGTTTTTACTCTGTTGATATTGTCTTTTGATGCACAAACTTCTAACTTTCATGAAGTTCAATTTGTTTCTTTTACTTTTGCTGCCTGTGCCTTTGGTGTCATATCCAAGAAATCATTACAGAATTCAATATTATAAAGATTTCCTGATGTTTTATTCTAAGATTTTTGTAGTTTTGGTCTTACATTTAGGTCTTTGATCCATTCTGAGCTAATTTTTGTATATGGTGTTAGGTGAGGGTCTAACTTTATTCTTTTTCATGTGGATACCCAGTTTCACAGCAACATTTGTTGAAAAGACTGTCCTTTCCCCATTGAATCATCTTGGTACCCTTGTCAAAAATCATTTGACCATACATACAGGGTTTATTTCAGGGCTGTCTATTCAATTCCATTGGTTTTTATGCCAGTACCACACTGTTTTGAGTATTATAGCTTTGTAGCAAGTTTTGAAACCAGGAACTGTGAGTCTTCCAGCTTTCTTCTGCTTTTTCAAGATTGCTTTGGCTATTAAAGGTCCCTGAGATTTCATACAACTTTTAGGATGGTTTTTTCTACTTCCTCAGAAACGTCATTGAGATTTTGATAGGGAATACATTGACTGTGTAGATCACTTCGGGTAGTATGGACATCTTAACAACATTATTGACATCTTAAGAACATTAAGTCTTTTAATCCATGAATATACTTAAGTATATCCCATGGATATACTTATGTCTTCTTTCATTTTTTAAATTAAAGCTTTGTAGTTTTAAGATTATAATATAGTAAATGATGGAAAAAAAGGCATATAGAAAATAAATCTCAAAATGACAGAAGTCCCCACTTAACAGTAATTACTTTAAACGTAAATGGATTAAACTGTCCAATCAAAAGACAGATTGGCAAAATTAGGGGAAAAAAACATGATTCAACTATACATGATCTACAAGAGACTCACTTCAGATCCGCAGACACAAATTGTTTGAAAGTGGAGGATGGAAAAAGACATTGTATGTTAACAGTAATCAAAAGAGAGCAGGGTGGTATTCTACAAATTTATCTTAGCACTAGTTTCACTACATTGCATAAGTTTTGTTATGTTGTATTTTTGTTTCTATTTGTCTCTAAGTATTTTCTTCTTTAAAAGTTTATTTTTAATTAACAAATGATAATAGACAGGAGAAATACATTCTGGTGATCTACTGCACAGGATGGTAGCCATACTTTAATAATAATGTATCATATATTTCAAAATTTTGAAAATAGTGGATTTTAAATGTCACCACAAAGAAATAAGTATGAGAGGTGATGGATATATTTATTAGCTTAAATATATCCTTTGGTGATTTCTTTTGTGATTTCTTTGGTGATTTCTTTTTTATCTATTTGTTGTTTAAGAGTGTGGTGTTTAATTTTCACAAATTTGTGAATTTTCCAATTTACTTCTGTTACTGATTTCTAACTTCATCCTTTTGCCATCGGAGAATATATTTTGCATGATATCTCAAATAAATCTCAAAGTGACAGAAGTCCTCACTTAACAGTAATTACTTTAAATGTAAGTGGATCAAACTGTCCAATTTTTAAATTTATTTATACTTAATCTGTGGCCTAACATATGGCATATCCCAGAAAATGTTCCGTGTGCACTTGGGAAGAATGTGTATGCTGTTGCTGTTGAATAGATGATTCTGTGTATATCTGTTACAGCTAGTTGACTGTGTTATTCAAGTCTTCTATTTCCTTCTTTATCTTTTTTGTCATTCTATCCATTATTGAGAGTGTGCTTTTGAAGTTTCCAACTATTACTGTAGAACTGTCTATTTCTTCCTTCAATTCTGTCAGTTTTTGCTTCATATGCTTTAGTGGTCTACCATTAAGTATGTAAATGTATATCACAGGTATATCTTCTTGGCCAAGCTTGGTATGAGAGTCTTAGGGAGACAGACTTTTCATTCTAGTTAAGATTCATTTCACAAAATTTAGAGTTTATGTACAGTTCATATGGCATTGTTGGATTGACATAGTTCTTGCTGACATGTTTTATCTTGGTTGGTTGGTTGATTTGTAATATTTCTTTACCAAAACACAGAGTCAGTGTTAAATAACAAAAACAAAAACAAACCTCAGTTCTGAAAGAGCTACAGAATGCTAATCTATGGGATTTTGGCTACGTCAAAAAGTTGGTAGAAAGTAGCCTCAAATTCTGTTCCACATGGCACTATCTGAAAGAGAGGGCATAATTTTTTGTTCTGGAAGGATCTAGGGGGCATAGTATCCAAAACCAACCTCTTGATGGTATATTTCTTCCCTCTGAGTTTGATTGTGAACAACTGACCTCCAAGGGAGGCTCAAATCAAGATTCTTTTTATTCTTTCATTTCACTTCTATCCTGTTTCTTCTAATAATCATAGGTCTCTGCTAGTATTCATATCTGGCAAAACAATAAAGGACTATCATTTCTTGGGAGAAATGGTGTTGCTGCACAGTACAAATTTAGTTATAAATCATGAGGGTTTAGTATTTGTCCCATGGTTTCACATTTTGAAATATTCAGTGTTCATACTGAATTTTAATATTTGTAGTAATGAAATAGTGAACATTTATAGTATTGTTTTCATATTTGTTATTTTGGACTCTTTGAAACCTAGGAAAAGCAAACACATAATAATGTCTCATCATCCTGTTTCCTGCAAAAACCTTTCACTGATATTCTTCTTATCGTTTACATATAAACTATTTACTTATGGGTAGAATTCACAACAACTTCAGAAATGGGTTACTTGTGGAGAGGGAGGGAATGCAGAGGAAAGAATGAGTATCCTCTGGCTATATCTGTTATATTGTATTTTTCTACCTAAAGGAAATATGAAGTAACTACAGCAGAATGTTGGATTAATTCAACTCTGGCGTTGTTAACAAAATCATATCCATCCTACTGGATGATGGTTTAGAATAAACTTGCTAAAGAAGAAATTCACACTCTTCCCTAAGTGAGTCTTCTATGCAACAACAGGGAAAAGAGAATTTCAGACATTTCTTTGCTTTTTAATTTATAAAGTGAAGAATATTTTATTTGGATTTTGTTTCCCAGAAGAGAATAGTAAGAGAAGGTTCATATTACTCAAATTTGAAACACTCTTTATTGTATTATGATTATTTGACATCACTATACATCTTAACCTGAGTCCCTCTCAGAAAACAGAGCTAAGACAAGGCTTGTATGCAAATAGTTAGATCAGAGATGTGATCCCAGGTAGCAATAATAGATAACAGAGTAGAGTGAACCAGAGAAAGAGGGAAAACCAATACAGGTGAGATTACTAAGTTGCTCACCATTATGGGTAATTAGAATTTGATCTAACTAGATTCTTCTGAGAAGCCATTAGAATGGGCCTCAGGATTGTCTGCTGAATAGATGGATAGCGGTATTATGCATCAGCTCTCATTCCCTATGGGTCAAGATTTCCTCCTGGGGATGTTAACTCATCTGCACTTCCAGGTTGAAGCAAAGCTGAATGCCAGGCACCCACACCTTAGCCCTGTGGCAAAAAAAAAAAAAAAAAAAAAAAAAAAAAAAACAAATAAATGTGATGTATCTGTGGAGGGAGAGAGATGCCACAGAGGGTGACTAAGAGGTGGGCTGAGAGGGTGTGAAGCAGGGTACAGTGCATCCAGTATACTGCCTAGCCCAATGTATGCTGAAGGACATGGCAAAGAAAGAGAAAATGAATAAACTTTTGACTTGGGGTATGATTTGGACATAGACTTAATTAATACCTTGTTTTGACTTATTTCAAAAGGTTCTGAGGACAGTGAAACAGTTACCCCTCAGGTGGGAGCAGGTCTGGTCTGATACAGTGATGTGGACTCACCTGTAAGGAAGTTCAGTAGTAGCCTTCTGACAAGCTGTTGTTGAGCCCAGTGGGTGGCAAGAGACCAGAATCAGAGGAGTATAGGGGCCACCAGGAAAGGTTAACCTCTCTCTTCCTTTCCCCACATTTCTCTCTTCATCCATGGAGGCAGTAAGTTCTGGCTCTGTCTCCTCATTGGAAATGTCAAGGGCTGGGAGTGGGAGAAAGGAAGTATTCTCCCTCTCTGTTCCCTCGCTAGCTCCTCTTTAACTGGAGAGGGATCACCTACTGGGTCAGATCCCAACTGTCTTTGAACACATTTGTCATATGATGAGGTATTACGGGTAGCATGTTTGTGTCCCCGCAGATTTCCACGTTGAACACTTCATCTTCAATATGATTGTGTTTGGACGTGGGGTCTTTGGGGGTTAATTAGGTCATGAGGGTGAAATTTTCATGACGGGATTAGTGCTCATATGGGAAGAGAGAGCATGCTTCCTCTCTCTCTCTGCTCTGTGAGCATACAGAAAGAGGGCATCTATCTGCATGCCAGGAATAGGGCCCTCACCAGGAACTGACTGTTGGCACCTTGACCCAGCTTCCAGAACTATGAGAAGCAAATTTCTGTTGTTTAAGCCACCCAGCCTATGGTATTTGTTACAGAAGCCCACATTGAGTCAGACAATATGGGTCAGTAGAGGTGGGCAGGCTCCCCTCGCCTCACTCCTCCTCTGCCTTCCTGCCTTGGGAGTCAAGAACATCAGCGGCTTAGATCAGGGTCCCTTGCTCAGTTCTGCCTCCCAGCTGGCCAGGTGGACTTCAAGTCTCCTCTACAGACAATGAGTGTGAGGTGGGAGCACCTTTCCTAAGCCACATCCTCTAACTTGGTGTCGATGGGGGCATCCTGGCATCTCATGGGGCTGGGGAAGATTGCTATCTCTAGCTCTCCTGACCCCGTGCTGTTCCCATTGGCTGTGGATCCTCATGTGAATCATTCCCTTGGAAGGGCCACAGTGGGGAGAAGGAGTAAACAGCGGGATTTGGGCATCACCGCTCATTTTACAGGACTGCCTGTGTAAACAGGTGGTCTAGAATTTAGGAGTTCTGAGTGCTGTATGTCTCTCTGTATACATTCCAGACAGAGACATGACTAACATCTGGCATAATTCTACAGCCTAAGGTAAATAAACATAAGGACAGGGAATGGAAAGGTTGTTGGTTGACTCACTCGGGAACCCAAAACTTCAAAACAGCTGCTCTTCGTATGAGCAAAGTGTGACAGTTTGGAAAAAATAGACATCGTATCAGAAAAGATATAGATTCTTTGAACAACACTTTCAAACCACTTGAATCAGTTGGCATTTATAGAAAACTCCATCTATTCACTGCAGAACACATTGCTTTTGAATGCATGTGGGTTTTTTTTTTCCAAGAAGGTCCCTATGCTGGGCCATGAACTAAGTCAAAATAAAAATTTTGAGTGAAATGTTATAGAGCCTGTTTTATGGTCACAACAGAATTGAATTAAAAGTCAGTGAAAATAGAAGATCTAGAAAGCCTTAGCATATCTCAAGAAGAGGCTGATAGAATTCAGAACTGTGGTTGCCACGGGGAGAGATTAAATGGAAGGGACATAAAGGGACCCTCTGGAGGATGGAGATGGTTTGTCTTGATGGGGTATTGGCTCCGCAGGTATATATGTCTGTCAAAGGTCAATGAAGTATACACTAAAGTTATGTGCATTTTGCTGTACATAAATTTCACCTCGATTACAAAAATAACTGACGCATCTTCTAGAGTCCTTGCTGACTAAGATGCTGACAAATAACCTATTTGACTTTATGTCTTCATTTGTACTTGTTGTTACAGCACAATTTTTTATATTCCCTTTCATACCCGAAAGTGTCTTGATTTATGCAATAAACCTATGTTCCCTCTGTCTCTGATGAGTTGGTTACTAAGTAGGGCCCGGAGGAGGTAAGATGCTTCCAGTGCCCATTGGAAGCAGGAGAGGTCAAGTCTAGGTCCAATTTGGACATTAGATGTTACTACTCTGGGAGGGAAGGTGGGCTCGACTTTGTTTAAACAGTGATTAATATTGGGAGACCCAGATCTCACTGGTTTCGTATCCATGACTTTGGGGCCCTCACTCAAAAAAATCTAAAGCATGTGTTAAAAAAATAATGTATTAGCCCAAAATGAGATGTAAAATTGGCACACAAGCAACAGGGCCCCATGTCCAGGGTTGTGAGCAATGGAAGATGGAAAACTAGAAGGGGCCCAAGGAAGGAGAGGAGGCCTGTGCTCTCCGGGGAGGGCCCAACTAAGTGAGCTGTCAGGAAGACATGAACCACAGGCAGCCCCTAATCAGAGAGAAGGGCATGGGATCAGGGGGTGATCTCAAAACGTACCTAGGATTGTCAGAGGGGACACCACATCCTCAAGAAGAGGCAGAACCTTCGCAACTGGAGAACACCCTACTGCTTCTGAGACTAGGACAAGAGGCTGACTATGGGAGGAAGGAAGGAAGCCTGCTGGAGGCCGGGTGAACTGGGCCAAGTCAGTGGGGAAGCCTCCATGGATGGCTGAGGGACTGGTGTGTCATGGAAGCTTTGAAGGTGGGAACTTGCGGGCCAAGGCATATACATGAGGAAATCCAGTTTTAAGCCGTGAGGCGAAGGGAGGAGATGCTGGATTTGTGGGGACTATTTAATCTAATAGAGATTAGATAACTGGTCATATTAAAAGTTATAATAGATGTGTTCCTCAGTAGATGATAATGAAGGGTATATGTAACAGATTTTGCATCTCAAACTTTACAAGCCACTGAGAAAACCGAGAAAGACCCAACATAAACATGAAACCCAGCTGCCCGAGCCCGGGTCCTATTCCCTTTCCTGGGAGCCTCTTGGCCGCTGTCTCTTCCTGAGTTAATCTTACACAATATAGCAGTGTTCTTCAGTCTTGACTCGTGCATGAACTGTTCTCAAAGGAAAAATGCTTGCTGACTCCCAAAATGTATTAAATTACTTCCATTTTAATGTTATTTAAATATGCATTTATTATCATGTTATTTAAGCACATGAACATGTAAAAAAAAAGCATAGGTACAAATTCCTTATACTTAATGGCTCAAGTTCCTTTATAAAACCACATGGACAAAATTATGATTTGTGGAAAAATTGTGTGCCTCATTATGACTGACTTCTTCACCAATTCTCCCAGTTTCCCCATTTCACCTCTTACCCCGTTTGTATAAAGGGCTGGGACTTCATTTACCTCACTTGGAACAAATGTGTTACATGCACTGCTCTTATCTCATTAGTTTATAAGCAAAGTGAATGCAATTAATAAGATCATAGACACAATCTCAAACATGCACATAGGAAGCGTGTGACAGCGTCAGCATAAGGTGGTTATACACATGCTCCAGGAGATGCTTATGCTCATTTCGTTATGTTATCATCATCTCAGGTTTCACTAAGTAGGAAACTACCCCAAAAAACTTAGTGATTTAAAGCAACGCTTATTCATTAGCTCGTAATTCTGTGGATTGGCAATTCAAGCTGAGCACAGTTGGGCAGTTCTTCTACTAGACTTGCCATAGCCCTCTTAGGTGGCTGTGGTCACTGGATCCTAGATGGCCTCACTCATGTGTTTGGCAGTTGGCTGGGATGGCATAAGTCCAGCTTCTAGCTGACCAGCCCTACCTTCTTCCCATGGCTGCTGGGTTCCAAAGTCAGCAAGAGAAGACAAACCCTAAGGGGACAACCTTTCTCAAGCTACTGCTCATGCCATATTTGCTAGTGACTTATTGGCCAAAACAAGTGGTGTGACCAAGTTTAGCTTCCAGGGAGAAATAGACTCTGTCTCTCAATGGGAGAAAGAACAAAACTTTACAACCATATTATTTTTTTCAGTATGCCAAAGTTATAAAAGTAAAATCTTCAAATTAAAAAAAAATATTCAGGCTAGGCATGGTGGTTAGTGCCTGTAATCCCAGCACTTTGGGAGGCAGAGGCAGAAGGATTGCTTGAGGTCAGGAGTTCAAGACCATCCTGGACAATATAGCAAGACCTCTCTAAAAAAATAAAAAAAAAATGCACAAATAAAAATTTTTGTAGAACATTTACAGACTTCTGAAAACACTTTTTTGAACACCCTTCATAATGAATACTGAGGAAAAGGGGTCCTTATGCAAGGGACCCTCTTAGTGGAAAAGAATGAGCACTTGTTGTTATTGCTCTATGTGATGCTCCAAATAACACTTAGAGATTGGCAAGTGATCATTCAGATTAAGTAGCATTTGGACTCAAATGCTGCTGTGTAGCTCTTTGCTATGTGATATTAGAAAACATAAAAGCATAGGGGAAAGTTCTTAATTTCTGGGTTGTCACTAAAAGTCTTCAGAGACAGAGGGAGGGCCCCAAACATAGCAAGAGATCAGAGAGTTCAGATCACTGATGACTCACTGCTGAAGTCCTCCACAGCTTAGGGGAAGCCTTGGGAGTTAGGGAAGTCGCGGGTGAGAGCTGTGGGAGCAAACGAAGCTTTGATGTCATACAGGAGGATTGCATCTTTCTTGAGGTCAGGTCAGGGAAGCTACAATTGGATCATTCCTCAGGCCAAGGGCTGTGGGAAAAAAAAAATCTACAATCATTCCTGGAGTTAATAGGTTTTTAATCATGACTTTTTCCAAGAGAGAAAAAGCCCAAACCTTGGTGCTGCTTATACGAGAAACCCCCCGGTCCTGGACAGAGATGGTGAGTTGACTGCCAGCTCTGCCCACAGCAAATGCTAGGAAAACTTGTCTCCTCCACCTGGGGAAATGTGGCCACCCCACAGCCACTGGGTCTAGGCCAGATAAAGGTAGAGTATGAGAAGAACTGTGGCATGTGCTATTTATTTATCACTAAGCTCTCCCCAGCACAGAAGTGAAGTTTGAGTTATGTAAAAAAGTCTCCCAGTTTCTGGGAAATGATCTGCAACATCGCAGAACAAAACGTCCAGATCAAAACTCATAGGTTTATGGGTTCAGGGAGAACATGCTCCGAGGCCAGTCGTGTTGGGGATGTCCCCCTCTGCGTCATAATCATAGCCGCATGTGTGCAGCACAAGCAGCTGGAACGTCCAGGATGATCTACATGGGAACGACTGTGCCTCAGCAACATCCCTCAGCCCTACCAACCAGGCAGGGAAGTCTGGCATAGGAGAGAGGTTCACGTCATGGGACTGTGGGACTTCACAGTCCACTGTGGACACAGAAGAAGCAGCTACAGGGCATGTTAGTGAGCAAGTTTCCATGATGGGCAATGGAAACTCAGCCCCATGGGGAAGCTGTATGCAGCTGGCCTGAAGGGGCAAGGAGCCTGGGGACTGGACCACCACCTCCTACCCGCCATTGGCTTAGGGTGGCTTCCAGGGTGTTAACTCCCTGCATGAAGTCCTGGCCTGCCTCATGCCATGGATGGACATGCTTCTGGCTGACGACTCTCTGCAGGCGGAAGGTTGTGAGCCCCTGCAACAGAAGGCTGTCCGCGTGGAAGGGAACAGTGAGGGCTGAGGGAACAGAGGTGGGGGACTGACTGCTTCCGCCACATCCTGCCCAAGACCAGCAATGCCCCAGGTAGCGACTTTTCCGTCTTATTGCTTACTTAGGTTAGCTTGTTGGCTAGCTAGTGAGTTGTAAGTCACTGGAGTTTGGGGTCGTACCTGTAGAATAACCTAGCCTATTCTGACTGATCTCTGTGGAAATAAATTCAAATGGACAATCTCTCTGCCAGTGGGCACAAAAGAGCAAAAATTTTTTCTTGGTGGAGGTGAACAAAGTGGGTAGAAGTTTCACCTTGTGGGCAGGGACATCTACGATCCAGTGCTGAGAACGGCAGCACAGCATGGCGGCTACAAGTGTGGACTCAGGTTTGAATCCCGGCTCTCCACTTACTAGTGCTGTGTTCTTGTGAAGTCGGCTTCTGTCTCTAGGCTTTGATTTCCTCATCAGTAAAATGCAGGTGATACTAGTAGGTTCTGAAGGTCAATTAATATTTGAAAGCATTTAGAGTAGTGTCTTGTGATTAAATGCTTATTATCCAAACAAACAAAGACAGAAACTCTAAGAATGCACCGCTTCCCAAGAAGTCCAGAAATTTTGGACCCGGGTGTTTGTCCAGCCCTTAGGAAAAACTTCAGGAGAAACCTGTGTGAGCTGACAGACATTTCCCTGATTTCCCTTACAGTACACGACCTTTCCCCCTTGGCAATCTAACCAAGAGGCCAAATAATATCTAAAGAAATAAACCAGTAAGTATAACTTGACTGGTTCTCCACAGTTTCGGGTGCAAGCACCATCCCCCAGCCACTTCTCAGTGTGCACTGAGCCCATCTGCTGCCAATGACACAGAGTTAATAGCCTCCAAAGAAGTCCATCCCATTCTCCTCACAACCTTCCACCTCCTTTCCCCCAAATTCTCCAACTTCCCCACCTGTGTGTTCAGGGATCCCGGAGTAATCACGTGGTCCTGTCCTTGTGAACACAGCAGTAGGGTCAGTTGGAATCAAAGGTTTCCATCTCCACTTGGGTCCAGGCCTTAATTTTCAGGGAAGGGTTTCTGAATGGTTTTTTTCCCCTCAAATATGAGAAAAGTAAATAGAGTTTTGTAGGATGTCTCTGTCTCTTTTGCACATCATTTTGCTGTTTCTAAGAAGAGGTTACCTCCCATCTATGCCTCTCCTTTGCTGTGTATAGGGTTTTTTGGGGCCGGGAGTTCAGTTCCTCTGACCAGTTATGGAGGCTCTGCATGCTCTCAGCTCGGTCCAGGCTCTGGAGATGCGCTGCTGTGGACCATGCGTCTCTCCGCCCTTGCCGAGGTTAAGGTCAACATTCTTAAGTATACTGAGATATACAGTAAAGGCCTAATGTGAGTCACCTCTGATTCCCTCACTCTTAGTCACGAAGGGAGTGGAAAGAGGAGGCCCTCACTGAATGCAGTAAGTGGCCACCACTGGTACACTTGGTAGCTCCTCCAGTTAGCATACAGCTAAATTATTTACACAGGAGACAAAACTTTTTACCAAACCTAACTCAAAGAGGAAACTGAATTGCCTAACTCAAAGAGGAAAAGGGGCAATGACATTTAAACAAAATTATACTCATTGACTGGGAACAGACTTTCTTTTTCTGAGACCAGGTTTTGATAAGGCAGAAGCAAGGAGGGAGAGGACATGAAACCCTCAGCTACGGAAGGGTGTGGCACCCGCGGTGTAGATGAGAGAGCGGCACAGATCACTTGGGACGTGGAGTCATTATTGAACATGCCAGAGAAAAACTCCCACCATTATCGATTTGTTTTGGGGCTATTCGGCAAGGATAAACAACTTCCTATCAAACACTTCCCATCTGCTCCAGTTCCTTTGTTCCAGAAGAGATTGTACCAACACGTGGATTAGCTCTTCTTCTTGGGAGTATTCAAACTGAGGAAATGAAGAGAAAAAAAATTAAAAGATATCCTTGCTTCAGGTCAGGAAATAAATTGGCCACTCCTCAAGAATGCAGCCTGATGCTCAGCCTAGCAGTGAGCAGGGCTTCAGTTCCATCTTCCACATTTGAGATCCGTCTGGAATGTAGGGAAGGAGAAGGACTATGGATTTGAAAAGGGAGTTACACGGGTTAATTTGGGGGGTGTTCAGCCTTCCTTCTTAGGAGCTGAACTTGGATGTCTGCTTTTAAAATTTTGTTATCCAAGTGGAATTTAACCAAATATTCCAGAGTAGTACTTTGTATTTTCATATATCCTAGAAAAGTCTATAAAGACAAGAGAGCACCGGATAGCACACCTGTAGCCGCAGATCTCAAAGCTGACTGCATCCGGAGCACAGATTTGAGGCTCTGATGTCAGACGGACTGGGGTTTTCATGCAAACGCTGACACTTTCAGATGTGTTATCTTTAACCAGTTGTGTAAGTTTCCTGAGATTTTATTTTTTTCATCTGCAAACGGAGGTGGTAACTATGTCCTCCCCAAAGAGTAATTTTTGAAATTTATCTGATAATTCATGTACGGAGCCTGACACGTCCCCTGATACTTAAGACACTCAATTTCAAACCGTGCTGTTGATGAAACTCCACATCTCTTACGTGTATCTTCTTTGACTATGAAGAAATGAGGAAAGAAAAGGAACTTATCTATTGTTTCTCATGTTGAGATGGGCGAATAAGCACAATAGCTGGATGGTTCCTGTTTGTCTCACAGGACTCACGCCCTCAGTATTTCACTGTTACTTCTCTCTTTCACCCTTAATCCCCTCTGGGAACATCTTTAGAGAGAGTTGTTTGAAAGCCAACACTTACTTTTCAATTTTCCAAGACATATTGTTATCTATTTAAGAAGCAATTATAAGTAACGTTAGGGACAAAGGTGCTCTTTATGTTGGGTAAATTTTCACTGAGGTCCTGGGAAAGTGGTAAAGATGAAATAAGATCATTCTGGCTGATGAGAAAAGCTGGCTGCCTTTCAACACTTTAAATCCCTCGTTTAAAACAATTTGAGCTTATTTTGGGGTGTAGTACTTTTTATGGCTTTTGTTCTTGAATTTGTTGAGCTTCTTGGGTCTCAATTTTCATTGGTTTTGATAATTTCTGTCCATTTCTTCAATATTATTCTTCAAATATATTTCTTCAAATATTCTTCCAATATATGTGTAATTGGGATCTCCAAAGGGGATTTTGAAAGCTCATTTTGCTTCCCTGTGGTGAAGAATTGGCAGCCATGGGTAAGCAGGGAATCAGACAGATGCGGGTGGGTGTTATACATTAGAACACTGTTGCAGGAGTTTAGGTGAGCAATGAGCAGGGTAACACTGACCAGGGTAATGCCAATAGAGATGAAGAGAATTCGACTGATTTGAGAGATATTCATAAGGCAGGCCCATGGCTTTTGCAGTCATGGGTGTGAATGAGCTCAGCCACGGTGAACTGTATATTCTGAGTAGGAGAGCAACTAGGACGAAGCATTCAGCAATCAATATGAAATATCTAGGCAGAAGAAGATGAGCCTACAAGAAAGTGAGAAATGTCAGTAAAGTC